>NC_000016.10:19698607-20001637 GCF_000001405.40 Homo sapiens | reverse complement strand
TGGTAACTAAGGGAAGTTGGAGAGTGGTATGTTCTAGGCAGAGGAAACAGCCCATGCAAAGGCCCAGAGATGGGCTCTCGGTCATTACGTGGAGAGGTGACAAGGAAAGTCTCATAAACTATAGCTACCACTATTCACCCAGATTCACAAGAGGGTCAATATAGAAGGTTATATATACATGCTCCAAGGTTCTGAAGCCAAAGCGTAGTGGGGAGATCAGCACCAACGCTCCACTAATATACAAATATTTCCTGAGCATCCTCCACAAACAAGGCAGTGGGCTGGATACTAAGAGATACCAAGTAAATCAGGATAACTATTGCCTTCTATGCCGGTGACCATGCTGTATTCAAGCTGCAAGGCCAGGGTCTAGAAGATAGAAAGTGCTCAATGAATATGTATTGGTAGAAATAACAAGAACAGTAACATTTGTTAAACTCTTATTCAGCTCTTCTAGACCATTGACATATTAGCTTATTTAACCCTTACAGCAACTCTTGCATTAGGTATAGTATTATTATTATTATCCCCATTTTACAGAAAAGGAAACTGATGCTCAGAGACATCAAGTAACTTGCCCAGAATCACACAGCTAATAAATGGCAGAGCCAGGATTCAGACCCTTAGCAGCCTGGCTCTATAGCCAATGCTCTAACTACCAGCATGGTGGGGGCTCTAAATCCAATCACTGGTGTCCTCATAAGAAGAGACACAGTCACAGAGAATTCCATGTGACTACAGAGGCAGAAATGCATTTGTAAGCCAAGGAATACCAAGGATTGCAAGGAGCTACCAGGAGCTAGAAGAGCCAAGGAAGGATACTTCCCTAGAGCGTTCAGAGGGAGCCTAGCCCTGCTGATGCCTTGATTTCAGACTTCCAGAACTGTGAGGGGATACATTTCTGGTGTTTTATGCCACTGGGTCTGCAGCAATCTGTTACAGCTGCCCTAGGAAACTAGTACACCTTTCCAACAGCCAAACAGCTGAGAGGACAAAAGACACTCACCTCTACCTGCTGATGCTGGCTGCAGCTTAATTCAGTTTGAACAGTTGCACGATTCTGATGTTTAAGGTCAAAGCAGCAATTCACCCCACATATGGGTGTGAAATCCTCTGAACAATTAGGCAAGTCCTATATGGTGTGAGATTCAATTCCAAATAGCTCCAGCTGAACTGTCTTTCTCTGAAGCTAATTTTCCAGCCTTTTCACCTCTCTTTGTCTATGTACTTCCCTTTTATCCTCCAGAGCTTAGGAGAGGCATACCTTTTCCACATCTTAAATATAAAGAAACTGAGACAGAGAAAAGATTTTTCTTTTTCTTTTTTTTTTTTTTTTTTTTGAGACAGAGTTTCACTCTTGTTGCCCAGGCTGGAGTGCAATGGCACAATCTCCGCTCACCGCAACCTCCAGCTCCCGGCTTCAAGCGATTCTCCTGCCTCAGCCTCCAGAGTAGCTGGGATTACAGGCATATGCCACCATACCTGGCTAATTTTGTATTTTTAGTAGAGATGGGGTTTCTCCATGTTGGTCAGGCTGGTTTCAAACTCCCGACCTCAGATGATCTGCCTGCCTCAGCCTCCCAAAGTGCTGGGATTACAGGTGTAAGCCACCGCACCCAGCCAAAAAGATCTTTTTAAGACAGTTACTTGTAGCATATAGCATAATAGTTGCTACACATAAGAGTCAGAGTTTTTAAATGCAAGCCGCAGAAATCAACTGGTATGGTCTGAATGTTCCCCAAAGTCCTTGTGTTGAAACTTAATCACCAATGATGTGGTATTAAGAGGTGGGGTTGCGGGGCCAGGCATGGTGGCTCATGCCTGTAATCCCAGCAATTTGGGAGGCTGAGGAGGGTGGATCACGAGGTCAGGAGATCGAGACCATCCTGGCTAACATGGTGAAATCCTGTCTCTACTAAAAATACAAAAAATTAGCCAGGTGTGGTGGCGGGCACCTGTAGTCCCAGCTACTCGGAAGGCTGAGGCAGGAGACTGGCATGAACCTGGGAGGCGGAGCTTGCAGTGAGCTGAGATTGCACCACTGCACTCCAGCCTGGGCAACAGAGCAAGACTCGGTCTCAAAAAAAAAAAAAAAAAAAAAAAAAAGAGGTGGGGTTGTGAGAATATGCCACCAAGGAAGCCCTACTCAGACACTAAACCTGCCAGCACTCTGATCTTGAGCTTCCCCAGCCTGCAGAACTGTGAGCAATAAATTTCTGTTCCGTATAAATCACCCAGTCTCCAGTGTTTTGTTACAGCAGCATGAACAGACTAAGATACCAACTCTGGGTAATTTCCTGAAAAAGGAATTAATTAAAGGATATTAAGTGGTTGGCAGAAAGGCTGGAGAACCAAGTCTAGAGATTTGAGGACAGGAACAATCCCAAAACTCACACCACAGGATTGGACCAGTGAGGCCCCCACCCCAACAGAGAACCCTCCAGACCCTGTCTTTTTGGGTGGGGGTCCAAGAGAGTTTTGTTTTGTGACTGGTGAAGCCTTAATCACCCACCTGGGGCCCATAAGATGGGAAATTCCTCAGATACAGAAAGTAGTTTGCTTGGTGAGTGGCCAAAAATGGAAGTGTTCCATATTCAATATACTGCCATTCATTGTGCCTTTTGAAAAAATAGTCCCAGACTGTCCCATGTGTCAACTGAACACATGGTCAGCGCCAGGCACTAGGAATACAAAAATGAATAAGAGAAGCTCACTGTTCTCCCAGGGCCCATGTGAAACAGAAAAAAAAAAAAAAAAAAAAAAGGGACCAAGAAAGCTCAGCAGCCAGGAGCCTGGGGAAGAGCCCTGTGCTAGGAGTCAGGAGATTTGGGTTCACATTCAAGTCTAAGCCTGCCCCATGGAGCAATTTGGAGCAAGTCTCTTTAGATCTCAGCTTCCTCAGCTACCTCTATAATAGGGGTAAGGGCACTGGACTACCTACCATTAAAGGGTGATTTGGAAGCTCACTAGACAGCCTGTAGGTGACAGTGCTCTGTCAGGGTAAGGGAGTCATTGCAGTTGATTGGTTACAAAACTGTCCTCAATTCTCCACCCCTTCTGGTGTTCCTATTTGATATGATTTGGATGTGTCCCCACCCAAATCTCATCTTGAATTGTAGCTCCCATAATTCCCACATGTTGTGGGAGGGGCTCGGTGGGAGATCACTGAATCACGGGAGCAGTGTCACCCATACTGTTCCCCTGGTAGTGAATAAGTCTTTCAAGATCTGATGGTTTTATAAGACATTTCCCCTTTCACTTGGCTCTCATTCTCTTTTGCCTGCTGCCATGTAAGATGTCCCTTTTGTCTTCTGCCATGATTGTGAGGCTTCTCCAGTGAGTCCATTAAACCTCTTTTTCTTTATAAATTACCCAGTCCAAGTATGCCTTCATCAGCAGCATGAAAACAGACTAATACACTATCTTTTACGATCTGGCTTTGCAACTACTGCCATCAAAAGGTAGACTCTTTCCCCATCCCTCGATCTGGCCTGGGCTTGTGACTTGTGCTGGCCAACTAGAGTAGAAGTGAGGGTGTGTGAGTCTCAAGGTTACGCCTAAAGAGACCTGCTCTCCCATTCACTGTCAGAACACTGCCGTCACCTTGAGGACAGCCTGAGCCACCCTGCAGGAGGATGAGAGACCAACGGACACCAGCCCAGTTGTCCCAGCCAAGGCCAACATGTGAGAGAGCCCAGCCAAAATCAGCAGAACCTCCTACACAACCCACAGATATGTAAACAAGCCCAGCAGAGGCCAGAAGAACCACCCTAATGATCCATAAATGGTGGTTGTTTCAAGCCACTGAGTTTTGGAGTAATATTTTTTTTACAGCATTATTGTGGCAACAGATAATGGATATGGTAGTCCGTGGCTTCAGCATCCTGTTACTACAAAATAAGGTCACATTAACTTGCAAACAAAACAATTTAAATACTATGTCCCATTTTTTTTAATTAAATAGTACAGAAAGGGATAAAGAGAGATCATCAAACCTTTTCTGTAAAGGGCCAAATAGTAAATATTTTAGACTTTGTGGGACATATGGTCTGTGCCATGCAGGCTGTTGTAGCTACTCAATTCTGCCTTTGAAGCTCAAAAGCAGCCACAAACAATATGTAAACAAATGGACATGGCTGTGTGCCAATAAAACTGTGTTTACAAAAACAGGCAGCCAGCTGAGTTTGGCCCAAGGGCTGTAGTTTACTGGCCCCTGGCATAAAGTAAACAGCAAAACTCCTTCTTTTTCCTCTCTCTTCCCCTCTCAGAGGTAATTACAGTTAACAGTTTCTTCAGTATTCTTCTAAACATTTTCTACCTGTAAATGTCCTTTAAACACACACACAGGCCAGGCGCGGTGGCTCATGCCTGTAATCCCTGCACTTTGGGAGGCCAAGGCAGGTGGATCATGAGGTCAGGAGATCGAGACCACGGTGAAACCCCGTCTCTACTAAAAAAAATACAAAAAATTAGCCGGGCATGGTGGTGGGCACCTGTAGTCCCAGCTACTCGGGAGGCTGAGGCAGGAGAATGGTGTGAACCCGGGAGGCGGAGCTTGCAGTGAGCCAAGATGGCGCCACTGCACTCCAGCCTGGGCGACAGAGCGAGATTCCGTCTTAAAAAAAAACAAACACACACACACACACACACACACACACACACACACACATAAATGGTATCATACTATCTGCTGGCACAAACTCAAAATTTTCACAGAATATGTCTTAGATATTTTTCTGTGTCAGCACTTATGGGGTGACATTATTGTCTTTGATTGCTGCAAAATATTTCATAGTAAGGATGTACCATGCTGGACTTTCAGTGGTTTTTCAATATTTTATTCTCCAAATGAATGCTGCAATGGACATCCTCATATAGATAAATTTTGATACACAGCCTAGATTAGTTTTCTTCATGACCTTTATTCAAAAGCATTTAGACAAAAGCTCAGTTAGTGACTGATATAATCCAGGCATTGTGTTAGGTGCTGGGGGGTCCAGAGATGAAGCCACTGGTCTTCCCTTAAATTGCTCATGGTGTCAGCCAGTGGTAATGTCGATAAATTTACTGAGCATTTACTACAGGCCACCCACAGTGCAGTGATATTTACATGCATCATCTCACCCAATCTTCACAACAAAAGCACCCTATGAGGCAAGTCCCATTATCAGCCCCACTTTGCAGATGAGACTAAAGCTCAGAGAGATTGAGTAACTTACCTGATGCCACACAGCTAGCAATAAATCAAACTGGAATTCAAACCCAGGTTCCTGACCATGCTGTCTACACTTGGGAATCAATTGCAAGTAGGAGCTCAAAAGAGGGAGGGACTCCAGTTGACAAGGAGGGAGAGGGAATACCAGGAAAAGTGGGCACAAAGCCATGGGACTGTGAAAGCATGGGACTTCTGGAAACCAGCTCCTGTGATTCAGCATGGCTAGGGTGCAGAGGGAAGGAGACGATACAAGAGATAGAAGTACCACAGGGTCATGGATGGTGCCTCATGTTAGCTGAACACTCTGAACTTCAGCCACTGTGCAAAGCAGTGTGGAGATTTCTCAGAGAACTACCATTCAACCCAGCCATCCCATTACTGGATATATACCCAGAGGAAAATAAATTATTATGCCAAAAAGACACATGCACTCATGGGTTCATGGCAGCACTATTAATAATAGCAAAGACATGGGATCGACCAGGTGCCCATCAACAGTGGATTGGATAAAGAAAATGTAGTACATACACACCATGGAATACTACCCAGCCATAAAAAAGAATGAAATCATGTCCTTTGTGGCAACATGGATGCAGCTGGAGGCCATTATCCAAAGCCAATTAACACGGGAACAGAAAAGCAAATACCACACGTTCTCACTTATATGTGGGAGCTAAACATTGAGTACACGTGGACACAAAGAAGGGAACAATAGACGCTGAGAAACACAAGAGAGGTGGGCATGGGTTGAAACGCTATGTATTGGGTCCTGTGCTCACCCCCTGGGTGGCGGGATCTGTACTGTAAATCTCAGTATCACGCAATATACCCATGTAACAAACCTGTAAATGCAACCCCAAATCTAAAAGTTGAAATTATTTTCTCAAAAGACTCTTGATTTTATTCTGAAAGTTATGAAGAGCCATTGAAGTATTTTAAAGCAGGAAAGTCAAGATCAAAGTTACATTTTTAAAAGATCATGCTGACTGTAGCGTGGAAGATGGATTATAGAGAGGGTCAGAAGAGGGCAAGGAGATGGATGAGGACTGTCCTCTCAGCCACACTTGGGGAAGTTTCCTTTTCGGGGACAACATTTGCCATGTAATTAAAGACAGCAGAGTGGTACCAGGCCTCAAAAATGGGACATGCCAATCCACTGACACCGGGAGCTCTGGAGCCCCTCAAAATGCCAAAGGCCAACTCAGTCCCCAATTTTCCCCAGGATGTGAGAGCCCATGGCTGACTGCCCAGTGGGGAACCTGATTTAGCCCTGGACCATTTCATTTCATGTCCAGAAAGCATCAGGCAGCAGAGATATGTCCTCAGGTTGCCCCATCCTGGCAAGAGGACATCTTGAGCGGCGGCCCATCCATTTCCGCCACCCCCTGAGCTGACACACAAAGAGGCTGTGGCCCTGCAGAGAGCCAAGCCGCGTGGCCGCCGCATTGTGAGTCATCCCAGCTGGTTCCAACTATTTTCCCCAGGAGGCAGAGGAGTCGGACGGAAGTGTGCCCTGGCCAAGCGAGAGACCACCAGCAGGACTGCCAGGGGCTGCCAGCCGTGACCGAAGGGAGGATGGATGCCCACATCTACCCCTCTGACCTTGTGGAAAGGAAGAGAGCAGCAGGAAGGGTCTTGCTCACTTCCGCAAGGCTGAGTGGCCAACGGGTCTGGGTCTGATACAAGATACCACAGAACGGTGACCAGGGCAGGAGCATAAAGCTCAAGGGAGCATCACTGGGGGTTAAGGTTGGCAAATGAAACAGCTAACTACTTACGGAGCCCAGGCTCCAGGCCAGGAGCTGTGCTAAGCACTTCACATCATCATCATCATGTCTGCTAGAATACTTTATAGCTATTATTCCATTTAATCCACTACAACACGGATCAGCTTGTGGCTTGTCTTTGCACAGCCCATGAGCTAAGAATGGTTTTTCATTTTTAAAGAGTTTTAGAAAAAAACAAAGAAAGATAGGTCATAGAAGTCATTTGTGGCCTGTAAAGCCTAAAATATTTACTGTCTAGCTCTTTACAGGAAAAGTATGCCAAAACCCTTGCACTGGTTCAATTAGGACAAGGTATATGTGTGTGCATATGTGTGTGCATGTATGTGTGTGTCTGTTCTACTTCTATATTCCTCAATGCCTAGAAGAGGTCATGATACACCAAAGGTGCTCAATAAATATCAAGTGAATTAATGAATTAATGAGCAAATGAATTAACTTTTATTATCACCCAATGAGATAGATACTATCATCAGCCCCATTTTACTGATGAGGTTACTGAGGCTCACAGTGATAAAATGACTTGCAGAAATCACAGAGGTAACAAACACCGGAGCTGCAATTCAAATTCAGGCAGTTTGTCATTCAAGGCTTGGTTTTTTTAAAAAGCCCATATCCTAAAAACTGAAAATCTGGACTATGTCTCGTGCCGTGACTCTCAAACTTTCCTGCGCGTGACTATCATCTGGGATATTTGTTAAAATTCATGTTCCCAGGCCTTGCCTTCTTGGATTCTGATTCTATAAATCAGAATGAAACCCAGGAGTCTGTGTAGGGGAAGATGAGAGTAAATGAGGTGGCTACCAGGGGTAAGAAGCTTTGGGGAGAAGACTAGGAGGGAACATAAGTGTATTAGCCTGTTCTCATGCTACTAATAAAGACATACCCGAGACTGGGTAATATATAAAGGAAAGAGGTTTAATGGATTCACAGTTCCACGTGGCCGGGGAAGCCTCACAATCATGGCAGAAGACAAAGGAAGAGCAAAGGGATGTTTTACATGGCAGCAGGCAAGAGGACCTGTGCAGGGGAGCTGCCCTTTATAAAACCATCACATCTCATGAGACTTATTCACTATAACAAGAAGAGCATGGGAAAGACCCACCCCCATGATTCAATTACCTCCCACCGGATCCCTCCCACGAGATGTGAGAATTATGGGAGCTACAATTCAAGATAAGACTTGGGAGGGGATGCAGCCAAACCATATCAATAAGTTTCTACTGTGTGCTGTGCAATGTAAACATACCTCTTCATCTCCCTACAGTGTCTTCAGTAACAAGTCCATCTTCCCTCAGTACCTAGTGGGGAAGGCTCTCTCGAATGGGACTCAGGGCTATGTATGACCCCCACAGAAAACCTATATCTGGGTTATAAAACTAACCACTGCAGGAAAGAGATTTGGTCTTTTGGGCAAAAGATGGATTGAGAGGTAGGGAGTTGGAAAAGAAAGCAGCTGATTCCTCATGGGAGCACAATCACATTGCATATGGAAATCCAGATGGCACCAGGCCTGAGATGAAAGACACCTAAAACAGAGCTTGGGCCGTTTGGATCCAGAAGAAGATCTTCACCAGAGTACAGAACTTTTCCCTATTGAGAACTTTATCAGGGGGAGAAAAACAAACTTAGAATTATGAGCCACATCCCAGTTAAAAACCATTTTACCTCGTTTATTTTTCTCTTAAGTCACCTGATTTTTAAATCACCTAAAGATTTTTTTAAGTCATTCACAGTCAACATAATCATAATCATTATGGTTGAGCATCTCTTCTTTGTATGGGAAAGAGTTAAAGTAGAGAAAGGAAAGGAAAGCTGGAAAAGAGAAAAAGAGCAGACTGCGGCAGAGCACAGAGGAGCCAGCAGAGAAGAGACAGCCCAGGTAGAGCTGACACACAAGGAGGGTGGAGAAGGAGTCAAGAACAAGGACTGGGGGCTTTGAGGCCACACAGATCTGGGTTCCACCACTGGCCAGCTCTGCGTCCTTAAGCTGGGCAGTTAGAGTTCAATCCGAGAAGCAGAGCCACTAAGAGATACACAGATACTGAGGAGATGTGCATGTGAATGTGAATGTGAATATGGATATTGTCTTAGTCTGTATGGGTGGCTATAACAGAATGTCATTGATGGGGTGGCTTATAACAATAGAAATTTATTTCTTACACTTCTGGAGACCGGGAATTGCACGACTGAGGCACTGATCGAGGCACTGGCAGATTCAGTGTCTGGTGAGGGCCTCCTTCCTGGTTCATAGACAGCTGTCTTCTCACTACATCCTCACATAGCAGAAGAGGCAAGGGATCTCTTTGAAGCCTCACTAATCTCTTGAGAGCACCACCCTCCTGACCTCATCTAAACCTAATTACCTCCCAAAGCCCTTACCTCCAAATACCATCGCATTGGGGATTCGGTTCCAACATACGAATGCGGGGGGCGGACACAAACATTTAGCAGATAGCAGATATGGACATAGATTTAAATTTAGGGTTTTTTAAGGGATTGGTTGCACACTTGACCTTACACAACTATGGGAATGGATTAAGCAGCCTCTGGAAGGCTGTTTACTTTGATCTGATGCTGGGGCTTCAAGGCCACAGGGCAGGAAGTTCAGGAGGGTAAGAAAGTGGGGCTTGAGACCAGGCTGGAGACCACAAGCAAGAGCTGAGGTTCTTGTAGCCTCTCACCTTGGTAATCTTACTACGGAGGTGAACACTCACAGCTGCCCAGGAGAGGGAGACACGAGAATCTAGTGGAGGGAAGCAGTTGCAGACCCAGGCATCACATCACACCAACGAGGAGAGCCAGAAGGTAAGCAATGGGCATGAGCTGCAAAATGGTGGCCGCTTCACTCCTGCGCTCCAATCTCCCACAGGAATCTTTCATAGCCCACTCTACCTGGAAACGTGAAGGGAAGAGGATTCTGGGAAATGTAGTTCAGCTCAGACCGCTGAACCATTACCAAGCCACTACAGCACTTAAAGAGGTTTCTTCTGTTTGGGGAGTTTGGATGAGGGCAGGGAAGTTTTGCTGTGGTTTTTCTTTTTGTTTTTGTTTTTTTTTTTTTTGAGACGGAGTCTCGCTCTGTTGCCCAGCCTGGAGTGCTGTGGCGTGATCTCGGCTCACTACAAGCTCCGCCTCCCGGGTTCACCCCATTCTCCTGCCTCAGCCTCCCGAGTAGCTGGGACTACAGGCGCCGGCCATTGCTGTGGTTTTTAAGACATTGAAGAAAAATTGTATAAACAGTTATGAAAAATTGTACAAACAGTTTGAAACAGAAATGTTTGAAACAGGTGAAACAATGACTCTCATAAACACATGTCAGAAATTTATTTTATTTAACTCATTCGTTAAAGAGAAAACCAGAAATATGCTTACAACTGATTCAAAGAAGTCAAAGACTAGACACATACATAGGTAATCGGGATTCCTGAAATAAATTTGCCTAATAGATGCAAAACTGCTCAATATCCGCAGTGCAATAATCAATTGCCTTCTACCAGACATAATTTATTTGTGTTTCTATGGACAAAATTCATTTGCATTATCAGTTTTCTGCAACTTACAGAGTTGTACAATAGCTCAAAGACAATGAAAGGTGGTGATAATCCAGAAAGGTGCACCAGAGAGGACATCCAGCCATCCTTGCTGCTCACTGTAAGTTTTTCACAATTTTCCTGACACTGATAATTGCCATCATTCATTAAGTAATTACTAACTGCTCCGAGCTAATCCTAGGCATTAACCCATGTAAACCTACCAACAAGGCCATGGTGTTGTATAGTCCCAAATATGCAAGTGGGAAACTAAGGTACAGAGAGGTAGAGTAACTCGTCCAAGGTCACACAGCCAGTACACATCAGAGCTGGCATTCAAGCCTGGCTGTTCAACTCCAGGCTTACACATTTTGCCATCCTGCACCCAATGTGCAGTGACAGTTGCATATGGTGGTCAAAGGAAGTACTTTATCATAGACATGGTTTAGAACGTCTGGCCAATGTTTGCTGATAAGGAAAGATATGCCTACTCTCAGTTTTGTTACTGCTTTGAATTCTCTGCAGACAATGACACCCTTTCCCCCATACCCCCTGTTTCTGGTCCAGGTCATACTGCTCCCATCCCACAAATCATTTCCACTTCTACTCCCATCTTCCTCCTTACCCCTGCCAAGAGGTGGCTTTTATCATTAATCTCCAGCTTTTTTCTTGCTTAAAGAGAGATGTTAACTGAGGGTGCATGTTGATTTTTCAGGACACTCAAGGGGTTTTTAGAGGCTGCAAGATGGGAAAGGAAAGGGAGGGAAAGAAAGGAGGAAGAGAAGACAGATGGGAAAAGATGAGCTCCCCAACAGAGGGGGAAGAAAACTTGGTGGGCTAAACCAAAGATGTTTCATGGAGAATCTGATTGGGTTTCTGCTGAATGCTGTGCAATGTGAACCACCCTCTCCACATCTATAAAATCTTCAGGAAAAAAAATGACATTTTGTTAATACACTGAGGTAATGGGTCTATTGGGGGAGTGCGAAGAACAGCAGCCCCTCTGGACAAACCAGCAAGCCTGGGTTCACTGATTTACAGAGCTGGGGTACAGATTCATGAGATTAACCATGTAAAGTGGCTGACTAAGAGTAAGTATTAAGTAAGAAAGAGAAACAGAGACAGGAAAACAGCAACAGGCAGACACAGAGACATATAGAGGCAGAGAGGAGCTGGAGGAACAAAAAGAGCAGTGAGTTATCTGTGTAGGAACACAGAGCAAGGGAAGACTCCCAAATGACCTCCACTCTGGAGACTTCAGAGCTGAACTAGCCTGTCTTGTGCTTCCCTAAATCCCCAGTGCAAAGCCTATCCCAGAGTGGATATTTAATGCTTACTTGAAATTTTTACAAAAATGCATGCCTCCGCATTTACAAGAACTCATATAAACAAAAGGATGTACACCAGACATATTAGAAATGCTGTCTATTGGGAGCTGGAGAGGGATGAAATAAAAGGCAATTAATTAGTAATAAAACAAAAAGGAGATTTGTCCGCATACATGCTGGTAATTTGCTAGGTAAGAAGAGGTATGAATAGTTCAACCTTGCCCCCTGGGACCCAGAAAGTACAAAGGGAGGGAGAAAGAAAAGAAGGAGAGAGGAGAGAAGAAAGAGAGAAGGAAGGAGAAAGGGAAGAAGGGAGAGAGGATAATTGATTGATGAGTGAATGACAGATTCCACCAAGGACGTTGGAATGTTGGTTGGCTGCAGGGAGGAAGTGGGTTGAGAAAGGTTTTCTTTCTTTTTTTTTTTTTTTTTTTTTTGCAACAGAGTCTCACTCTGTTGCCCAGGCTGGAGTGCAGTTGTGTGATCTCAGCTCACTGCAACCTCCACCTCCCCAGTTCAAGCCATTCTCCTGCCTCAGCCTCCTGAGTAGCTGAGATTACAGGCGTGCACCACCACGCCCGGCTAATTTTTTGTGTTTTTAGGAGAGACAAGGTTTCACCATGTTGGTCAGGCTGGCCTCGAACTCCTGAGCTCGTGATCCACCCACCTCAGCCTCCCAAAGTGCTGAGATTACAGGCATGAGCCACTGCACCCAGCCAAGAAAGCTTTTCAAAGTATTGAAGTAGAATTAAGACTTGGCCTAGGATAAAAAAAAAAGCTGGGACCACTGTCTGCTTCTGAGGAAAGCAATCCAGCATCTAAGGCATAGAATGAAAGGGAGGCTTGTCACTGAAAATCTTCTCATGCCTTTTGAATTTTGAACCATGTGGAATTATTACCTATTCAAATATAAAAATATACATTATTATAGAAAACTGGCCAGGTTAATAAAGGTTAGGGAAGAGATTTCCAAGCATAAATGTATTTCCTCCTTTGCAAACACTTGGGAAATTCTATTTTCTTCCCTTGAAAAGAACCAGAAGGTCAATGTTTGCCTCCTTCCCAGCCCTGGAAGTGATTGACTAAGAGTTTGTTCCTCTCCCAGGTACCTACCTAAGGGCAGCTGTGTGTAGCCATTCCAGCTGCACACTGCACAGCCCTAGGAGCTGCCGAGCTCATCAGCTGTAATGTGAATGGGTTCTTCAGTGCCCAGTCTGCTCAACCTCCTGGTGACACTCTTCTCTTTCCACAGCCTAGCCTTTTTGAGGGCATGAAAGGATCATAAAAATCATAGTTTAAACATCTTCCACCAGGAGCTTCTTTTCTTTTATCCAAGAGGGAATTTCTGAGTGTTATTTGTTTCTAGGTTTTCATATGTGGAGAAAGCAAGCAGGGCTTCCTCCCGATGAGCTCACCTTCCCTCTGGCCCAGCACTTGAGTTCCTCGCCCTGGCAAACAATCCCTCGCCACAAGTGAATTGAATCTGCCCACAACAGCCCACGATGATCTGATGGTTTGTTTGCCTGCCCTGGGAATTCTATTTGAGGAGTGTATTCAGGCTAAGGGAGCTTGCAGCATCCTGACCGCTCAGGATGTGAGGTTACTATCAGGGGGTGAGACAACAGCTGCCACTCCAGAGGCAAACGAGCAAACAGTACATCACACTGCTGCCCTGTCTCCTGTTCCCAATATAAAAGCCTCACCAACCAGGTTCAGCAGGACCCCTAATATGTTCCTGGGAAGATTCCTCTTTCTTCCAGATGTCACAGTGTCTGCAACTCTACTATTAGAAAGCCATTGTTCACTGGCGGCCACCATCCCCAGGGTAAAACCCAAACTTCAGAGGTTACAAGGTTCAGGGTGACCTGATCCTGCTTTCTCCTCACCAATGCCCCCAACACGGGATCTTTTTCAGGTCAACAGGCTCTCTTGCTTCATGGGTTTTGCACAGACTGATTTCTCTTTCAAGAATGCCTTCCCTGTAGTCCCAGCTACTCAGGAGGCTGAGGCAGGAGAACTGCTGAACCCAGGAGGCGGAGGTTGCAGTGAGCTGAGATCGCGCCACCGCACTCCAGCCTGGCGACAGAGCAAGATTCCATCAAAAAAAAAAAGAAAAGAAAAGAATGCCTTCCCATGAAAGAAGACTGGTTAAATAAAAGATGGTACACTCTCACAACAGAATATTATGAAGCCATTAAAACTGATGATAGAGAAGAATATCTGATGTCATGGGAGAATGTTACAATAGCCTTTGAGAAAACCCAGTTATGAAATAACATTAGCAGCTAATGTTTATTGAGGATTTACTCTGAATACTGCTCATTGAATCCTCAAAACGACCTTAGAAAGAAGGTACTGCTATTACCCACCATATTAGAGATGAGGAAGCAGAGGCTCAGATGGAGACATCTAACATGTCTGAAATTACAAGCCTAGTTAGTGGCAGAGTTGAAATTTGAACCCAGGCAATTTGTCTTCAGTGTCTGCATTCTTAACCCCCACATAGCACTGTTTCGAACAGAGTTTGTGCAGTGTATCTTATTTTTGTAAAAACAAAACGAAAAAAGTATTATATGTAGAAAGAGGCAGAGCACTTTAAAGCATGGCCATGATACGGACCAAAATCTTCAGAGTAGTTATCTGTGGAGAATGAGATTGATGACAGGTAATGTCACAGGTTGGTTCCCCAAGAAGCAATCCCTGAGGTGGAGGATAGCATGAGGCATGTTGATTAAAGAGGGCTTATGGGAAGAAGGATACAGGAGGCAGAGCAGAGGGAGAGCTTGAGGTTTGATGCAGGAAGCTCTAGATCTAGAACAATCCTTCAGAGTGTTCCAAGTTGGCCCAAAGTGCCCAGACCTTGATGCTTCCTGATTCCTCAGTCACTGGATGTGAGCCATCCCTTGAAGGGTGTGACATTGAATGAGGTAGCTCTCTGCAGCCAAGGTGTGATGATGAATTTTATGTGTCAACTTGACTGGGCTAAGGGATGCCCAGATATATGGTAAAACATTGTCTCTGGATGTGTCTATGAGATATGTCTATCCAGAAGAGATCCACTTTTGAATCAGTAGACTGAGTAAAAAGGAACACCCTTGCCAATATGGTGGGCATCATCCAATCCATTGAGAGTCCAACTAGAACAACAACAACAAAAAAAGAGTGAATTCACTCTCTCTTCTTGAGCTGAAACATTCATCTTCTCCTGCCCTCAGACATCAGCATCTCTGGATCTCAGGCACTGGAACTCAGCCTGGGACATACACCATTGGCTCACCTGGGACATACACCATGACTCCCTTGGTTCTCAGACCTTTGGACTTGAAATGAATTTCACAACCACCTTTCCTGGGCCTCCAGCTTGCAGACAGCAGATCATGGAACTTCTCAGCCCCCATAATCACATGAGCCAATTTCTCTTAACAAATCTCCTTCTGTATATCTATGTGTTCATGTGCACTTGTTCTGTTTCTCTGGAGAACCCTGACTAATACATGAGGCAATCCCTGAAGGGCCAACAGCTGGAGCCTGGACACAGTCAGCACATGCAACAGAAGGTCCTTTCTCAAAGGGGCATCTGAGATGTGCAGCATCATGATCCCCGCGGGTGATTTTAAATTTCTTCGTTTTATTTGTTTATATGTTCCTCAATTAATGCACCTCACTGTGTCACAACGAAAAAAGCTATTCAAAGAAAAGAAGTCATCATTCTTCAACCACATCAAAGCCAAAGAAAAGTTTGGCTCTGACTGTTAAGACCCAAAAAATAGCACAAGAGTCCAAAGACAGAGGATTTTGTCCTTCTCAGACAACAAATAACTCACACTGTCAGAGAGCTTGGGCGTAAATATTAGTTCAAATTACTGCACACATGTTGGGCACAGTGGCTCATGCCTGTAATCCTAGCACTTTGGGAGGCCAAGATGGGAGGATCGCTTGAGCACAGGAGTTCCAGACCAGGCTGGGCAACATGGCAAAGCCCTGTCTCTACTACAAAATTAGCCCTGTCTCTACAAAAAATTTGCCAGGCGTGGCAGTGCATGCTTGTAGTCCCAGCTACTCGAGAGGCTGAGGTGGGAGGATCGCTTCAGCCAAGGAGGTCGAGGCTGCAGTAAGCTATGATTGTGCCACTGCACTCCAGCCTGGGTGACAAAGTGAGACCCTGTCTCAAAAACAAAAAAGAAATTACTGACATAGGCTAAGGTGGAAGGATTGTTTGCAGCCAAGAGTTCGAGACTAGCCTGGGCAGCATAGTGAAACCCTGTCTCTACAAAAATAAAAAACAAAAATGATTGGCTAGGTGTGGTGGTGCAAACCTATAGTCTTAGCTACTCAGGAAGGTGAGGTGGAAGGACCGCTTGAGCCCAGGATTTTGAGGCTGCAGTGAGCTGTGATCATGCCACTGCACTCCAGTCTGGGTGGCAGAGGGAGATCCTGTCTCAAAAATAATAAAAGCAAAAACAAAACAAATTCCTGTGCATGGATTAGCTAGTAGGGCTCCAAATACAGAAGCTGACAGGTGTGTGAGAAGGGCTTTGGCCCAGAACCCAACTAACCAGATTATCTGGCCTTAGGGAAGCACGTGGCCTCTGCCTCCCCTACTGCAAAATGAGAGGGCTATAGACTATTCCATGGTGGCCCCTATGAACCACACGTTCTAGTCATACCTGTTATGGACTGAATGTTTATGTGCCCCACGTCTGTGTTCCTTCAGCTGGGTGGAGGATGTTGGGAGCAGCTGTTCATTCTCTAGCATTTCAGGCTGCCACAATGGTGATAAAATGGGTCCAGCTTTAAAATATATATATAAATAAACGTTAACAGTTGGAAGTCAGGTCCTTGTACCCTAAAATAGTAAAGTCAAGGAGATCATGGTGAAATGGTGCTGTAAATTCCATCAATGATAAAAGGTGCTGTGTATAATATTATATATTAATACTGGTGCTGTTTAGGTGCAGAATTTTATGAATTGCATATTTCTTCTTATAAATTGGGATAGATTCAATATTGGCACTGTAGTAATGCCCAAGGTTCCTGGCCCATTCCATCTTGTGACGCCATAATCTTCAAAATATGTACACAACACACACACAGGTACACACACACTAGTCCCTTCATCTGCCTCCATCTCTTCATCCTTCAGATCTCAATGTCAACATCACTCCCCCAGTGAAGTCCTCCCAGACTCCCAGCCACATATTCCCACACCTCCCCACTCTCCCCGTATTATAAAAAGATACATCTGGCTGCCTACCCAGAATTCAAAACCCTCCCTTTTATCCCTCCCTCCCTGAGTCTGATGCTATTAGGCATTCACATCTGCCACCTGTTTTAGGGCAATGGTAACCCGTTCCTAGCTCTAGCGAGTCCTAATTAGTCTTAACCCATCAGAATTAGGCATGCTCCTGGCAACTGTTATTGGTTCAGGATAGCTCACATGATCTAAACTGGCCAATCAGATTGAAGGGAAGAGACATAGCCTGGGCAAAGTAGGGAGATTTTAGCCTCTCTCCAGCTAGAAGTGAATGCTGAAGCGGTGGAGCCTCAGTTGCTTCTGAGAGCCATTTTTTATCTACAAGGAGAACCAGGATGAGGCCAGCTCCAGGAGGACAAAGCAGAGAGATGGAAAGAATCTGGGTCCTCTTGACATCACCAAGTTGCTGACCATTTCTTGCTTAGAGCCTACCCTCCATGTGAACTGCTATATCTGTGTGATTAAATAGTTTATTCCTAAGCAAGTTTTAATCAAGATTTTCTGCCATTATAGCTAAAAAACATTCTAATAAGTGCATCTATCATAATTTTCAAAACACTATTATTTTTGTTTGTTTAATTACCTGCTGCCTGCAGTTTTTTTTCACTAGACTATATTCTCTGTGATCACAGACACTGTCTTATTTACCATAGACTCCCCAGGGCCTACCAGAGTAAATAGCTCATAGTAGGTATGCAACAAATATTTGTAAATAAATGGATAACATCATCTATGCTTTATAAATGGGAGAGAAGGGAGTGGGTGTCCAACTAAAATTGGGATGTAACCCTTGCATAGCTCAACTGTGCTTCAGCCTCTATAGAATACTAATAGTACTAATGTACCTTCATAGCTGTTGCAAACTATAGTCATGTGATGAGGTTCAAGACATGCTACCCCAAAATATAATACCTTGGCATTTGAGAATGCAGCAGAAGCAGGATGATATGGTTTGGCTGTGTCCCCACCCAAATCTTATCTTGAACTCCCACATGCTGTGGGAGGGACCCAGTGGGAGGTAATTAAATCAGGGGGACAGGTCTTTTTCATGCTGTTCTCATGATGGTGACTAAGCCTCATGAGATCTGATGGTATAAAAAAGGGGAGTTTCCCTGCACAAGCTCTCTTCTCTTGTCTCCACATGTGACGCAGTGCCTTTCACCTTCCACCATGATTGTAAGGCCTCCTCAGCCAGGTACAACTCTAAGTCCATAAAACCTCTTTCTTTTGTAAATTGCCCAGTCTCAGGTATGTTTTTATCAGCAGTGTGAAAATGGACGAATACAGTAGGTATGCAACAAATATTTGTAAATAAATGGATAACATCCTCTAGGCTTTATGAATGGAAGATAATGGAGAGGGCTTCCAACTAAAATTGGGATGTAACCCTCACCTAGCTCAACTATGCTTAAACCTCTATTGAATACTAATAGTACTAATGTACCTTAATAGCTGTTGCAAACTATAGTCATGTGATAAGGTTCAAGACAGGCTACCCCAAGATATAACACCTTGGCATTTGAGAAAACAGCAGAAGCAGGAAGGTCACTCTCACTTTCCCCTCACCCTTCTCCCCTGAATTAGGCCGGAAAAGAATTCTCTGACACTCCCTTGAAGCAGGTCATAAGACCCTCATTCCAGAAGTGCCCTCCCAATACCCAGAAAAAAAGGAATGTCTTTATCTCTGATGACACAGGGATACAGTGAATAATCTGAACAAACAGGCCTTGCTAAGTTCCCCCCAGTTTATTACCATTAGATCATACCACTTTTGCCCAATCATACTTCTGCATCATTGTCCACTCCATCAAACCTATGCATAAAAATACATAGGTTTCCCTGTTTCTTTGGGTCTTCATTTCTGAAGGTTCCTATGTAATGAAAAACTTATATTAAATAAACTTGCATGCTTTTCTCTTGTTAATCTGGCTCTTCTTATAGGGGCCTCAGCCATGAACCTAGCAATGAGTAAGAAAAGAAATAGCTTCTCCCCTACTCATGTTTTATGTATTCATGAATTGTTTAAGTTATCTGAAATCTAGAAACGTATATGTGAGTGTGTCATGCAAGTAAAGGAATCAATTATGTGGATGGCGGTCAACAACAAGTTAACATTCACCATTATTCCAGTTACTCCTCAATGCACTTCTGCACAGACCTCTCCTGGCACCACCTTGAGCATTCTGCCTTCAGACCAAGAGGTATAACACCTCAGTCCCCAGAACTGGGTATCCACAATTGGAATACCCTCTCCCCAACTGTTCTAGTTATATATTGCTGTATAACCAATTGCCCCCAACCTTAGCAAAAATTATCCTAAAACTTTAATCAGCAAACATTTATTATTTCATTGTTTCAGAGGGTCAGGAACGTGAAGAGGCTTAGGTTCATGGTTCTGGTTGAAGTTCTCTCATGAGATCGCCATGAGTTGCAGCTGCTTCTAAAAGAGCTGGAGGATCTGCTTCCAAGTTCAATTACATGGCTGTTGGCAGGAGGCTTCAATCCCTCACCATGTGGGTCTCTCTATTAGGGCTGCTCATAAAGAGAGTGAATCAGGAAAGAGGAAATGTATGCACCCAAGGCAGAAGCTGAGCCTTTTTATAACCTAATCTTGGAAATGAAACCCTATCACCTCTGCCATACGTTATTCATTAGAAGTCAGGCTCCAAGGAATAAATTTCAAGAGATCTATTATAAGGCAAGGTGACTATAGTTAATGATGACATATTGTATTCTTGAAAAATGTAAAGGGTGGTTTTTATGTGCTCTTACTGTAAAAATGCTATGTGAGTATTGCATTTGTTAATTAGCTGGACTGAACCATTTCACAATGTAGATGTACTTCAAAACATCATTTCATACATGATTAAAACATACAGTGTTCTCTATCAATTTAAAAATAGACAAGTAAATGCATTTTTAAAAATTTTAAAAATAAAATGTTTTTCAGACTATTTCTAAAAAGAAAGAAGGAGGAGGAGGAAGAGAAGTAGTTAAGCACTAAGTCCAACTCACACTCAAAAAGAGCATCCTTAAGTTACATTTCTTGAAGGGGAGAATATCAAAGAATTTGTGGACATATTTTTTAAAACCACGCTATCACTGAATCCTTTCTGTCTTCCACTGAGTGCTTATCTTCTGGGATTAAGAGAGTCACAATTTAGAAGGCATTATGATGAGTACTGCATCATTATCTTCATCATCATCAACATCATCCTCACAAGAAAATTACCATATTAATTGTACCATTTTCGGGGCCATGCCAGGCAGTATGCTAACTGCTTTATAGACACTTAATTCTCAAACAACACTATTAGGTAGGTACTATTATTCCCATTAAGAGTTGAGGAAACAAAGCCCTGGGGCCGTTAAGTGACTTATTCAATGTTAAACAGCTAGTAAGTGCATAAACCAGATCTAACTGCAGTCTGTGCTGTTAGCTACTACTCTTCACTGCCTCCCACCGGCCAGTAAAGGAAACTCCACCTGTCCGAGCAACCAGGTCAGGTTCCCAAAGCCAACTGCCCACCATGTGGAAAATTTAAAATAAAATAAAACTTTGAAATCAAAGTTCAAGAAGGTCCAATCAGAGGATGAGAGGATGGGAAGTTGCAATATACAGAGCTTACTCAAGAATGGAGCCAAATGGATAAGAGAAAGCCATGCACATACCCTATGCATGCAAATCTATGCAGATATATGCAAATGTATGTAAGTGGTCATGCTAATCTATGTAAATGACCATGTCCTGAAAAGCAAAAAGGAGGATCAGCTTTTTCAGAAGGCAGTTTCCCCTGGTCTTGGCTTCTCTTGGTGTAGGAGTCATCACTGGGCAAAAAGTCAAAGTCTCTAGATTGAAAATTGTGAGAAAAGTTGTACCAGAGGTGACATCCAGATCTTTGCAGGAGTTCAGATACCTGAGACCCAGCTTACCTGAGGCCTGGCTTGCCTGGCTCCCAAAAAACTTGTCAGATTCAATACATTAGCAAAAATCAGTAAATAAAAATTCTGTTTGCAAATAAATGTCCGTTTACTTGTCCCATAGATATATTAGTAAAAGCTGATTTGGACACCTATCCTTCCAGTGCAATCACTCACGAACTTTGGTGTGTGTTTGATTCACACAGCCAGGGTCCTTATTTAAAGTACACATCGCTGTGCCCCTCCTGAGACCTCCTGTCAGCATTTGGGTGTGAGAGTCAGCCATGCTGGAAATCTGCATTTTTTAAAACACATCCCAGATGATTCTTGATCAGGAAGTCCATGGACCACCTTTAGAGAAAACTAGTATATAAAAAACACAGAATTTGAGAGCAGATAGACTTGAATTTGAATGTCAGCATGACATTTACTAGCTGTGTGGCCTTGGATTGTCGAAAAGGTGACATGGTACCACCATGCTCATTTGTAAACTGCAGCTAATTTTATTCTCCCTCCCAAAGGGTTGCTGTGATAACCAGAAATATACAAATACATTTGACTCTCGATAACTAAACTAGATAATTCCTTTAAAGGAGTTGGCACAAGTAAAAACTCCATAAATATTTGGTATTATTATGATGATCATTCCCTAACGAAAGGCGAAACCAGAGTCTCCCTCACCCAGAAGCCAGGCTGGCTCATAAAATACTGCCTAGTGCCATTGATAGGTGAAAAAGCTTTTTCTTCCTCCCCTGGGAGGTGGAGCAATGCATCTGATTGGCAGATTGGCAAGAATCTGAGCTTCACTGGTCTACCGTTTGGGGGGAAAGTTAAAGTGTTACCACCTCCCTCTTCCCTTTTCTCCCTTTCTTTCCCTCCCTGCGGTTTTTTGGGGTGTTTTTTGTTTTTTGTTTGATTGCTTTTGGTTTTTGTTTTGTTTTGTTGTTGTTGTTGTTTGTTTTTCAGGTCTTCTTTTCCCCTTTCTCTTATCTCGCCCCTTAAGAAGTTCTCAAGTTCTAGAACAGGAGAGGAGAATTAAGGAGGATCATTAGGTCCACAGGTCCAAGCCATGTCCTTCCACCCACATTAGCCAGCAACAGGCCTGATATTTTGATCCCTGACTCCTGTGTCTGTTAATTTCTCAGTCGGTCGAAAACCCATAGAGCAAAGAGGTGACCATCTGGCTAAAATCTCACCACCCAGTGTGTGCCTTCTGGGTGCCTGATCTCATGCCCAATGGGTAAGTTCCCTTGATATCCATTGCCTCGCTTGGCAGGTTCTCCCTGAGGCCAATTATTCAGTCCCGATTAATCATGGCAACCATACTCATGCACTAATTTCAAGGCTGTCAGAACTTACCCTCATGGAGCATCCTTTATTTACTTGAATTATGACTTCCTTTCATCAATTCTTAATCAAGTGGGTTTATATGGGCAAAAGCAACAAACAGAATTTCCACGTAAACGATACCTCAAAAAGAGAAGCCCCGGGCTCAGTCCATTAACAATTAATCATTGAGTTTTGAAGGAGCTTTCAAAAGCACATCATACATGTTTATAAACAATACCACTGCCCAACCAGCTCCCATAAAAACAGCAGCAACACCCAATGGGTGCAGGCTATGTGCCAAGCACACTGAGCGGCACTTTACATACATTAATTATGGCACTTAATCCTCACAACAACTCCATTTGCAGAGGACAAGTGTAAGCTCAGAGAGGATAATAGAAAACAGTGCCCAAATTCACACAGCCAGAAGTCACCTGGCCAGGATTCAAACTTGAGTCTTGCCTTCAAAGTCCCTACCTTTAGCCAGGTGTGGTGGTTCATGCCTGTAACCCCAATACTTTGGGTAGGCCTAGGCAGGTGGATCACCTGAGGTCGGGAGTTCAAGACCAGCCTGGCCAACGTGGCGAAACCCCGTCTCTACTAAAAAATACAAAAATTAGCCGGGCATGATGGTGAGCACCTGTAATCCCAGCTACTCGGGAGGCTGAGGCAGGGAGAATTGCTTGAACCCAGGAGAAGGAGGTTGCAGTGAGCCAAGATCGCACCACTGCACTCCAGCCTGAGTGACAGAGCGAGATTCCATCAAAAAAAAAAAGTCCCCATCTTCTTCCACCACACCATGATGCCTCCTTGTAACCCTCTCGTCATGTATCCCCTTGTATTTGAGATTATATCAAGGCAAACCCCAGGACTGAATAGCCTATCTTACTGCTTATACTCACAGAGTAATTTCTAGGTTGAAATCCTGGCTCTTCCTCTTGCTAGCTGTGTGATCCTGGGCAAATTACTTGAACTCTCTGAGTCCCAATTTCCTCAACATGAAGATAGGAATAATAATCTTGCCCTGGTTTTCTTATGGTAATTACTTTCTGGGGTAGCTGTGAGCATTAAAGTACAGTGATGAACATTAAAGTGTTTTGTAATCTGTAAGAAATATACAAATACATTTGGCTCTTGAACAACATAGGGGTCAGGAATGTCAACCCCCAACACAGTTGAAAATTCACATATAACTTTTGACTCCCCTAAAACTTAACTACTAATAGCCTACTGTCCACTGGAAGCCCAATAACATAATCAATTAACACATATTTTGTATGTTATATGTGTTATACACCATATTCTTACAATATAGTAAGCTAGGGAAAAGAAAATGTTTCTAAGAAAATCATAAGAAAAAGAAGATATATTTACTCTTCATTAACTAGAAGTGGATCATCTTAAAGGTCTTCATCCTTGTCATCTTCACCTTGAGTAGACTGAGGAGGAGGAAGAGGAGGGATTGGTCTTGCTGTCTTAGGGGAGCAGAAGCAGAAGAAAATCTGCATATTTGAATCTTCACAGTTCAAGCCCATGTTCTTTAAGGGTCAACTGTATTATTTTTTGATGTTATTATTTAAATTATTCTTTTGTGGTAGACAGAATTCTAAGAGGGCACCCAGTGATCCCTGCTCCCTGGTATTCAAGTCCCAGTATAACTCCCTCCTCTTGAGTGTGCAAGGGACCTGTGACTTGTTTTTAATCAACAAAACACAACCAACGTGATGGGATGCTGTTTCCACATTGGGTTACAAAAGAATGTGATTCCTGTCTTGCTAGCAGACTCTATTACTTGCACATTCTGACAAGGACCCATGTGGCAATAAACAAGAGGAACTGAGGTCCTCACTCCAACAACCACAAGGAACTAAATCCAGCCAATGACCACATGAGTTGGAAAGCAAATCCTTCCCCAGTAGAGCCTTGAGATGACCAAATCCCCAGCTAACACCTTAACTGCAGCCTGCGCAGATGAGCTCTGCCTGAATCCCTGAGCCACAGAAACTGTAAAATAATAAATGTGTATTCTTCTAAGCCACTGAGTCTTGTGGAAATTTATTAACCAGCAATAACTAATACACCATTCAATCACTGATTCATTCAAACATTCACTGAGCCCCTACGACATACCAGGCACAATACTAGGGGAGGGGACACAGAAATAACTGGGGCATGGTCTGTATCCTCAGGTTGTTCATTCTAGTGCAGGATCTGACTTGCATATAAATGAGAGCAAGGTACACAGCCTGCAGGAAATAATGCGGAATCCATGCACAAGGATGCAGGGTTAATGTGTGCATGGCAATCTCCTTCCTCAAAATGTAAGTCCTAAGTACTAAGAAATGTACATTTTTTTACTTACAATTTAAAGGGAAAATTTAGTTTAAAATAAAGGAGAAAAGAAACACAAATGTGTCCATCAACAGGAGAATGACCCCAAAAAAGAAAACCAAAACACAGTTATATTTGCAGGCCATGAATCCCATAAAGTATCTAGCAGCCATTAAAAATAATGAAGTAAGTTTATATCTGTCTATATAAGTCTGTATCTGTCGATATGGAAAAAACTCCAAGACACATTGCTGGTTGAATTTGTTAGGAAAAAAATAGCTTGATTGTAAATAGTATCTTATTGAATAGTTGTATGAGAAACAACTATTCAATAAGACACTATTTACAATTTAAAAATAACCAATTTTGGCTAGGCACAGTGGCTCATGCCTATAATCCCAACTCTTTGGGAGGCCGAGATGGGTGTATCACTTGAGGACAGGAGTTTGAGACCAGGCTGGCCAACATAGTAAAACCTCATCTCTACTAAAAATACAAAAAATTAGCCAGTCGTGGTGGTACTCACCTGTAATCCCAGCTTCTCGGAAGGCTGAGGCAGGAGAATTACTTGAACCTGGGGGGCGGAGATTACAGTTAGCCAAGATCACCCACTGCACTCCAGCCTGGGTGAAAGAGCAAGACTCTCTCTCTCAAAAAAAAAAAAAAATCCATTGTGCACACACATATGCATGAACATACACACATAAATAGCATTTACCTTCAATGATACATAAACATGTACAGTAGGTAGAGAACTGTACAATGAGGATTAAGGACACAAACTATGGACTCAGACTTCTGGGACCCAACTTCCAGTTATGCCATTTACTGGTTATGTGACCTTGAAAACATTTCTGAAATGTTTTGAGCCTCAGTTTCTTCATCTGTAAAATGGAAATGATAATGGTGGTATGGTTTGGCTGTATCCCCACCCAAAATCTCATCTTGAATTGTACATTTGTATAATTTGTAATCCCCGTAATCCCCATGTGTCAAGGGAGAGACCAGGCGGAGGTGTCCGAATCATGGGAGTGGGTTCCCTATGCGTTTTTGATAGTGAGTGAATTCTCACGAGATTTGTTGGTTTTGTAAGAGGCTCTTCCCCCTTTTCTCAGCACTTCTCCTTCCTGCTGTCTTGTGAAGAAAAGGCCTTGCTTCCCCTTTGCCTTCTGCCATGATTGTAAGTTTCCTGAGGCCTCTCCAGACATGCTGAACTGTGAATTAATTAAACCTCTTTCCTTTATAAATTACCCAGTCTCAGGCAGTTCTTTATAAGAGTATGAAAACAAACTAATACAAATGGTATATACATCATAGGGTTATTGTGAGGATCAAATGAGCTAATATAAAGTTGATGCAAAGTAAGTTCTCAATGAATGTTTGCTATTATCAGGACTAATACAATGGTTATTATTACTCCTACGACCACTAATGATCTGCAACGATAGATACAAAATAAAAATAATGAAAAGAAAAAAGAAAAATAAGATAATAATATAAACAACAGGGGTATTGGAATGAGAATGGAGAAAAAAAGGGTCTCTATACATATGTGTAATTTCCATTTTTTACAGGGACAACAGTTCAGGTATTGTGTAACTAACAACCAAAATCAAGAAATAGATAGTCAAATAAATAGTCAATTGAAACCAACTCATAAATAGTCAAATAGTAATACAGGTGCTCACGTATCGTGGGGCGCGAAGCAGGAAAGTACTCCGTTTTCTCTGAAAATGGAGAGGGTGTCATGGCAGGCTCTATGGAAAATGCGATTCACCCAGAAACCACCCCTCCCACTGATATTTTCTCCAAGTGCAAATTTTCCTCTTTGTCGTCTTTGTCTGAAGAAGCACTGTGAGGCCTTCCAGAGTCCCCTACAGATTGATAAAGGTCCTGTTGAGAACCTGGGGAAGTGCAGGGTTGAGGGGCAAAAGCTGTTCCCAAAGTTTCCCAGAAACCCAGGAGGACGGCTGGGCCAGCTGCCAGCATGGCCTGGCTGGACCCTCCAGGATACCCAGCAAACTCTTCCAGCCCCGCCGAACTGTGCATTAATAAACTCATAATGAGCTGTCTTCCCATTCCAGGCTACTGCTGCTGCTGAGTGCTGCTGAAGGATACCTGTGTCTTGTGAAGAGGCTTGGCTGGTAATGGTGATGGATGGCCCTTCCTCTGCCTGCCCTCCCTCATCTGCCTTAATCTGCCAGGTCACCGGGCTGGTGGGGGCTGCAGACTGAAGTGAGGAAACCCACAGGAGGGGCTTCTGAATGGAAGCAACTAAATCTCCCAACACCCTGGGCCTCAAACCACAATTGGGATCTCATTAACTAACTCCAAGCTCTAACTAAGTGCCCACCATGAATGAGCATCTCCTTTTGAAGCAATAAATTCACCCAGAGGAAGCAATTAACAGAACCAATAAGAGTAGGAGGGAGCAGAGAAGAAATATTTATCAACAGCCTCCTCATTGCTTTTTCATTTTTCCTTATTTAATTTATCCAATAAACTTTTTTCCTAATTATTTTATTTTCTTTTTTGTCAGTCTCTGCTTATCCATAATTATTTTATTTTTATTATCCAATAGTCTTTTAATATCTTCACTATTATTATCGCCCATTTTATGGATGAGAAAACTGAGGCTTGAAGAGGTTCTGACTTATTCAGTAGTACACAGCTAAGAAGCAAATGGGCCAGGCGTGGTGGCTCATGCCTGTAACCCCAGCACTTTGGGAGGCCAAGGAGGGAGGATTGTTTGAAGCCAGGAGTTCAAGACCAGTGTGGGCAACAAAGCGAGGCCCCAACTCTACAAATTTTTTTTTTGCAAAGATTAGCTGGGTGTGGTGGCATGCATCTGTAATCCCAGCTACTCAGGAGTCTGAGGCAGGAGAATCACTTGAGCCCAGGAGTTGAAGGTTGCAGTGAGCTATGATGGCACCACTGCACTCCATCCTGAAAGACAGAGCAAGACCTCATCTCAAAGGACAAAAAAAGAAGCAGCAAATAAATTTGGTCCTCATCACATTGTTTATGTCCATTTCACAGAAAAGAAAACTGAGGCTTGGGAGATCAGGTGGCTTTCTGAGGGAGGACCATATGGTTGGGAAGTGATGTAGTCATTATCTCTTTTTTTCTGGTTTTTTTTTGGTTTTTTTGTTTTTTTTTTCAGATGAAGTCTCACTGTGTTGCCCAGGCTGGAGTGCAGTGGCACGATATCAGCTCACTGAAACCTCCGCCTCCTGGGTTGAAACAATTCTCCTGCCTCAGCCTCACAAGTAGCTAGGATTACAGGCACGCACCACCATGACTGGCTAAATTTTGTATTTTTAGTACAGATGGGGTTTCACCATGTTGACCAGGCTGGTCTCAAACTCCTGACCTCAGGTGATCTGCCCACCTCAGCTTCCCAAAGTGCTGGGATTACAGGCATGAGTCACCTCACCCGTCTGATGTGGTCATTATTTCTGAACTCAAGTGCAGAGTTGATTTGATGCCCAGAGATGGAAAGAGCATCTGACCTTCTTCATCACCCACCTGGAGGCTGCATCAGATCTTTTCTGATCCTCTAAATGTGGTCCTGGCTTCACCCCCAGCAGAATCAAACTAGGGTACATGTTAAAAGGCAGATTAGCTGGTCCTGCCCCTAGTCTTTGAAACAGACACTCTCACCAAAAGATCTGGAGTCTGCATCTTAAATAAACAACCCAGAAAGAGTCCCAAGCATGCTGGAGCTTGGGAACCACAGCACAGGCATCCCTCTCTGATGCTTGGTACATCTTGATCCATGAAGAACAAGGCAGCTTTTGCAAGAGCGCTGTTTAATATTAGTGAGCCAAATTTTTACATCCATCATCATTTTACATTTATGAAGTTCATTTTCATCCTCTTAATCAAAGATCTAAAGCTGGCAGACTTGAGAATTTATTTGGCCAGCAGTTAGGCTCTTAGACCAGTGTTTTGAAAGAATGTAGTCGTGGTCCTAAACAGAGACCACCTTGGTTCACATCCCAGCTCCCCCAGCCTCCACCTGTTCTGCTCACACATGCTGACCTCAATTTTCTTAGCTGCCAAATGGGGTAATAGTAGTTCATGCCTCCTAGTTATATGAGAGACTTAAGTATGTTCATTGATAGAAAGCTTATAAAAGAGTGCCTGGAATAGAGTAAATGCTCAATAAAGATTAGCTATCAACATTAAAATGTAGATTTCTGCTGAGCGCATTGGCTCGCGCCTGTAAACCCAGAACTTTGGGAGGCCGAGGTGGGTGGATTGCTTGAGGTCAGAAGTTCGAGACCAGCCTGGCCAAAATGGTGAAACCCCGTCTCTACTAAAAATTAAAAAAATTAGCTGGGCGAGGTGCTGGGCACCTGTAGTCCTAGCTACTGAGGCAGGAGAATTACTTGAACCCAGGAGGCGGAGGTTGCAGTGAGCCAAGGTCGTGCCACCCCACTACAGCCTGGGAGACAGAGTGAGACTCAGTCTCAAAAGAAAAGAAAACAGAATAAAATGTAGATTTCCAGATTTTCTTGATTTTCTCACCGCCACACTTACCTGGATCCAGGTGGTGTCTGCCCACTTTCGGGGGTGAGGAAGGCTGTTGGGTCACCCACAGCACTTAGTCACCTGGCTATCCCCTATGGGCATGGGCATGCTGCAACCAGCCCTGCAGGCCTTTGCATTGGTGACCCTGTGGGCTTCGTTGAAATCACATGTCCATCATTGCTCCTCCCCAGGAGCCACGAATTCCAGCACTCATTTCATAGCACCAGCCCTGGGGCTGCCCTGGGACTCCACACCCACATTCTGGTGATAGACCTGGAGCAAGAGGCTTCCAAGCCCCCTCAATCAAACTCTTGCTTTCCTGCCCAGCCTTGTTGCTCACCTCTCTCCCCTTCCAACTTCAACTCCAGTTGGATCATTGCAATTACTCAGCAGTAGTATCTTGCCATCCCGTGAAGCACTAACTCAGAAAGAGTTCCAGCGACAGTCCTTCTAAGACGTATTCCCCTGGCTAACTCACTCTTGTGCATTCTAGTCTCAGCTGAAATGTTAGTTCTTCTATAACACTTACTTTGCCTGCAGAGGCTGAATGAGCTGGCCCCCTGTGTGCTCCTTCAGTCCCCTGCATTTCCTACCCACCTGCACTTATCACACTGGGTTTTGGTTACCTGTTAATTGTGTCTCCCCTTATTGACCAGCAGATCCATGAAGACAGAGTCTTTGCCTTGTTCATGCTTGAGTGCTCAGTACCTAACAAAATACTTAGCACATAGCTGACACCCAATAAACATGTGTTGAATGGATGAACAACACAGAGATTCTGTTCAGGTACAGGAAAAGGGACCAGAATTCTGTTTACAAAAGCAAGCAAGAAAGAGACAAGACAAACATTTATCGAACACCTACTATACATAAAGTTTCACAATAATCTTATGTAGTAGCTATTATAAGCCATTTTTTTTTCTTTTTTGAGGCAGAGTCTCGCTCTGTTGCCCAGACTATAGTGCAATGGCTTGATCTTGGCTCACTGCAACCTCCGCCTCCTGGGTTCAAGCAATTCTCCTGCCTCAGCCTCCCAAGTAGCTGGGATTGCAGGTGCATGCTGCCACACCCAGCTAATTTTTTGTTTTTTGTATTTTGTATTTTAGATGGGGTTTCACCATGTTGCCCAGGCTGGTCTCGAACTCCTGAGTTCAGGCAATCCACCCGCCTCGGCCTCCCAAAGTGCCAAGATTACAGACGTGAGCCACTGCGCCTATAATCCCTTTTGTGAGAAAACTGAGGCTCAGAGAAGTTAAATGGTTTGTTCAAGGCCATTGAGCTAGAACAGAGGTCAGCAAAGTTTTTCTGTAAAGGGACAGATAGCAAATACTTTTTAGGCTTTGTGAGTCACATGGTCTGTGTCATAGCTATTCAACTTTGCCAGTGCAGCACAAAAGCAGTCATAGACAATACATAAACAAATGGGTCGGGCTGTGTTCTAATGAGATTTCATGTACAAAATGGGCAAGCGGTAGCATTTGACCCATGGGCTGTATTTGGTGAACCCTGAGTTAGACAGTCATCTAAGAAAGATGGAACCCATGTTTGTCCATTAGGTACTAAAGCCTCTCAGACAAGAAGCTGGAGGAAGACAGATGCATAGCAGAAGTGGTGAAGATCCAGGAAGGGGTGTTTGCTATGAGAAAGCCCAAAGCAAATACAGTCCATCTCATCATGAGAGCTCATATCCTTTACTTTTCTATAAAACACTGATTGATCAACTACTGTGTGCTAGGACTTTACCAAGTGTTTGGGGGACCCAACCAGGAGTAAGGCCAGTTCCTGCCCTCTCTTAGCCTATAGGGTATTAGACCGTTTTCACACTGCTATAAAGAAATGCCTGAGACTGGGTAATTTATAAAGGAAAAAGGTTTAATTGACTCCACAGTTCCAAATGGCTGGGGAGGCCTCAGGAAACTTACAATCATGGCAGAAGGCAAAGGAAAAGCAGGCACCTTCTTCACAAGATAGCAGGAGAGGGAGAGAGAGAGCATGAAGGGGAAAGAGGCCCACACTTATCAAACAAGCGCATCTTTTGAGACTTACTCACTATTACGAGAACAGCATGGGGGAAACCACCCCCATGATCCAATCACCTCCGACCGGGTTCCTCCCCCGACACATGGGGATTACGATTCAAAGTGAAATTTGGGAAGGGACACAGAACCAAACTATATCATATAGAATAGTAAATGAAATGATAATTATGCACGTTCTTTCCGTCATTATATATTTACCCAGCACCTACTATGTGCTGCGAATGAGACTACAAGCTGTGAACCAATCAAGGCTTGGTCTCTGCTCTTAGGGAGGTTACAGCCCAGCTGCCGAAAAGGACATGAAATAATAATCACACAGATAAATATTTAATTACAAACGTGGATAAATGCCATGAAGGAAAGAACATGATGCTATGAGAGAGAATAACAAGAGAAAATTCATTTAGGTTGTCGGAGAGAGGGCTGGTCAGGGAAGAACTCCCTGGAGAAATGGTAAATGCTAGAAAACTGAGACAGCAAAAGGTAGAGGTAGTTCAGAGGAAGTAAGGTTAGAAGAGGCTTCTGGAAGGCCACGGCATTTGAACTTGACTTGGAAAGATGTGTGGGACTTGGAAGTGCCAGAACCAGCCTGCCACGTGCAGTTGTACAGACTGGGCACTGCTCAACTCCAGCAGACACATTCATATGAACACGGTGGGAATGGCACCCCCTAGGGTTGTGCAGTTGTACAACTGTCTGCAGCAACCCTGTGCTGCACTGGGGAGAAAAAGCATTCTTGAAGAAGGGAACAAGGCACCGGGTGATAGTTAACAGTCCCTTAATTTCACCAGGACCATGAACAAATTGCCCTGCCTTAAATGCTTCCTGTTCGGTGTTTTCCCTCCACCTCTTCCTCCACGGCCTGCAGTTTGTGCATCGTGGGGCATTCTCAGGCCTCCTCAGCAGCTGTGATGAATATTTCCTTATTGCTGGTAACCATTCCCCCAGTGAGTCCCTTGCCTGGTTCTCCATCAGCCCTCCTTCTGGCTGCAGTGTGTTAACAGGGTACTCAGCCCCATACTTATTACTCCAGTTTAATGAGCTGGTGGCAAAACTTGATGATATAAAATTTATATTTATTGAATCTGATTGTCCCTGAGCCTGCTTCTGCATGTGTAGCCTGCTTGTCCTAGAGGCTGGGACCACTCTGGATTATTGTGTTACCGTTTTATTGATGGGTGAACCCATTTGCTCATTTCTTTGTACAGGAAGTCACACCCCCTCCCATCTCCACTGACTGGGTGCAGGCTTGTTTTCCACCTGGCAACTCCTTAAGCCAAGTAGGGGAGAATTAGGGCAGGAGTCCAAATTCATGTGCCTGCCAGGACCAGGCGGGCATGACAAATGAGTGAATTGGGCTGGGAGATGAGGGGACGAGACAAACTAGAGAGCACAGACATCACCTAAAAGGGATGGCCCTACTCGGTTACTGGCCATTGTTGCCTGCCCATATGCAAATGAGCCCCATTGTGAGAGGATCTTCAATTTTCCAAGAATTTGGGAAAGGGGGATTTGTGTGTGAGTTTCTGATATCTTTCCATTTTAAATACCTGCAATTAATTTTTAAGAATGTTTTAACATAGAAGTCAAACAAATTACTTCTGGAGGTCAAATCCAACCCTTGGATTTCTGTTTGCCATCTCTGAGCTCAAGGAAGCTGAAAAATCTGAAGATAAGAACACCCTTTCCTGGTGGAAACCACAGGTCATCTGACCTGAGAGACCAGCTTTTCCAAGGCAGAAGGATGTGCTGCTTAAGAGAACAGGCTTTGGAGTCAAACACATTTGAATTCAAATGCAGGCTCCACCCCCTTGTGTGACCTTGGGCAAGTCCTTCACCTGCTGAACCTCAGATCCCTCATCTGAGAACTAGAGAGAAGTCCACCTGCTTTGCAGGGTTGCTATGTGGAATTAAGGCTTGCTTTGACCCGGTGAAACATGAGCACAATGATGTGTATTTGTTCCAGGAAGAAACTTTAAGAGCCAATGCACTATGTGCTATGTGCCCTTTCTTGTACTGTGACCACATGTCAAAATTTGGAGCCTCCATCATCCTGAGTTCCTCAGAACAATGAGGAAAAGATTCCCCTGCTGACCTTCAGCAGACACACAGCATGTGGAAAAAGCAAGCTCTATTCTAGCTAAGCCATAGAGCATTTGGAATTTTTTCTTTTGTTACTGCAGCAAAGCCTACCCCATCCTGACTGGTATGTAGGATGGGGTAGGCTTGCTGTAGTAACAAAAAATTACAAAATTAGTACATTTCGCAATTACTTTTCATTGCAAAAACCGCAAAATTACAAAATTAGTACATTTCGCAATTACTTTTCATTGCAAAAACCGCAAAATTACAAAATTAGTACATTTTGCAATTACTTTTGCACCAACCGAATATCTCATAACATTGTTCTAAGAGTTAAATGAATTATTAAATATACATGAAACACAGAACAGTGCCTAGACATGGTAAGCTCTTCTATTAATCAGCTTTGTTATAATATCAAATAACTCCAACATTTCAGTGGCTTACAACCACAAAAGTTTACTTCCTGGTTTCATGCTGAAGGGCAGCCCCTCTCTAGGATAAGCCCTAAGATGTACTGTTCTTGTGACAGAGGAAAGGGACAAGGGAGCTGGCAGAAACAGACAACAGTTTAAAGTTGCTCAGACATCCATCACATCCCTCCAGACACCACTGGCCAAAGCAAGTCACAGGGCCAAGCCCAGTATCAGTGGGACAAGAATGTTGCTCCTCTCACTGGGAGGCATGTCAATCACACAGTAATGAGCAGGGATGTATAATCCTCTTATCGGGAGGCAAATAACTAGGAGGGAATTATAAAATCTAAAATACCCTTCAGTAAAAGTTAGTGATTATGCTTTTCACACTTGGTAAGAGGAGTCGGCAAGGAAAAGTTTGGGCTCTGAGGTACAAAGATATAGGGGAAGATGAAGAGGATGACTGGGAGTTTGTCCTTTCACTTGGCCTCTTGGATATCATGGTTGGGAGACACAGCCAAAGGAGCTAGTTTCAACATAAAACCCAAACACAGGCTGGGCACGGTGGCTCATGCCTGTAATCCCAGCACTTTGGGAGGCCACAGCAGGAGGATCACTTGAGGTCAGGAGTTCAAGACCAGCCTGGCCAGCATGTGAACATTAGCCAGGTGTGGTGTTACTCACCTGTAATCCCAGCTACTCAGGAGGCTGAGGCATGAGAATTGCTTGAATCCAGGAGGCAGAGGTTGCAGTGAGCCGAGATCGTGCCACTGTACTTTAGCCTGAGTGACAGAGCAAGACTCCACCTAAAAAAAAAAAAAAACAAGGGCCGTCTTAGGTCCTAGGTCCACAGGATAAAATATGACCCAGAGTAGCCGAGAAAGGCCTTCTCTCCACCCTGGGACTAGGATGCAGCAAGAAATGGACTCAGATGCAGTGTTTTTCATCATCTCCAGGGATTGTCATTTTTGGAGAGTGGAGGACACAACCCCCTGACCAAGGGCTTGGCATTTTCAGAGGCACCAACTCAGCAGCCACAGTGAACGTCCTCCCTTCCCATATCTTATCAGACAGCCAAGGTCAACCAGAGGATGCAGAGTGGGAGCTGAGAGGACTGGTCAGGGGGACACGTGAGAAACCCATGGGACTACAGGGATGATGAGGGAAGACTCAGGGCTGGGTCCACTGGCATCGTGCATTATGCAGTTAAATGCATGAACCAGCAAACGCTGAACTGTCCTAGTCAACAAGGCCCTATTGGTCCTCACGGGTTGCTGAGCTCTGCAAAATCAGGTCACTAGTAAAACTGTACACACACAAAAGCAAGATGTACACACACCAAAAAATTATCTCTAGGTAGAAAAATGCAGACAGCACCACTGGACATTCAGAAGGCTTTTTCTCACCTTGGCAGGCTGGGGGAAAGGGATATGCTGCCAAAAGGAAGGCCAAGGTGGCGGCCGTGACTGCTGGCTGGGGTCAAGATGGGATGGGAAAGCAGCAAAGGGGTAGTGATTTTCCCTTCTGGAAGTCCCCAAGACACAGACTATATTCTGGAAGGAGATGAGTAACTAGGGTTTGGAAATGAGGGTTAATATTAACATTATTCAATAATTATTATTTAAAATATTTTAAAAGCTTGTAATTAGGTTGACTCATATGAAATTGATATTTGACCAACTCTCATGTGACCAGGCTCATATGAATTGATATTTGACAGGTTCTGACCTGGGCAATTTCATAAAGCACAGTTTCACAGGGGGCAACCTAACGTACGCCAGACATTGTGCTAGGCAGTTAACACATAATCATTTTATTCAATGCCCATCCAGCCCTCTGTATTAGTTTTCATACTGCTGATAAAGACATACCTGAGACTGGGAAATTTACAAAAGAAAGAGATTTAATGAATTCATAGTTCCACATGGCTGGAGGCCTCACAATCATGGTGGAAGGTGAAAGGCACATCTCACATGGTGGCAGATAAGAGAAGAGAACTTATGCAGGGAAACTACCCTTTATAAAACCATAAGATCTCATGAGACTTATTCACTATCACAAGAATAGCACAGGAAAGACCTACCTCCATGATTCAATTACCTCCAACTGGGTCCCTCCCACAACACGTGGGAACTGTGGGAGCTACAATTTAAGATGAGATTTGGGTGGAGACACGGCCAAGCCATATCACCCTCCAAGGCAGATTCCATTACTATTTCCATTTAACAGAGGAGGAGACTGAGGTTAAATTATTTGCCTGAGCTCGGTGTGGTGGCACATGCCTATAAACCCAGCTACTCAGGAGGCTGAGGCAGGAGGATTACTTGAGCCTAGGAGGTCAAGGCTGCAGTGAGCCATGATGACACCACAGCATTCCAGCCTCTAAAATAAAAATAAAAAATTAAAACAAATTATTTGCCCAGCCGGGCGCAGTGGCTCATGCCTGTAATCCCAACACTTTGGAAGGCCAACATGGGCAGATCATGAGGTCAGAAGATCGAGACCATCCTAGCCAACATAGTGAAACCCCGTCTCTACTAAAAATACAAAAAAATTAGCTGGGTGTGGTGGTGCATGCCTGTAGTCCCAGCAACTTGGGAGGCTGAGACAGCAGAATCGCTTGAACCCAGGAGGCAGAGGTTGCAGTAAGCTGAGATCACACCACTGCACTCCAGCCTGGTGACAGAGCAAGACTGTCTCCAAAAAAAAAAAATTATTTGCCCAATGTCACATGGCTAATAAATTATAGACCTAAGATATAACCCAGAGGGTGAGAATCTGGGGCCCAGACCCTTCACTACAGGGCTCTGGCTGCTCAACGTGGGTTCCGAGGATCAACAGCAGCAAGCCTTTCCTGAGAGCTTGTTTGAAATGCAAAGTCTTATTTGTACATCCATGATCACAGCAGCGTTATTCACAATAACCAAAAGATGAAAACAACCCAAATGTCTGCTGACTGATGAATGGATAAAATGTAGTATATACAACAGTATATTATCCAGTCTTAAAAAGGAAGAAAATACTGACATATACAACAATGTGGATGCACCTTGAGGACATTGTGCTAGGTGAAATAAGCCAGCCACAAAAAGACAAATACTGTGCAATTCCACTTATATGAGGTCCCTAGAGTAGTCAAATTCATAGAGACAAAAAGTAGAATGGAGGTTGCCGGGAGTTGGGGAGAGGGAAGAATGGGGAGTTGTTTAACGGGTAGAGTTTCAGCTGAAGATGAAAACAGTTCTGGAGATTGGTCATACAACAATGTGATATACTTAATGCCACAAAACTGTACACTTAAAAACAGTTAAAATGGTATGCTTTGTATTATGTATATTTTATCACAATAAAAATAATTTCAGTCCGGGCATGATGGCTCACGCCTGTAATCCCAACACTTTGGGAGGCCGAGGCAGGCTAATCGCCTGAGGTCAGGAGTTCGAGACCAGCCTGGCCAACATGGTGAAACCCCATCTCTACTAAAAATATAAAAGTTAGCCAGGCATGGTCGCATGCGCCTGTAATCCCAGCTACTCAGGAGGCTGAGGCACAAGAATCACTTGAACTCAGGAGGTGGAGATTGCAGTGAGACAAGATTGCCTCACTGCACTCCTGCCTGGGTGACAGAGCAAGACTCTGTCTCAAAAATAAATAAATAAATAAATAAATAAATAAATAAATTTTAAAAAGTCAGAGTCTCAAGACATGCCAAGTTTTTTTTTTTCCTTTTTTTTTTTTTAGAGACAGGGTCTTGCTCTGTTGCCCAGGCTAGCGTACATAGAGCGCAATGGTACAATCGTTGCTCACTATAGCCTCAAGCTCCTGGGCTCAAGAGATCCTCCTGTCTCAGCCTTCTGAGTAGCTAAAACTACAGGTGCATGCCACCATGCCCAGCTAATTTTTTTAGTTTTTTAGAAATGGAGGCCTCACTTTGTTGCCCAGGCTGGTCTTGAACTCCTGGCCTCAAGTGATCCTCCTGCCTTGGCCTCCCAAAGTGCTGGGATTACAAGTGTGAGCCACTGTACCCAGCCAAGACTTGCCTTTATAATAAGATCCTCGGGTATCCTGTGCACATTAACACTTGAGGAGCATTACCACTGACTAGACTATCCAGCCGCCCAGGTGCAAGGAAGCACTTATAGGGATGGCCGTTTACAGGGAAGAGTACAAGGTAGCATAAATGCAGAAAACTAGGGGCAGCAGCTCTGAACACAGGTCCCCCTTTGCAGGTGTGCTCCATGCTTAGGATGCAATTGCACTCCAGCCTCCTCCCTTTTCCAGCCTGCACCAGGAAGTGCTCTTAACTAATGGAGTCTTGGCAAGCCGGCAATGAGCTGGGACAACAGGGCTTGCTTCCCCCACCATGTTTAGCTTGGCTGCTTGGAGCCCCTTGGCTGCCAACTGAAGTCACCGTAGTGCCTCTGAGCTCTGCTACAGATGAAATTAATTCCTCCAGAGCTGAGGGAGCCTGAGCAGGCAGAGGAGCGAGTGCTGGGCTGGTGGAGCAAACTGCTTTGGCAGCAGCTGTTCCATTTGGGGAACTAATGAGACTCGAGGAAAAACCTACCGAGGGATGCCAAGTGCTTGTTTGCTTGTGGAGTTGATATAGCCTTGGCCAAATTGGACAACGATGCAAAAATGCCTATCATTTTTTTTTCTGTTCAATTTTGTGGCTCCGTCTTGCATTTCAGAAGAAGAAGGATTAAAACCGTGTCCGTCGCCAGGCTACCCCTCAGTTCCATAAAGATTCAGAGAAGACAGCCACCTTACAATGCAGGTATTCCAAAAGATCATCGTCTGGATTTCCTACTGACTCATTCAGCACCAAGCCCTGACCTCACCTCCTAAATGTTTTTTTCAAAATTGTTTGGTTCTCTGCTGCTTTTTGTAGCCAACGCATATCTCTTTACAGCAGATATAACGTTTTAAAAGCCGCAAACCCAGGTGAGAAAAATATAATCTCTTTTACTTCCTTATAACTGAATTTTGTTATTTTCCAGGGCCCCCACACTATGTGGCTGCAGTAAACCTAATCCTGTTCAATTGAGGATAAACTCAGACAATTCAGGAAGAACTCAGCAAATTCAAGGTTTCATTGGTTATTTCATGGTCTACTTCCTTCTGCCTTCTCCTTCCAGCTGCATCGAATTTCTGGGAGGTGTTCATAGCATCATGGCATTGGTGGGGGGCACTCTTTGGCCCTTCGTTATCCCTTTGGTAGCCACCGAGAAGTAGCTTCTCTTCAATCAATGCCGTTACTCCTCCTTGACTTCATGGGGACTTAATGCTTTCTGGTCTCACTAGTCAGTGATGGCTATTTTCCTTCATTTCCCCTACAAGGCTCTCACCACCCCCACCATGCTAACCTTGGCCACAGAAGCATGTTCTGTTCTCCTAGGAGACGCTGGGGATGTTGATGATGCAGTGAGACTGCCCCTGACCAGTCTGCCCAGACAACACTCACAGCCGCCTCTTATCTATCATTTCAAGCCGAGCCGAGTAGAAGCCTCTCTGAAAGGCCTGACAGCTGAGACACAGGTCCCCAATGCTCTTGACCTCCCCACCTCTCTAGAGTTTACTTATGCAACCTCTCCCCAACTTGAGAGTCAGGTGAGGGAACAAGAGCCAAAGCCCTTTCTAAAATAGACTTGTGGCAGATTGGATTTCCCAAAGATGGGGGCAAAAATATCTCTTGTCCAACTTGCTCTTCTTATAATGTAACCTTGATACTCCATCCATGGAGTAGTGAAGTCTGTATCTCCTTCTGTTTTAGTCCATTTTCTGTTGCATATAACAGAATACCTTAAACTGGGAAATTTATAAAGAAAAGAAATTCATTTCTTACAGTTCTGGAGGCTGTGAAGTCCAAGGTCAAGGGGGGTGCACCTGGTGAGGGCCTTCTTGCTGGTAGGGACTCTCTGCAGAGTTCTGAGGAAGGCACCACATTGGAAGGGGGCTGAGTATGCTAGCTCAGGTGTCTCTTCTCTTATAAAGTTAGCAATGCCACTCCCATAATAACCCATTAATTCATTAACCCATCAATCCATAAATGGATTAATCTATTCATGAGGGCAGAGCATCCATGGTCCAATCACCTCTTAAAGGCTCCACTTTTCAATACTGCCATATTGGGGATTTAAGTTTCAACATAAGTTTTGGAGGGGATAAACATTCAAACCATAGTACCTTCCCTTGAACCTGAGCAGAGCTTTATGACTGCCTCCATCAGTAGAGGACGGTGGAAGAGATACTATCTGACTTCCAAAGTTATATCATTTTAAAGCTATGCATTTCTATCCTCCTCTCTTGGGATACTTGCTCTTAGAACCCAAATCCCATGCTGCAGAAAAGTCCAAGTAGCCATGGAGAGACTTGTGGAGAGGACTGAGATCCCTGGCCATAGCCCCAGCTGAGTTTCCCAACAGCCAGCACCAACTTACCAGCCATATGAATGAGCCATCCTGAAAACAAATCTCCGAACCACCTGCCAACCCCCACCCCATCAAGCCATCCCAGCTGATGTCACTGGAGCAGAGAAGGCCCTGCCCAAATTGCAGAACAGTGAGCAAAATAAATAAGAATTGTTGTTTTAAGCCACTAAGTTTTGGGGTAGTTTTCACGCAGCAATAAATAACTGATTCCATACTTATCCACACCTAATTCTCGTGTATCTCCTTGCTTCTGTCTCTTCCCAGGGAGATGTTATCATTTCTGTAGTGATAAAATTGCCTCTTCATCTTCTCTTTCCAAGTTTTTTATTATGATATAAACCATGCACCCTAAGCTCTTTAGGACTTAAGCTTTTGAAACCATTTTTAAAAACTGGCTTTTATAAAGCAAAATCCTTGGTTTTCAAAATTATTGTCAGGTGCCAAGCATTTCAAAAACCTGTTTTGAAACTCAAAAGCTGAGCGTTGGCTTTTTTTTTTTTTTTCTTCTTCCTCTATGCATTCCTGCCATAACAGCCATCCCTGGATGGTGATGAGTATGGAATACCACAGTCTCAGGTGGGAGGGAGAATGATATACGAAATTTCCAGAAGTGGTGGGATGCACTGGGTAATATAACACTATCATGCTATTTTTACCCAAGCAGATACAAATCTCCAGTGTGCAAGGTTATCCTGTTCCTTTATTTTCTTTAAATCAACTTCAATCCAACTCTGGGCAGCCATCCACTGTCCTGGTGGAAAACGAGACTTCAGTGATAATTAGAACACCTTTTCTGAGCACCATCCCCTACCCACAAGGGGTGAACAAAAGTTCTCAGGTCTTAGCCCTATCCTTTCAAGGCAATACTCATAGGCTTTGCCCCATGTAGTCTCTGCTGAAATACACGTTGTTCAAGACAGTCAGCAAAGTTTTTGTGTAAAGGGTTAGATAGTCAATATTTTCAACTTTGCTGGCCATACAGTCTCTGCTGCAACTACTCAGTTCTGCTGAGTATTGCAAAAGCAGCCACGGGCAAATCCATAAATAAATGGTCTTGTCTGCGTTGCAATAAAACTTTATTTACACAAACAAGTGGCAGCCATAGTTTGCTGACTCTAAGCCCACACAAGTCCCTTGAACTCCTGTGTTTCTCTGATTATGCCCCCAGGGAGAGCCATCAAGATATTTTCTTTTGAAACAGTATCTGTCACTCGGGCTGGAGTGCAATGGTGGGATCACGGGATATCCAATGAGGCTTCATTGGAGCTTATGCTCCGACATAAGGGAGGCAGTGCAAGAGAGAGAGGGAATTCCTTAAACCGATTCCCCAAAAAGAGTGGGTAGGGCTTTTTTATTAGGCAAAACATGGGAATTGACATCGGGGGAGGGTATGCAGGCTGTACTGGGCAAGGCATGTGAAGAGTAGGGTATGCAGTTCAGTATCTCAGGTTGCAATGGCTGTTTGGAGTCGTGGTCACCTGGTGGTCTGGCCAGCAGCAACAAGTCTATAAATCGATTGTTCAGCATTCCTTCCCAAGGGGGAATGCTGCAACCTTGGTTATCTCCTAGAGCCAGTTCCTGGAATTTTTAGCATTGAGGTACTGGTGTGGGTTTGTGATCAGTGAGAATGCATGAAAGAATGCTCTAGAGCATGTGAGCTGAACCAACCCCATCTCCACTGTGTCTTATTCCCCGCTGAGAGAATTTATTCTCCCTCTTCTTAAGGAGAAAGGGCAATGGTTTCATCTTTTGGAGCTACTTCCTGCTGGCCAGGGTCATTGTTTATCCCTAATTTATGAAGTCATAAAAACGTCTTGATTTAGTGTTTCATAGGAGCTTGGCTCCTCCTGGGATGGTAGGGGTTGGAATCCTTGCACCACTATCAGTTTGACATGAACTGTTGAAGCCTGGAAGACAAACTTTAACCATCTGCACCGCCGTTGAATGTAACAGATAATTATTTTAAAAATCAAATAGCACACAGTAATAATTAATAAAATGCTTAAGCTCAGTTTAACAATGCTTATAAGAAGGGATTGAACACCATTTGAAATTTAAGTTGGTAGGCTGGAAAACCAGTCTCCTGTTGTCTGAAATATAAAGCAAACAGACTTTTAATAGAGGCATTTCTATGGAAACAGAAGAAAAACAAGCATTAATGGTGGGCATAATCTATCCAGATGTTAGATTCAAAGCATCTTTAGTTACAGAGAAAGGCAGTGGCAATCTGACATGTTCTCACCTGTATCATAAAGAATAAGCTTTAGCTTGCAGGGAATCAGGAAAAAGACAGTAGAAATCCTGTTAAGTTAGGAAAATGGAAGAAAAATTTGAAAACATTAGTTTGGAGACTTGTAGCCCAGAAAGGACTTAAGATTCAATCCAAATAGCAGCAAATAATTTTTCAACTCAAAAACAATGAACAAAAACAATGAACAAGAACAGAATCTAACAGCAGGTATATTATAAGCTTTCTCTATCCAGTCTTTCATTTTTATCAGTGGCAAATCACAGCAGGACCAATTTGCAAAACAAGTTTTGATCTTATTATACTTGGCCTGATTATTTGCATAAGGTACAACAAAAATAATTATTTCCCATACAGACCGTCTTCTAAATTGGCTTTCCTAGAACTTTTTCCATAAGGAATATCAGATTTGACACTTTTTAAAGCCTCGAGCCCAGTCACATATTTATCTGTGCCTGCAAATACTTATATGAGTTGGGTGAATTCCTCTCTTCTGGAGGTCCCAAGATAAACGGGGGCTTCTGGGCCCGTTAGAAAGTGATGTTCTTGCCTGGCATGGTGGCTCACCCCTGTAATCCCAGCACTTTGGGAGGCCGAGGCGGGCAAATCACCTGAGGTTAGGAGTTTGAGACCAGCCTGGCCAACATGGTGAAACGTCGTCTCTACTAAAAATACAAAAATTAGCCAGGTGTTGTGGCAGGCACCTGTAGTCTCAGCTACTCGGGAGGCTGAGGCAGGAGAATCCTTTGAACCCAGGAGGCAGAGGTCGCACTGAGCCAAGATCATGCCACTGCACTCCAGCCTGGGTGACAGTGAGACTCTGTCTCAAAAAAAAAAAGTGATGTTCTTTACTTACCACAGTTAGGTACCCTATACAGGGACTATGTAGACAAGGTATGAGACCAGTTCTCCCAAGGAGATTTATCAGCTCTGTAAGTCAACTTTGATTCCCTAAAGCAGTCTGCTTATATGTGAAAGCATGTCATTTCAGTGAAAGCCTGGGTAAAATAACCACTGTCTCCAAGTGTGTCCTATTATAAAAGAAAACAGATTCTTATTGCACTTACGCAAATAACTATGTTGCCATAAGTTAAGAATACTCACAAATAGTTTTCAAATTCTATTTGAAAATAGAGAAATCAGGCAGAGAAAATTTGTTCACAGGAGCGTACTTTACTCAATTGTTAAAACTTATAAAGTAGCTCAAAAGAAAAAAAAGTGTTCTTGACTCTGAAAAACAAAACAAAAAGGACCAGCAACATTTCAAGCAAAATCTTTTATTAGTTTGGTCCGTGCAATTAACTTCTGGTCTGCTCAATATTTATGAACACATTACCTCCCCAAGAGAGTCTTGGAAATTTTTCCCTCTATTCTAATGACTCAATCCTCAAAGTTATCAGAGACCTGAATTCAAGAGTACCTGTCAGAGTCTTCTAGCTGATTATAAACTGTCTTTTGAATGAGATCAAAACAAGACGATTGTCTGTAGAGGACAAAAGTCTTAGGGCAGCCACAGTTAAAGATGCAATTGACAAGGAAATCTGGTCATCTCTGTGGCACACAGTCATTTAACATAATAATCATAATTATTAACAACATAATACTGAGATATATTAGAATTATAGGAATTTTATATAATTTTGTGATACATACAAATAACATATAAATATAACCCAAAGAAAGTTAAACACCGTTTTATATTTGACAATGTTTCCTGCAGTTTTTATGTACCAAATAAGCTAGATACGTCTCTTTTGGACTTCAGGGAACCTAATATCTAAAAAGGTCAATCAAGTCAAAAAAAGATTAGAGTATGATTTTGAAAAGTTAATCAAATATCAAAGGTTTAAAACACTTTTCATCACAAAATAGAACCACAGTTTATTTTAGTCAAAGTGATTAACTCAAATATTTCAAAAAAGCAAAACTCCATTAGTCTTTTATAGAGAGGAGACAGCTTTCCAAACAACAAAAACCAAAAAAGACAGCATGAAGCCAGCTGAATCTGTCTCTTCTCTCTCCCTTTTTCCTGCAGGCAAATGAAAATCTTGCTTAAAAGGGAAAACCATATGCTACCTCTGCATTAGTGTATTAATGCTAAAGTTCATTTTAATAAAATTTTATAAGGAAATCTATCGAATTGTAACCCATTTGACCATAAGGTAAGAATTTTATAAACCTTTTATAACCCTTTATAATTTTTTGTTAAAGAACAGATCAATACTCCAAGAAAACCCTGTTGTTCTGACACATGGGCCCAAATTCTGGCCCTGCATCAATATGATTTTATTTTAATGTGTAATTTATGGGAAAACTAAATAATAATCTTAATTTTAGCCAACTTGCTCACACACAGAATTTTCTTAATAATATTAATTTGTCACAAACCTTCTTCAACTTGCTTAAACCATCAGTTTTATTCTACCTTTCTTTTAACCTAAGACAAGCTTTAAACCTGCAAACCCTGAAAATCTCAGACAGGTCTCAGTTAATTTAGAAAGTTTATTTAGCCAAGGTTGAGGACAGACGCCCGAGATACAGCCTCAGGAGGTCTTGATAACATGTGCCCAAGGTGGTCAAGGCACAGCTTGGTTTTTTACTTTTAGGGAGATATGAGGCATCAATCAATACATGTAAGATGTACTATACGTTGGTTCCCTCTGGAAAAATGGGATAACTCAAGCAGGGAGGGGGCTTCCAGGTCACAGGTAGGTGAGAGACAAATGGGTTGCATTCTTTTTTTTCTTCTGCTTTTTTAAATTATTATTTGTTTTATTATTATACTTTAACTTCTGAGATACCTGTGCAGAACATACAGGTTTATTACATAGGTATACACGTGCCATGGTGGTTTGCTGCACCCATCAACCCATCATCTACATTAGTTATTTCTGCTAATGCTATCCCTCCCCTAGTCCCCCACCCCCTGACAGGCCCCAGTGTGTGATGTTCCCCTCCCTCTGTCCATGTGTTCTCATTTTTCAACTCCCACTTACGAGTGAGAACATGCGATGTTTGGTTTTCTGTTCTTGTGTTAGTTTGCTGAGAATGATGGTTTCCAGCTTCATCCATGTCCCTGCAAAGGACATGAACTCATCCTTTTTTATGGCTGCATAGTATTCCATGGTGTATATGTGCCACTTTTTCTTTATGCAGCCTGTCATTGATGGGCATTTGGGTTGGTTCCAAGTCTTTGCTATTGTGAACAGTGCTGCAATAAACATACGTGTGCATGTGTCTTTATAGCAGCATGATTTATAATCCTTTAGGTATATACATAGTAATGGGATTGCTGGGTCAAATGGTATTTCTGGTTCTAGATCCTTGAGGAATTGCCACACTGTCTTCCACAATGGTTGAACTAATTTACATTCCCACCAACAGTGTAAAAGCATTCCTATTTCTCCACATCCTCTCCAGCACCTGTTGTTTCCTGACTTTTTAATGATTGCCATTCTAACTGGTGTGAGATGGTATCTCATTGTGGTTTTGATTTGCATTTCTCTAACGACCAGTGATGATGAGCTTTTTTCATATGTTTGTTGGCTGCATAAATATCTTCTTTTGCAAAATGTCTGTTCATATCCTTTGCCCACTTTTTGATGGGGTTGTTTGTTTTTTTCTTGTAAATTTGTTTAAGTTCTTTGTAGATTCTGGATATTAGCCCTTTGTCAGATGGATAGATGGTGAAAATTTTCTCCCATTCTGTCGGTTGCCTGTTCACTCTGATGGTAGTTTCTTTTGCTGTGCAGAAGCTCTTTAATTAAATTAGGTCCCATTTGTCAATTTTGGCTTCTGTTGCCATTGCTTTTGGTGTTTTAGTCATGAAGCCTTTGCCCATGCCTATGTCCTGAATGGTATCTTTTGAGTTTCTGATTAGCCTTTCCAAGGGAGGCAAACAGATGCGCATTTATCTCAGTGAGCAGAGGAATGACTTTGGATAGAATGGAAAGCAGGTTTGCCTTAAGCAGTTCCCAGCTTGACTTTTCCCTTTAGCGTAGTGATTTTGGGGCCCCAAGATTTCCAAGATTTATTTTCCTTTTACAAACCCTTTAAATTAGACAAATTACTTTTTCTTAAAATCCACATTCCCATGCCTTTTTACCAAAAACATATAATTTTTATTTTTAGCATAAGCAAGTATAATTATGTATCAGGTGCAGAGTCTAGGACATAGGACAGAACTGCAGATAATGTCTTAACTCTTTCTAGCATAGCTAGGGCTCATGGCTAACACCATATGTACCCAAACCTCACCAAGAATCTATTACTTTTTTTTTTTTTTTTTTGAGACAGAGTCTCACTCTGTCTCCCAGGCTGGAGTGCAGTGGCATGATCTCGGCTCACTGCAACCTCTGCCTCTCAGGTTCAAGTAATTCTCGTGCCTCAGTCTCCCAAATAGCTGGGATAACAGGCGTGTGCCACCACGCCTGGCTAATTTTTATATTTTTAGTAGAGACAACGGGGTTTCACCATGTTGGCTAGGCTGGTCTTGAACTCCTGGCCTCAAGTGATCCGCCCACCTCAGCCTCCAAAGTGCTAGGATTACAGGCATGCGACATCGCGGCCAGCTGAATCTATTATTGTTAATAATAAAAACTGCAATTACTTTCACAACAACCTAATAATAGCTCTAAAGCCAGCAAGTCAAATAATTATCAAAAGTCATAAAAGCAGTTTATGACTTCGAAGCTATCTAGTAAAGACAGTATCTGAGCTGTCTAATGTAGACCAAATGCTTAAATTTTGAAGTTGTTTTTATTTTATTCATCTCTAAAACATTATTAGTAGTACCAAAGATTACTAAAGTCACGTGAACTAAAAGGCATTAAAGTTTTCATTTTTTGACAAAGTATATTATTTAAGCACTTATTTTTCTTTAAGCCAATTAATTAGAGCTCTTTTTTATAAACATCACACACAACACATATAAATACACAGACAGAAGCTGCTCTGGTACAGTAATAAATTTTTTATTTGCCAGTTTCTGTCTCTCTTGACCATTTTAGACCATGAGTCTTTTGATTACCTGTTTCCTCCCTAAATAATTGTCAGCTAGGCAACTCTAAATTTGTATTTGTAAAGGAACAACTTAGGTGAAACAAGATAGAAGACTGATATGTTACTCAAACCAAGGGCAAATGGTGTGAGCAAAAGTTCAATTAAGATGGCCACGAAACGGACCAGGTGCGGTGGCTCATGCCTGTAATCCCAGCACTTTGGGAGGCCAAGGCGGGCAGACTGCTTGAGGTCAGGAGTTCGAGACCAGCCTGGTCAACATGTTGAAACCCTGTCTGTACTAAAAATTACAAAAATTAGCTGGGCATGGTGGCTCATGCCTGTAATCCCAGCTACTCGGGAGATGTAGGCATGAGAATCACTTGAACTTGGGAGGCAGAGGTTGCAGTGAGCCGAGAAGACTGAGCCACTGCACTCCAGCCTAGGCCACAGAACGGGCCACTCCGTCTCAAAAAAAAAAAAAAAAGATAGTTCGGAAAAGCAGATACTCTTATTCATGGAGATTTCCTTAAAGGTGTAATTTTTTTTTTTTTTTTTTTTTTTTTTGAGACAGAGTCTTGCTCTGTTGCCCAGGATGGAGCGATCTTGGCTCACTGCAAGCTCCGCCTCCCGGGTTCACGCCATTCTCCTGCCTCAGCCTCCCAAGTAGCTGGGACTACAGGCACCCGCCACCACGCCCAGCTAATTTTTTGTATTTTTAGTAGAGACGGGGTTTCACCATGTTAGCCAGGATAGTCTCGATCTCCTGACCTCGTGATCCACCCGCCTCGGTCTCCCAAAGTGCTAGGATTACAGACGTGAGCCACCGCACCCGGCCAAAGATGTAAATTTTTAAATTGGATTATTGGCTTTGGGGTGGAGCCTTTTAAGGAACAAGGCCAGAAAAGTCTGTTTCTAAGGCCTAATAGGCAGGCACAGCTGGATGGCAAAACAGATTCCCAGGGATTAAGGATCCCATTTTTATCCCGAATCCTGGGTCCCCAAAAAGAGGGAAACATTACAAGACAGGACAGCGCAATGCTTCCACAGAGCATCTCACTGCAAAGACATTTCTCCAATGCTGGTGGGCAGCCCAGTACCAATCAGCCCATTCGGTAATCAGCCCGTCCCCCCAATTCCATACCTTCTATGTACCCAAGAGCACACTTTTCTTATCTAAATGTTCAAAGAAAGGAGTATCGCCCTGTAGTAATAAACATTCACTGTAAGCAACTATCATTAGCCATCCCTAAAAGTGTATTTCTCATCTAGCTCTTACACATCAAGGCTAAAAGTTTTCTCATAATGTAAAGTATTATGTGATGCCCCCAAAAGTCAAAATGTTTAGGTAATATAACACAAAACAAAGCAAAGCATTAGATTGTGAGAGGAATCTGTCTGCTTACAATTCTTGGGGTTCTATGAGGAAAACAGAGGTTTCTCCCAAAACAGGGTCTGTGATGCCTCCGTTTTTCCAAGGAGTCCTAGGCTGTTAGAAATGACCTTAGGTCCTCTCTTGTGGGCATTGTGGGTGGCAAGGAAACAGACAGAAGTAAATGGAGGAACAATTTAGTCAACTAAGAAGAAAAAAAAATTTTCAAAAAACAAGATCCAAGAAGAAGAAAAGCATAAAAGACTTTTAAAATTAATCTGGCTTTTAACCATACAGCTCTTTTTAAAAAAGAAAAGTATGGCCGGGAACAGTGGCTCATGCCTGTAATCCCAGCACTTTGGGAGACCAAGGCAGGCGGATCACGAGGTCAGGAGATCGAGACCATCCTGGCTAACACGGTGAAACCCTGTCTCTACTAAAAATACAAAAAATTAGCTGGGCTTGGTGGCGGGTGCCTGGAGTCCCAGCTACTCGGGAGGCTGAGGCAGGCGAATGGCGTGAACCTGGGAGGTGGAGCTTGCAGTGAGCTGAGATAGTGCCACTGCACTCCAGCCTGGGCGAAAGAGTGAGACTCCGTCTCAAAAAAAAAAAAAAAAAAAGAAAAGAAAAAATATATTTTAAAATATTTTATTACCAGACTTTAGCCAGGACAAACAGCCAACACCTCTGGCTTTTAAGCTTTTTCTCTCCAGAGGTATTTTCCAAATGACACAATAAGCCTTAACTAAGATTATGACTTAATCATGGATGCGCAAAGTGTTTCCAAAGAGATGGCAAGCAGTTTTTAGAAGATCTAGAATCGCCCCAGAGATAGCTCAGAGAAAAAAAAAAAAAAAAAGTCAAGACAGGAAATCAGAAGCTGTCCATGGAGGGGAAAAGAATTAATAAATGGCAAAAGTCCCACATGTTATCAAACCAGAAAGAAATTCCCTAAGCCAGGAATGGAACCCTAGCCACCTTCATCAAACGGCAGACCCTTATCTACTGAACTATAGCATGAGGCAGTCACCACTGTTTTTCCCAGAAGGTATCTAAAGCAGTCATTGTTGAACTTGCAAAAGATTTTTAACTGCTCAAGAGAATTCTTAAGACTAGTTGTGACATTGTGATGTTCCTTTCAGACCAAATGCCTGACATGAACTCGAAATTCTCACCCTCCAGGTAGCAAAGACCAGAAGAAAGTGACCTACATGGTCACAAACTCAAGCTCTCAAGGACATAAAACAAAATGAGGGGAAACCTCATCCAGTTTTTATTTCAGGGACCCGCAGCAAAGTTTGTAACTGACCAGTCTGCTGGGCTGTCTCGAACAGCGAGCATACACGAGTTCTATCCCCAGGTTCTGTCTTGGGGTGCCCCTCTCCACAACAGAACAACACAGACAAATCCTTTTTCCCATTAATCAAAATCTTGCAGAGAAAACAAACAGTGATTTTTACCATTCACTCAACCGGTTTGCACAGAGAGAGAGAAGCCAGGAACCTGGAGGGTAAGAAATTCTTACTCTCTTGCTGTCATGCCAGGCTTTTAGATTCCATTTCTCTGCAGCTTCCGGAAGAGCAGAGCTGCTTTTGCTGAGCTTGCTCACTGCACCATAGCTATGGGGGGCCAAGTCACATTACAAAAGAAAATCATCTATTTCCATTTCATGGAACCACAGGCAAGAGCCTTTCAAATTACTCTACTGAACTCTATAGGTACAGGTGAACCATTTGATCTCTGAACTTTTCTTTTTTTTTTTTTTTTTTTTGAGATGGAGTCTCACTCCCGTTGCACAGGCTGGAGTGCAGTGGCGCGATCTCGGCTCACTGCAACCTCCACCTCCAGGGTTCAAGCAATTCTCCTTCCTCAGCCTCCCACATAGCTGGGATTACAGGCATGCACCACCATGCATGGCTAATTTTTGTATTTTTAGTAGAGACAGGGTTTCGCCATGTTGGCCAGGCTGGTCTTAAAGTCCTGACCTCAGGTGATCCACCTGTCTCAGCTTCTCAAAGTGCAAGGATTACAGGTGTGAGCCACCACAGCCAGCCTGAACTTTTCTTATTGTGCAGAAAACCCATACTGACAGTCACCCCTAGGCGTCCCTGGTGCCTTCCTGAAGACCAGCCAGGCATCCCCAGCACCCTGTCTCAGGCATTCTCCCCACACTTAAAGGACCACACGTGAGACAGATGCCCAGAAAGATGACAGGCCTCTCTTCTCCATCAGAGGTGACAAAGGAAAGTGAAGTAATGAGGGGTTTTGAATAGAGTTACAGGATCAAGGGCCAAGGTGCCAGGTAGGGAGAGTGACAAGAGAGAGAGGGATTTTCTTGGGACTCAACCCCAAACCAACTTAGGCCAGGGGAGGGATGCAGCCCATCTCACTGCCTGCTGGGTTGATCAGACCCAGATATCACCTGTTTCCATCCATCCCTCAGGGATGTCTATAAGTAAAACAGGGAAGCCATTTCAAGGTTTCTCAAGGATATCTCTTTAGGCCAGGGGTCCCCAACCCCGGTCCATAGCCTGTTAGGAACTGGGCCACACAGCCGGAAGTGAGCAGTGGACAAGCAAGCGAGGCTTCACCTGTGTTTATAGCTGCTCCCCATTGCTCCATTGCTCACATTACCATCAGATCAATAACAGCATCAGATTCTCATAGGAGCACAACCCCATTGTGAACTGCACATGCAAGGGATCTAGGATGTGCACTTTTTTTTTTCTTTTTTTGAGATAGAGTCTCGCCCTGTCACCTGGGCTGGAGTGCAGTGGCCAGATCTCGGCTCACTGCAACCTCCACCTCCTGGGTTCAAGCGATTCTCCTGCCTCAGCCTCCTGAGTTGCTGGGATTACAGGTGCATGCCACCACGCCCAGCTAATTTTTTTGAATTTTTAGTAGCGACAGGGTTTCACCATGTTGGTCAGGCTGGTCTCAAACTCCTGACCTCATGATCCACCTGCCTTGGCCTCCCAAAATGCTGGGATTACAGGTGTGAGCCTCCGTGCCTGGCTGGGTTGTGCACTTCTTATGAGACTCTAATGCCTGATGATCTGTCTCTGTCTCCCATTACTCTCAGATGGGACCATCTAGTTGCAGGAAAACAAGTTCAGGGCTCCCACTGATTCTGTTATTGTGAGTTTTATAATTATTTCATTATATATTACAATGTAATAGAAATAAAGTCCACAATAAGTGTAATGCACTTGAATCATCCCCAAACCATCCCCCCGACCCTGGTCCATGGAATAATATTCTTCCACAAAACTGGTCCCTGGTGCCAAAAAGGTTAGGGACCACTGCTTTAGGCTACCCAAAACAGTAAGAAGTAGGAGACAAGAAGTAAAGCACCCTGAGTGACAGAAAAGACAGGAAAGGGAAAGGAGAGAAAGAGAAAGAAGGGGAGGGAGAAAACCATTGCTAGCTGTGGGGAGGCGAGGAAGTTCGGGAGGCTTGAGAAAGACTCACCCATCGCAATGACACTGAATCAAAAGTTCAGGTGGCCGTTTGCCAGCCGCAAAGGGATCTTGTCCAGCAGTCCCATCAGCTTGCAAGTCTCCCCCTCAGAGAGAGAAAGACTCCCCATGTCCTGTAATCCCAGACAAGCCCCCAAAGAATATGTTAGCAACCACAGGTTCCTGGGCTCTCAATGCAATAGAAATCGACATGGTTCCAAAAGAGTTTTCCCAAACAAGGCTTCATTGGAACTTATGCTTGGGCATAAGGGAGGCAGCATAAGAGAGAGAATTCCCTGAACTGATGCCCTGAAAAGAGCAGGTAGGGCTTTTTTACTAATCAAAGCACAGGAATTGACATCGGGGTAGAGTATGGAGGCTGGGCTGGGCAAAGCACGTGAAGGTAGGGTATGCAGGTCAGCAGATCTCCTTGCAATGGTTATCCTGAGTCATGGGCCACCTGGTGGTCCAGACTGCAGCAACACGGCTGCAAACAAATTGTTCAGCATTCCTTCCCCAGGTGGGACACTCCACAACCTTAGTTTTCTCCTAGAGCCAGTTCCTGGAATTTTTAGTAGTGAGGTCGTGGTGGGGTTTTGTGATGGGCGGGAATGCATGAAAGAATGCTGCAGTGGGGGTGAGCTGAAACCAAGCCCCATCTCTACCGTGTCTCACTAAGTGCTCCATAAATATCTCTTGAATTAAACAAAGTGCTTCCTGTAGGAATATCTGGTGATGGAATTCCCAGAGTCATTCTCAATAGCTTGGCACTAAAGCAACTGAAGTCCTCCATATTTTTGTAATTTTTTTCAGGGGTAAAAAGCAATCCTGATGAGTTCTGGCAACTAAAGTATAAAATAAACAAAAGACATTCTTAAGTTGGAAACAGATGCCCTTCACACAGTAGGATTTGTATCTGCACGATTGAGGAGGATAAAAAGCAGGTTTAATTAACAAGACAACAGGGAGGCCCAGGGAGTCATTCATGTGGATTCTGAGTGCAACCCTGGATTCTTTCAATGGCTTTTGGGGTTAACATGATGGTTCTCTGTGACATTGGTGTGCCAGATCGAAACTAGAGTTGTTCCTTCACCTTAATTCAGATACATCACCCAAACTGTTCTACCACTTGGCAGGCCTTGTTATGACATCTGAGGCTTTTTTTTTTTTTTTTTTTTGAGACAGGATCTCACTCTGTCACCCAGGCTGGAGTGCAGTGGCACGATCTCGGCTCACTGCAACCTCTAGCTCCCGGGTTCAAGTGATTCTCCTGCCTCAGCCTCCTGAGTAGCTGGGATTACAGGCACCCGCCACCACGCCCGGCTAATTTTTGTATATTTAGTAGAGGCAGGGTTTCACCATGTTGGACCAGGCTGGTCTGGAACTCCTCAGGTGATCTGCCTGCCTCGGCCTCCCAAAGTTCTGGGATTACAGTCGTGAGCCACCGTGCCCAGCCGACATCTGAGGCTTTTATGTGAAACAGAACAAAAGGAAAGGAAGAGAAAGATTTGCCTAAAGGAGAAGAGCTGGGTAAGAGATGGAAGAGAGGGTGGAAGTTAAGGGAGCACATGTATGTAGTGTGCACCAGTGAGATTCCTGAAATAGAACCAAGATTTGCATGTTCAAACAGTGAACAAGGAGAGCAGCATGTGCACTCAATCCCCTTGCAGAGGGAAAAAGGAGATAGTAAGAAAGAAAATGAGGCCATCCACGGTGGCTCACACCTGTAATCCCAGCACTTTGGGAGGCCAGTGTGGGAGGATCACTTGAGCCCAGGAGTTTGAGACCAGCCTGGGTAACATAGCAAGACCTCATCTCTGCAAATAATAAATTTAAAACAAATAGCTGGATGTAGTGGTAGGTGTCTGTAGTCCCAGCTACTGTGGAGGCTGAGGTAGGAGAACCGCTTGAGCCCAGGAAGTCAAGGCTGCAGTAAGCTCTGATTGTGCCACAGCACTCCAGCCTGGGTAACAGTGAGAACCAGTGTAAAAGAAAAAAAAAAGAGAGAGAGAATAAATCAGACTATCTCAAGACAGCCATGTCTTGAGGTGCTTCAAGACTAACATAGCTTGGGTGCTTGGGTTCTGTCTGGAGTTTTGTTGAGATCCAAGGGAGATTTACCATCAGGGTCAACCAGACGCCTGCTGTATCACATCTCCACTCTCACCTGGCAAGGCTTTCTTGTCTCATTTAAATGGTTCAGACCATGTCCATTTTGTGTCCAGTTGTGGCGCTAATCAGGAAATTGATTAGGAGCCTCCAGCACTGAAGAACAGTCTTAAGATCAATTCTTATTATAGTGTCCAAGTCATGCTTTGCGGTCTCTTTGTCTAGATCCAAGTCACTCAGGGTCTCAGCAGAAGCTTGTTCCTTCAGCTAACAGTCTGTCTACTCTATCACCATTGATTTGAGCCCTGGGTCACATACTAGCTGTGAGAATTCTGCCAAGATCTTCATCTCCCTGGTCCAGTTTGCTGCCTCCTCTCACTTGGGCTAATGCCACAGCTTCATTATTGGTCTTTCTGCCTTCACTCTTGCCCTTTATTCCCCAAATATTCAGCCAGAGTGATCCCTTAAAAAGGAAAACTAGGACCGAGGGCAGTGGCTCACACCTGTAATCCCAACACTTTGGGAGGCTGAGGAAGGAGGATCACTTGAGGCCAGGAGTTTGAAAGCAACCTGGGTAATATAGTGAGACCCCTATCTCTACAAAAAAAAAAAAAATTAAATTAGCCTTGTGTAGTAGCACACACCTATAGTCCCAGCTACTTGGAGGCCGAGGTGGGAGGACTGCTTGACCCTGAGAGGTCAAGGATGCAGTAAGCTGTGATTGTGCCACTGTACTCCAGCCTAAGCTACAGAGTGAGACCTTGTCTCAAAAAAATTTTTTTTAATTAAAAAAAATCTCTATAACCACTTCTGTAGCCAATTTCTAGCCCATTATATTTTATTTTGCTCATAACTCATCAATATCTGAAGTCCTTTATTTATTTGCTTATCTGATTATTACCTTGACTCCAAGAATGTGAGCTTCAAGAGGGCAGGGACCTTGTCCACTTTGTTCAATGCTATATCTCCAGCCTGTAGCATAATACTTGGCCCTTAGAAATGATTTGCTGAATGTCAAATGAATGAATGGGGCTGAAGGGTACAAGGAACTAGGTAATTTAGTTATCTAGAACTAGAACATCTGAAAGCAACAAAACCAAAATCACTTAGGTACACAGTCAGCATATATTTGGTTCATACTACATACCACCCACCTTAGACGGCACAGGTCAACACTGTGCCATGATTCAAGTTTGTCCTGGGCTTTGCTTGACTCCTATGGGACATGCCTTTGGCCCAGGAAAGTATTCTATGGCTCTAACAGCCAGGGGCCTCTGTATTAACTCAGTACCCTACCCTGAGGATGCTGAAGGACCCACTGGAAGACAAAGTGTCCTTGGGAATGGGGACTGACCTGGTAGCCAAAGATCACACACCCAGCTGAATGATCACACGGCTTTGAATTACTAGGCTGTTCTGATCACTGCACCTCTACCCTCAGCTTTCATGAGACATAAATCAGGGGCCAGAATTCACCACCTTCTCTGACTCTCCTGAGTACATTCATCACACTGATGTTTGTCAAACCTTTCAGTACCACTCAGTTAGAAAGGAGAAAAGGCGAAAAACTGGATGATAGGGACTAGAGACATCAGTGAATCAAGGAAAGATGAAACTACAGGGTCTGTCCACAGAGTTCTTTCTCCTGTGTTCCAGGAAAGGGCTAAAGGGCTATGAGCTTGTCCTGCCAAGTTTTGTCTTGGTGTCACCTGGGCACAAACATCTTCCCAGGGAGGGGCCTGAACTGGAGGAACGAGAGAGAGAGAGAGAGAGAGAGAGAGAGAGAGAGAGAGAGATCCTTGTAATAAAGTTCCAGGAAATCCACTCCTATTTGACCTCTGCCCTTTGGATGGATGTCTGACCTCTACTGCTCTGGTCTATGGGCCAGATGGAAATAAGCACTGATCGCTGTCTGCTCAGCCCCTTCTCTTCTTTCAGAAACAATCACTTTATCCTCTGAGAAACTACATGAGGCTCCCCTTAAAATGCCTGCCTTTCATGAGAACCTAAAGCCATAGTCTCCAGATGTCCTTACTTGCACACTGTTAATAAGATTTTGACTATGCACCCCAGTACATACATACACTTATATACAAAATAGATGCATGTCCAACTGTGTTTATATATTGGATAATTATAAAACATGCACGGGAGCGGATTTTTTTAAGGATGAAATAACAAATAAAGAGAAAGAAAAGTCTAATTTTTCTCCCCACATCCTAAAGAATGTCTCTACTTAGAAGTCCACTGCTCTAAACAGTGAAGCTCCCCTAAATATAAACTGAATAGATGTCATTTTCAAAACAATATTCCTTATGGTGATTCTTAATTACCTAACCCCCCAATAAACAACCTATGCAAGCCAGTATCTTAAGTTTCTAACCCCCAATAAACCAACTTATGCCAACTAGTGTATTCATCCAGTAGTTTAGTAGCTGAGGTACCCTAAGTGTGGTCATGGACACAGCATCAGCATCCCCTAAGAGGACAGTTGAAGGAATATGCAGAATCTAAAGTCCTGCCCCAGGCCGGGCATGGTGACTCATGCCTGTAATCCCAGCACTTTGGGAGGCTGAGGTGGGCGGATCACTTGAGGTCAGGTATTCTAGACCAGCCTGGCCAACATGGTGAAACCCCATCTCTACTAAAAATACAAAAATTAGCCAGGCATGGTGGGGGGCGCCAGTAATCCCAGCTACTCAGGAGGCTGAGGCAGGAGAATTGCTTGAACCCAGGGGTCGGAGGTTGCAGTGAGCTGAGATCGCGCCATTGCACTCCAGCCTGGGTAACGAGAGCGAAACTCCATCTCAAAAAAAATAAATGAATAAAATTTAAAAATAAAAATAAATAAAGTCCCTCCCCAGACCTGCTGAATTAGAATCTCCATTTGAATAAGATCGCCAGGTAAATCCCGTGCGCACTAAAGTTGGACAAGCAGCGATCTAAGAGATCATTTCCCAAGATTCCCTGATTATAAGACTCACTTGGGATGCATGAACAAATTTACATCTCCGCTCCCACTTCACGCCTACTGAATCAGAACCTACTGTGGCAGGACATGGGACTCTGTGTTTTTATAAGAGACTCAGGCGATTCTCAGATTAGGTAAGTTGGGAACTGCTGCCCTAAGAGGGTTCTATCAATAGTAAAGCTTCTTCCTTCTTTTTTCATAATGGTAAGTCTATGGACGCAGGTGCAAAAAGGAAAGTAACAAGCCAGACAGGTACCAACCACCTTCTTACCTGTGCACTTTACCTGAGGCAGGTGCAAAAAGGAAAATATTAAGCCAGATGGTAACAACCACCTTCCTTCTTGTGCACTCACCTGGTAGAGCCCAGGATTATGAAGTAGGAGAGGATGACAAGGCGCGGACATTCTAACCTCAGTATTAACTGCAGGTAGGTCGAGGCTCCCAATCTCCCTGGAACCACAGCATTCACTTCAATGATTACTGTCACTTCCAAAGATGGGAATGGTTTTCTCTTGTGATCATTGATTAATACAACTTAAAATGGATATGACACGAGTTTTATGTAAAGCATCTGCCCTCTCTTAAACATAATGAAATAACAAATAAGGGCTTGAAAGGAAAATTGAATAAATTATTCACCAGGGAAGCTTCAGCTTTAGAAGTTTGAACTGGGATCTATTGTTTAGTGGGCTGGATTAGTGAGTATGTGTTGCATATTTGCTCTAATCGGATGAGTGGGATCTCCCTAGATACACCTGCTATGTAGATCAGAATAATCTAAGAGGATAAAGTAAAATCCAACTAAGCCACTGTCTGAAACAGTGTTCAACTGCTGCTGTACCAAAAAACATTAAGATTCCCAACAGGTAAGCTTTGGGGTTATGAAGAATGTTTTTTCTGAAAAATTTCCTTTCCTGGTTTATTGCCTCAATTTCACTGGACAGTAGCATCCCCCATTTCACAGAAGAGAAAAACGAGGACAGGCTAACCATCTTACAGCTACCGTTGAGTGCCTGCTATGTGCGTGGCATTGTGCTAAATGTTGCATAAAGAATGTACTATTAGGCCAGGCACGGTGACTCACACCCATAATCCCAGCACTTTGGGAGGCCGAGGCAGGCCGAACAGTTGAGCTCAGGAGTTCGAGACCAGCCTGGCCAACATGGTGAAACCACATCTCTACTAAAAAAATACAAAAATTAGCTGGGTGTGGTGACACACACCTGTAATCCCAGCTACTCAGGAGGCTGAGGCAGGAAAACCGCTTGAACCCAGGAGGTAGAGATCGTGTCACTGCACTCCAGCCTGGGCGACAGAGCGAGACTCCGTCTCAAAGAAAAAAAAAAGAATGTACTATTATTACGCCCCCATTCTAACTTCTGAGGCTCAGAGAGGTTAAGTAACTTGCCCAAGGTCATGCAGCCATTCTGTCTAAGTGACAGAGCCAAAACTGGAATCCACATTTGCTGATTCCAAAGTTTGGATTTCTAACCTCTATTTTATGCTGCCTCCTTTTTCCAAAACTCACACAACTGGCAACACCAAGTGCTGTCCTCATGTGATGATCACTCTCTGGAAGCCTCCCCTTCAATCAGCAAAGATAACAATTACTGAGTGTTTACTATAAGCTGTGCACAACCCCAACTGTGGGGGCATAACCTTCACCCCTGAAGTGTACACAGGGTAGAGGAAATGACATGTAAGCACATAAGGATAAATGTTGAGGCACAAAGAAAAGAGCAGACAATTCTCTCTGGATTAGAGGTCACTGAGACAGCTTCTTGGAGAAGAAAATGCTGAAAAATGAGAAAGTGAGTTCTGGGTAGAGCACAAACTGCCTCTGTTGTTCAACTACACCAAAATCTGTGCCTCACGAGAGTCCAAGCATCTCTCTGTGTTGCAACGTCTGGGTAGGAGGAGCAGGACAAAGCATAGCTGATAAACCCATTGTACAGGTATCTAATGTTGTGTCTCCCTGCTTCTTCTGGGAATTTATCCTCTCCCAGATACATCCATAAGATTTCTCTAAGAGCTGCCAAGTTCTTCTTTGACCTCAAGGCACAATTGATTGGTTCTTGGATGGGTACTTGACCCAAACCAGGCCAATCAGAGGTCAAGATTTTTTATTATTATTATTTTGGGCCACAGAGAGCAGTAGGTGGCCTCCATCTGGTTGGTATGACCATGATTTGAAAAAGTCAACACCAATGGCCACCATGTTTTCTACCATGGGGAGTTACTCATCCATCATGAGAGAAGTTAACACTTGGAAAGGGGCAAAAACAAGAGAAGAATGGTCCTGCTTCCAATGATTCATCAGGTCCAGCTGCCTCACAGCCCTTCCTGCAATGTTGCTGTTCAACCCTTACTGGAATTCTATGGGCCAATAAATCCCCTATTGACCTAGGCAACTTTGAGTTGGCTTTTTGTTACTTTCAACCAAACTATATACTCATGCTTCTTAGTATCCAAAAAGATTGATCAATTAGTACCAATCTTGGCGTCTCCTGTTCCTTCTAGATTTGACTCTGTTCTGAAATATCTGTTCAGTACCAAGCATGTGTCAGACTGAGCTATAACTTGGATGAGGTGATTGAGACTCGCTCCAGGGCACCAAAACTTAGATTTTAATATTTATGGATTGAGAGAGCCTTGGGAAATTTGGTGAAGCTCTCAAACTTAGCACACAAAGGAAAGTTATTTATGATGGTGTTGTCAGTCAAACATGAAGTGAAGGCTGTCACATCATGCTGTCACTTAACTTTGGTAGAAAACTATGTGTTAAAAAAAGTGGCTCATTTTTTGTTTGTCCTAAGATTTAGTGCAGAGTTGTTAGTATAACCAAAATTATATTTAGTACATCAAACTTAATATAAAACTTAGCTTTTCCAATTTCATAACTCTCTCTTTTATATTTTTCCTTATTTTCCCCCACTGTCTACAATGAAATGTTGGTCCCCTTTTAAACAAGATTCACTTTTAGTGAGCTGACCCTAACATAAATTGTCTTTGGATAACAAGGACCTCCTATAATTAAAATCAGCAGCTCCCAGATGGTTCATGAGGGGAACATTTCGTACTGCTTCCCTGGGATCACAAATGGAGAATTCAACCACTGCTAATTCTCCTACCCTCATGGAGATCTCGGTCTAGCTAGAAAAATCAAACTCCTTCCAATCAACTCATTTCTATGGCCAGGGCCAGCAAAAGACGGAGAGATTCTCCCAGAACTCCCACGGTGTAATTTATCCCCTCTCTGCCCTCGCCCAAGAACCCCAGGCAGAAAAACCTGATAGCTCCTAGAAGACACTCTCCATGGGAGGCATTTTTCCCCCATAGATACCTGTTTCTAGAGCAGGGGTTGGCGAACGTTTCCTGTAAAAGGACCAGTGATGTGGTTTGGCTGTGTCCCCACCCACATCTCATTTTGAATTGTAGTTCCCATAATCCCCACGTATCATGGAAGGGACCCGGTGGGAGGTAATTGAATCATGGGGGCGGTTACCTCCATGCAGTTCTCCTGATAATGAGTTCTCATGAGATCTGATGGTTTTACAAGGGGCTTTCCGCCACCTTCACTCATTCTTCTCCTCCCTGCCACCATGCTTCCCCTTCTGACATGATTGTAAGTTTCCTGAGGCCTCCTCAGCCCTGTGGAAATGTGGGTCAATTAAAACTCTTTCCTTTATAAATTACCCAGTCTCGGATATGTCCTTACAGCAGCGGGAGAATGGACTAATACAACCAGACAGTAAATATTTTAGACTTTGCAGACCACATGGTATCTATTGCAACTACTCAACTCTGCTGTTGGCATGCACATGCAGCCAACGATGGACAATACATACACATTGACTGGGTGCCAATAAAACTTTATTTACAAAAACAGGTAGTGGGCTGGATTTGGCCTTTGGGCTGTAGTTTACCTACTCCTGTGCTAGGATATTTTGGGGATGAGGTGTGCTGGCTCTAGGCCTGTTTGCTCTCAGAGACTCCTACCCCTACCACTGCTCACACGGATGCTACCCCCGCAGCCTGTGTTCCCCAGGGTCCTGAGTCAGTGTGTGTCTGGCAATCGTTGGCAGATCACAGACAGGAGAAAAAACAAAGCAAGGACGTTTCCTTCCACACCGGAGGTTTGGGCTGCTTCTCCAGCAGTTCATTTTTCTTCTCCGAGCCTCCAGTCCCCATCAGACAAACCCCCATGATACCAGCTTCTTTTGGAAGACACCAAGCCCTGGGGTCTGCTTCTACTACCTTCCTTTGCCCTTCCAGCCCTACCGATGGTGATGGCTTCCTGCTTGGCTACCCTGGCTCTTCCCTCCTCTGCATTACCTATCCCCTGAGTATCTGCATTCCCTCAGTTTTTAAAACTTAGAGTCTTTTTATTTTCTTGGACCCTGGCTGATCCAGGAGGCAGCGATTATGCCTTTGCTCTCCAAAAGCAACAGTGCTGCAAAACATTGCTGGCTGGGCCTGAGTGGGTTTTAAAGATGATATCCTTTCCTGGCTCTATTGGAAGAAATAATGCGTTTAGCAGAGAAAGCACTTTGCTTTGAGAGTGAACCTTTCAGCAGCACTCGACCTGAGCTGATGGATGGCCTGGCATAGAAGGCCGCTCCTCTGCTCAGCTGCTATGGAAGGAGGCAGAAAGAAGGTAGGAACATGAGAGGAGCTGGTGGCAAGGGCACCCTGTCCACACGTGATGGTGTGGGGGCCTCACCACAGCCAGGTTCTGTGCAAGGCAATAAATAAATAAATAAATAAATAAATAGGGCCAGGCACAGTGGCTCACACCTGTAATCCCAGCACTTTGTGAGGCCAAGGCGGGCAGATCATTTGAGGTCTGGAGTTCGAAACCAGCCTGATCAACATGGTGAAACCCCATTGCTACTAAAAAATACAAAAAATTAGCCAGGCATGGTGGCACACGCTTGTAATCCCAGCTACTTGGGAGGCTGAGGCACGAGACTCACTTGAACCCAGAAGGCAGAGGTTGCAGTGAGCAGAGATCGCACCACTGCACTCCAGCCTGGGCGACACAGCGAGACTCCATTTCAAAAATAAATAAATAAATGAATAAATTGATAAATTAATTAAATAAATGAATAAATGACAACCATGATAATACTGTGTGTCACACACTATAATTAATAAGGTAAAAATAAATATACAGAGAACTAAGTGGTTTGGATATTTATCTTGGTATTTCCCAAATTTGCCAATTAAAATTACCGATTCCTGGACCCCCACCTCAGTTTTATTAATTCAGAGATGAAGCTGAGAAATTGCATTTGGTTAAAGAGCCAAGTGATGCCGCTGACCAGGTAACTTGGGGGCAAACTGTGTCATCTTGTTTTACCTCACATCTTACTTGTGATCTAGTAGATCCTCTTATTCTCATTTTATAAATGAGAAAACAAAAGCACAGAGAGGCGAAGAGGCTACGGAAGGGCCACAGAGCTAGAAAATGGCAGAGTTTGATTCAAATCCAAATCTGTTTGGCTCCAAAGACCAGAGTACATGTCCAGTTTATCAGCCATCTGGCAAGCCACATTCCTTTCATACACCTCAATCCTCACAATAACCCCATGAGGCAGGGATTATTATCCTAAGAATAACTGTAAATGGGCATGAGGAACCTTTTTGGAATGCTGAAAATGATCTAAAACTGAACGGTGATGATGATTTTCAGGTCTGTAAATTTATTAAAAATCACTGAATTGTACACTTAGAGTGGTGAACTTTATGGCATATAAATCATATAAATTGATGCCTCAATAAAGCTATTGTTTTAAAAAGCAAAACAAAAGAATAGAATCTAAGACTAAAGGGAGGCTGTCACCCTTGAATCCAGCAATGCCTCCAGAAGCCACCAAGAGGAAGATGAACCTCTAAGGACAAGCACTGGAGACAGCAAAGGCTGATTCTTTCCGCACAGAGACACTCTCTCCAGTGAGGGGGTCTGGACTTTATTTTCTTAAGGAAGGTAACATGTTCTCCTTCCTTCTCTGGTTCCCTTTCCCCCTCCCTTGGACAGTCCCCAGTGGCCCAACTGAGCAATGTCTTCAAAGTCTTCCTCCAAACGAATCAGTTGGTCTCTCAGGAAGCAAGGTCCCTGCTCACTGAAGGCAGGTGGCCAGCCAGGCAGGTGGACACCCAAGGGCCCAGAGCTGGTGCGGCAGGTTTTTCATGCAAGATCAAGCAGATTATAGAATGAAAAGTGTCTGCTGCATTTCAGCAACTGGGATCACTGGCAACCTTAACAAGAGTGTGGAGCTTACATCCTAGGAGGGGAATGTATTTGTTATCTATCACCATGCAACAAATTACCACAAAACTCAGCAGCTTCAAACATCCCATAGTTATTATGTTGTAGTTTCTGTGACTCAGGGATCTGGGCCTGGCTTAGCTAGGTGCTCTGCTCACAGGTCTCTCCCAAGCTACAATCAAGGTGCCAACTGAACCTGGGGTTGCATCTGAAGGCTCGATCAGGGAAGGCACCACTTCTTTTTTTGTTTTTCAACTTTTATTTTAAGTTCCAGAGTACATGTGCAGGATGTGCAGGTTTGTTACATAGGTAAACATGTGCTATGCTGGTCTGCTGCACAGATTAACCCATCACCTAGGTATTAAGTCCAGCATCCATTAGCTATTCTTCCTGATGCTCTTTCTCCCCATACCCTGCCAACGGGCCCCACTGTGTGTTGCTCCCACCATGTGTCCTTGTGTTTCCACCATTCAGCTCCCATTTCATAAGTGAGAACATGCACTGTTTGGTTTTCTGTTCCTGCATTAGTTTGCTGAGGATAACAGCTCTCAGCTCCATCCATGTCAAGAAACAACAGATGCTGGTGAGGTTGTAGAGAAAAGGAATACTTTCACACTGTTGGTGGGAGTGTAAATTAGTTCAGCCATTGTGGAAGACAGTGTGGTGATTCCTCAAAGATCTAAAAGCAGAAATACCATTTGATCCAGCAATCCCATCACTGGGTATATACTCCAAGGAATATAAATAATTATATTATAAAGATATATGCACACATACGTTCACTGCAGCATTATTCACAATAGCAAAGACATGGAGTCAATCCAAATGCCCATCAATGATAGACTGGATAAAGCAAATGAATTCCATGGAATCCTATGCAGCCATAAAAATGAAGGCTCCAGTCGGGCACAGTGGCTCATGCCTGTAATCCCAGCACTTTGGAAGGCCGAGATGGGTGGATCACGAGGTCAGGAGTTCAAGACCAACCTGGCCAAAATGGCGAAACCCCTTCTCTACTAAAAATACAAAAATTAGCCAGGCATGGTGGTGCACGCCTGTAATCCCAGCTACTCAGGAGGCTGAGGCAGGAGAATCGCTTGAACCCAGGAGGCAGAGGTTGCAGTGATCCGAGATTGGTCCACTGCACTCCAGCCTGGGCGACAGGGCAAGACTCCTTCTCACACACACACACAAAAAAGGAAGGCTCCACTTCTAACCTCACTGGTTATTGGCAGGATTCAGTTCCTCAAAGGTTGTTGAACTCAGAACCTAAGTCCCTTCCTGGGTATGCGCCAGAGGCCTCTCTCAATTCCTTGCCACATGAGTCTCTCCATATGGCTGCTTGCTTCATTAAAGTGTGCCAGCCAGGAAGGCAACAGAGAGAGTTGTCTTGCAAGACAGAGGCAAAATCTAACCACAGAAGTGACCTCCCATCAATGTTGTCATATTCTGTTGGCTAGAAGCAATTTGCTCAGTGAAAGGGGATTTCATAACAGCATGAATAACGGGAGGTGGAAATTACCAGGGGCCATGATAGAGGCTACCTGCCACAGGGAGCAAGACAGTACGCAAGAAAAAAAAGCAAACCATATTGTGTGTTATAGTATATATAAGGAAAAATACATAGCAGGAAATAAAGACAGGGAATATGGGGATATAATTCTGAATAAAACAGTCAGTGAAGTCCTGACTGAGAAGGTAGTATTTCAGCAAATGGTAGAAGGATGTAATGACATACACCTAGCCAAAATCTGGAAGCAGAGCCTTCCAAGCAGAAGGAACAGCAAGTGCAAAAGCCCTGGGGTAGGAGTAGGGTTGGAGTGATGAAGACCAGCAAGGAGGCTGGGCTGGAGTGACAGAAGGGTGATAAGATCGTGCAGGCCTTGGGGGGCTCTGCAAGGACTCCATCCTTAAGTCTGGGTGAGACAGGGTTTGGAATAAAGAAATGAGCATCTGTCACAGGGTCGGGGGCAGGGTATCCCCTGAATTCTCCTGCCGCAACCCACCTCCTGCTTTTGCTGGACAGTGACCAGGAAAGGCTGGCTGAGGTCCAGACAACCAGCTGGGAGGGGACAGACAGGAACACATGCAGGACAACACACTTCCAGAGGGATCCTGGGTTGCCTTGGCAACAGGGGCTTCCAAAAAAACTCCCCAGGGACTCCCTGGGCAGCAGCAGGCCTGGCTCATTTCTTGTAAGCTAGCAGCATGAGGACATAAAGAAATCAATTTATTGGCACAAATGGTCCTTTGGGCTCCTGCTCTTATTGTCCTTAGAATTCCATTCAGCACAGCTCTCAGTTGGAGTGCATTCATGAGCATTGCTGTTGATAGGAATGGGGCTCTTGTGAAACTGACTGAGTGGTCTCCCCCACACTTCCTGGAGTAAAGAGCCAAGGCTCAATCGTCATGGCACTGGGTTCAAATCCCAGCTCCATCACCTGCTAGCTGTGTGATTTCAGTCAAGTCGATTAAACTCTCTGAGCTCCATGTTCCTCTCAGTCCAGTGTTTGTGAGAATTTAACAAGCTGATCCCTATCTTGTGCCCAGAGCCTCCTCCCATATAGAACAGAGTCCCCTGTGTGCCCCAGATCCTGACTCCCCTCACTCTATCCTTCCTTTGTCCCGAATCATCTCCCTCACTTCCTTCAAAGTTTTGCTCAAATGTCCCTTTCTCAGTAAGGCTCTCGCTGCACATTCTACTTTAAACTACAACATCTGGAATATCCAAATGACTAACAAAATGTGGAAAGGGTTTACTTCATTCACGGTTAACGAAATGCAACTTAAACCACAAAATGCACTGCCCCTTTGCAACCAAGCTTCTCAGAGAAAGGAGCCTAATGTATTTGTACTTTCTCTATCTTTTTCACTTCTCAGTCCCTGCAATCCTGCTGCAGTCTCTAAAACAGCTCTTCGCGAGGATTGCCAATAACCTCAAGTTTGCTAAATGTCATGGAAACCTTGCAAATTGTGTTCTGGTTAGCCTCTCAAAAAGGAGAGTGGCCCCTCAAAATCCCACACCGGCTGGATCAACCACCTCCCCACAACCCCCATGATCAGGAAAGGACATGTCCTGGCTATATTCCAAATGCCCCCCAGCACCCAGGCACTATGGAGGAAACCAAAGGGAGAAGAAGAACCAAAAACCTTGCAAGGTAATTATGGGCAGGATATATATATACAAACATATAAGGCAGCAAACCATACGGGGGCAATTCACTAGAAAACAGGAGGTATAAGTGTTCAGCAAAGTTGGATAATGGCATCTCCAACCAAAGCCTTCGAGAGGCTCCATTATCCCAAGTCCTCCATCATCCCAAACCCTCCACAAGGTGATGACCTGCCACACCACCCACCATAACCAGGCCCTGAGGTCGACACCAAGTGAAGGCAATAAATCTTCCATTATAGAAAACTCATAGCTACGAAGAGAGAAGCTGCCACAATATTGTGAAAGAAAATGAGCCAAGTGAGACATTATATCCAATCTCTGTATCCATCTCTTCACTTGAGAGCCTTCTGCTCAGGGAGATAAAGAGATAGAAATGTGACAGGTGGATGGATAAATAGGTAAGTAGGTAGGTAGGTAGGTAGATGAGATACTTCAAAATCTAACAGGAATACAAAAGAGGAGAGACTAGAGAAAACAGTTGAAAAGAACCAGTTTTTGGAGACAAAATGGCTGAGACTTTCCTAATCCTTGAAAAACATGTCACAGTCAAGTCCTGAGCAGGATAAAAAAAATTAAATTCACACCCAGACACATCGTGCTAAATACAGAGAAGATCTCGAAATCAAACAGGAAGAAATTACAGACTATGTATCAAAATAGGATATAATGGAAGCTTTCATCAATCTTGGGAAAGGTAGGGTAGTATCTGGGGACAACCAAACTTGGACATTCTAATACTTTCTGGGGTCTCTGTCCTAACTCTCGCATTCCTGCTTCTCTGGGCCTGTTTCTAACACACACTCTGCACTATCAATCACAAAAAGAGACTGCCGCTGCATTCCCACCTCTCCTTCAAAAAGAATCCCAGAGAAAGCTTCTGATTGGTCCAATGGGAGGTCATGTGCTCACCCTTGGGCCAATCAACTATGGCTACGAGGGTGAAACCTGAAATTGACAATCCCCACAAGAATCCTCAGGTGGGAATGGAATAGGGAAGAATAGCAAACGCAGTTCAACAAAGGAAGGTTGGCAGCGACTGGAGGTGGGAGAAAAATGAAGCATTCCCAGAAGAAGGGAGGAGTACTGGGCAGACGAAACAGCAAATACTGCCTGCACTACATTTTCTGATCCTCTGAGAAAGGAGATGGGCTTATTTCTGAATTCATTCATAACCAATTCCCTTCCTTCTCTGTTATCAGCAAAATAGAGAGATTAAGGGTTTGGGTTCCGGAGCAAGACTGCCTGGGTTCAGATACGAACTCTTACTAACTGTGTGACCTTAGACAAGGTACTTAACTTCTCTGTACCACAGTTTCCTCAACTATCAAATAGGGATAGTCTATGACCTACTTCTGAGATTGTTTGAGGATGAAACGGGTTTATACAAGTACAGGTGTAAATGTTCAAACAGCGGCTGGAACGTGGTAAATGATTTAAAAATGTCAGGCATTATTATTTTAGAATAATCAGTATAAAGTTAAGAAGCGAGTATAGAACAGGATCTCTCAACCACGGCATCAATGACACTTAGGGCTGGACCAATTTTTGTTTTAGGAGCTGTTTGGTGCACTGTAGGGCATTTAGCAGCACCTCTGTCCTCTACCCACTAGATGCTGGTAGCACACCTACCCCAAATTGTGGCATCCAAAAATGTCTCCAGACATGGCCAAAATGTCCCCTTGGGTGGACATTTCCAGTCGAGAACCACTGCTATATAAAGAACAATAGGTGGGAGGTAGGAGGCTTGGGGTCTAGGCACGGCTCCACCCTCATTGCTGGACACTCCTTGGTAAGTTTCTTGATCCCTTTGGGCCTTGCTTTTCTTATTCATTACATGGAGATGACACCTACCCTACCTCCTGGAGCTGTTACAAGAGTCAAACCTATCAAAGGATACAAAAGGTACCATAGAAAGCTCTGAGATCTCCCAGTCCCACCCCCACAAATCCTGTCCATATTCTCCTGGGTCAGGAAACCCAGCTTCGAAGAAATGAATGGAGAAAAGGAACAAGAAAAGAAAACTAACATGAATGGTTACCATGGCCAAACATGTTACATTCATTCTTTCCTTTGGTGATCACCACACTACCAGGCTAGTTGCTGTCATTCCCATTTTACAGGTAATGCAACTGAGGCCTAAAAGGGTTTGAAAATGAGCAAGCCAGGCGGGCACGGTGGCACTTTGGGAGACCGAGGTGGGTGGATCACTTGAGGTCAGGAGTTAGAGACCAGCCTGACCAACATGGTGTAACCCTATCTCTACTGAAAATAGAAAAATTAGCCGGGCGTGGTCGTGCACACCTGTAATCCCAGGAGGCTGAGGCAGGAGGATTGCTTGAATCCAGGAGGGAGAGATTGCAGTGAGCCGAGATCATGCCACTGCACTCCAGTCTGGGCAAGAGAGTGAGACTCCGTCTCAAAAAAAAAAAAAAAAAAAACTAACAACAATTAGCCAAACATGGTGGCAGGCACCTGTAATGCCAGCTACTCAGGAGGTTGAGGCAGGAGAATCGCTGGTACCCGTGAGGCGGAGGTTGCAGTGAGCCGAGATAGTGCCACTGCACTCCAGCCTGGGTGACAGAGACTCCATCTCAAAAAAAAAAAGAAAATGAGCAAGCCCAGACTGCCTCCAAGGCATATGTGGGTTCTCCTGATTCCTGCAGAAATAATCCACTTCGGAGGGGTGGAAGCAGCAAGTTACGGGGCACCCACTTGTTCTAGGCATTATGATAGTGAGAGTGAGAATATTATTCCCCTTGTGTAGATGAGAAAATTGAAGCAGAGAGAGGTTGAGTAACTTACCCAAAGTGACTTGGACAGATTTGTACCCAGTTTAGATTCTGCCTTTTCCGTAACCCCCCACACCAGAGTGACATTTAAACTCAACAGATGCTTCACAGAGAATCTCTTCCCTATGCCAAGGTGAAAGTCACACAAAGGTCATAAGCACCTTTATCTGTGACCACACAAACTATCTCCTGCTGTACCCCTCCCCACATGCATGCGCACACATGACCCTACATGAAGCCAAACCTCCCCAGGTCAGGGAAGACACCCCAGACCTCCTCCAACTGTGCTCAGAGTTGATCACACACCTTTGGTTGAGCTTCATAAGTCACCACAGTGGCTACCGGGCTAGATTTGTCAGACAGCTCCCTATAAACACTCACAGACAGCAAGGCAAGGCATCTCAGTGTTCCCAGCTGGCATTTCCAGAGGGCTCTCTGCCCCGGGCGCTCACTGTGCATTCCTCTCAAAACCCCACTCAGCTCTTGCTCCCTTCCCCATTTCTTATGATGGATGAAACAGACCACAAGTGAATCCCAGAAGCTGAAGTCAACCTCTCATTCAGCAAACAGTTACACCCAACCGACCCAGCATGGGTACTAAGACCTCAGAAATGAAAAAGACACAGGCCCCTGTGCCTCAGTTTCTCTCTATGAAAGTAGGACCAAGTGCAGTGGCTCGCACTTTAATCCCAGCGCTTTGGGAGGCTGAGGCAGGAGGACCACTTGAGTCCAGGAGTTTGAGACCAGCCTGGGCAACAGAGCAAGACCTCATCTCTACAAAAAAAAAAAATAATAATAATTAGCTGGGTGTGGTAGCATTTGCTATATTCCTAGCTACTCACAAGGCTGAGGCAGTAGTAGCTCTTGGGCCCAGGAGGTAGAGGCTGCAGTGAGCTCTGATAGCCCCACTGCACTCCAACCTGGGTGACAGAGCGAGATTCTGTCTTAAAAAAAAAAGAAAAAAGAAAGAAAGAAAGAAAGAAAAGAAAATGGGGCTAGTGAGAGCACCTACCTCATAGAGTCACAGTGAAGATTAAATGAGATAATGCACTTAACAAAATGTCCTGCACACAGTAGGTACTCAATAAACTGAAGTTCTGGCGTACAACCTTAAAGGTTTGCACCGTTTATACTCTTTCGCAGGGTCCCACCAAGGGCTAAAGGCACACATGAGCTGCGGAGCTGAGGTCGTGACTGTGGGACTTCGGCAAATCCTGTCACCTCTTCAAAAAGGGCTCTTACCAGGTTCAAATGCAGTAATACATACCAAATGCATCGCCCAGGGCTTGGCACTAGTCGTTGTTTTATGACTGTTGCTATCACTTTTGACTAACATGTATTAGGTACTGTTCCAAGCACTTCATGTGTACTAACCCATTTAATCTTGAGACAGCTCTAGGTAGTACTATTATTTTATTATTGTGCTAATCATCATCTCTACTTACAGATAAGAAAATGAAGACACATAGAGGTTGATTTGTCTATAGAATGTCCAAGAGTAAGTGGCAGAGTTGGGATTTGAACCCAGGCAGTCTGACTCCCAAGTTCCCAGTCCGAACTACCACGCTCTGCTATCTGGTTATTTTAACACACTTCGCCTATCTCACCAGGTTGGACAAGGATCAAATAGGACATGGTAGAGTCCAAATTCTTTAGAAAAATTGCAAAATCAAGAATTCAGGCTGGGCATGGTGGCTCATGCCTGTAATCCTAGCACTTTGGGAGGTGGAGGTGAGTGGATTGCCTGAGCTCAGGAGTTCGAGACCAGTCTAGGCAACATGGTGAAACCCCATCTCTACTAAAAATACAAAAATTAGCCAGGCATGGTGGCACACACCTGTAGTCCCAGCTATTTGGGAGGCTGAGGCACGTGAATTGCTTAACCCCAGGAGGCAGAGGTGGTAGTGAGCCGAGACTGCACCACTGCACTCCAGCCTGGGCAAGAGTGAGACCCTGTCTCAAAACTAATAATAATAATAATTCAGGCAAACCCGCCAAACGGTCCAAAATTCACCTTGAAAAAATCCCTTATTTCATCAATAAAGTAAGCATGGTTCTGAATATTTCGTAACTACCCCTGCCAGCCAGGTTTTTTCTCCAGCAGCAAAACGGAATGTCGATCCTTCAGTTAAACAACCTAAAAAATACCTATTGGAGGGTTGTTTGGTTTGATTGCTTGGCTGGGTGATGATATATTACCCAAGCGTGCATGGTATAACCCCCACTAAGTTAAATGGGCATGTGGTGTGACTCCACCACACCATGCAGAAATGCTGAACTAACTCTCCAGAGGAATTATGGTACCAACTAACACTTACATATAGCCGCTATCACGTGTCAAGTGCTATTCTGTGTGTTTTACATAGACGTGTGGATGAATTTAATCCTGTCAATAGCCCTCAGAGGTCGGTATTGTTGTTATCACCCTCATCTTACATATGGGGAAACCGAGGCATGGAATTTCAGGCACTTGCCTGGCATGACCCAGTTGGATCTGACCCCAGACTCTCTGGCTCCAGAGTCTGTGCTGTCAGTGGCTGTGCCATGCCATCTGTCCAAGGGTCTCAAAGTGAAGGGAGATTACAACCCCACTGTCCTCCGTCCACGCCCCCAGCCACGTTCCTCTATGATCCAGCTGCTCCAAAGAGCCTGTTGGTCCCTGGGAAGAAACAGTCTCGTTGGATCCTCTCTGAAAGCTAATTCGGCCATTTACTCTCAATTTGTAGCGGATGCTGTCGTCTCTCAGATTTCAAAGAAGATGAATGCATGGGTCAAATTGGATTAAAAAGTTTAATTGAATAAGACAGAACCAGACAGCTTGATGGAAGACTTTGATCCGATAAAGGAAGAGGAGAAAGGCGTGCTCCTAACGCCGGGGTGTGATGGGGAGCTGTCTGGACCTCGTCTAGCCTCTTCTCATCTGCAGGAAAATCAGTTATGCCAATTATGGGTGAGATTGCCCTGGGGTGGTGTGGGGAAGACTGTTCCGAGGCATTTTCCAGATCATCATGTCCCGAAACAGGCTGACAGCTTGCCTACCTTCCTGTTCCATCTCCGCCTCCCGACAAACCCAGTTCTGAGCCTCTGAAACTGAGGGATCTTGCCTTAGACCTCACAAAACCCCTGTATCCTGGCCATAACAGGAACCCTACAAAAGAGATCTAAAAGAGAGAGAGAGATTGAGAAAGAGACACACACACCCATTAAACCAATGACCTGCAGGGAAGTCCAACCTATAGACTTGTTTAGTGGACACAGTGTTTTGTTTCCTTCCTAATTAGGAGATTTCCCATTGTATAATCCATATTTGTGTCTTCTCTTTAAATCTTGCTATTCAAAGTGAGGTCCACAGACCAGTAGCATTGGCACCAACTGGGAGCTTGTCAGAAATGCAAGAATCCCGGGGCCCACCCTAGATGTTCTGAACCACAATTTGCATTTTAACATTGAAGTTTGAAGGGTTTGCTTTAAAGCAGTGGTTCTCACCCACTGTGTGCATATCAGAATCACATGAAGAGCTTTGAAAAATCCAGGTGCTAAGCTCACATGCCATCTTTGAATTCAGAATCTCTGAGATTGGAACTCAAACTCCCAGGTTATTCCAATGGGAGGCCAAAGTTGAAAATCAATAGATTAGGCTGGGTGCTGTGGCTCACGCCTGTAATCCCAGCACTTTGTGAGGCCAAGGCAGGTGGATCACAAGGTCAGGAGTTCAAGACCAGTCTGTCCAAGATGGTGAAACCCCATCTCTACTAAAAATACCAAAAAAAATTAGCCAGACGCAGTGGCAGACACCTGTAATCCCAGCTACTTGGGAGGCTGAGGCAGGAGAATTGCTTGAACCCAAGGGGCGGAGGTTGCAATGAGCCAAGATCACACCACTGCACTCCAGCCTAGGCGACAGAGTGAGCCTCCGTCTCAAAAAAAAAGAAAAAAGAAAGAAAATCAGTAGATTAAAATCAGAAAATCTAGGCCAGCTGTGGTGGCTCATGCCTGTAATCCCAGGACTTTGGGAGGCTAAGGCAGGAGGATTGCTTGAGCCCAGGAGTTTGAGACAAGCCTGAGAAACACAGTGAGACCTTCACTTCTACAAAAAAATAAATAAATAAGTAAACAAAATTAGCCTGGTGTAGTGATGCACACCTGTGGTCCCAGCTATTCCAGAGGCTGAGGTGGGAGGATCACATGAGCCCAGGAGGTCAAGGCTGCAGTGAGCCGAGATGGTGCCATTGCACTCCAACCTGGGTAACAGAGCAAGACTCTGTCCCAAAAAATAATAATATAAAAAAATTAGAATATCTGACAACACTGGGTTCCTATTCCATGTGATAAAAGTGGCCAGAGCTGAGGAACCGGGCTTCAATTTCACCTCTTTTCATGCATTTTCATAACCTGCCGGATGCCACATGCCTATGATCCCTGGTGAATTTATATGCTTGAAGTCCCTGAAGCTCTTCTCCCTGTTGGCCCCTCTCCCCCTCTCCCTACATTCCCCATCTCCCCTCCTTCTAGGAGGACCATTATCAAGAGGCAATTTGCAGTTTCTGACTATTGGGGCTCAGAAAATAACATCCCAAAATAAAGGCCTCAGAAGCAAAAGTTTTTTCTGACCTTCTCCTGCCCTTCTGTCTCTCAGCCTCATTCTCAGCCAAGGCTAGCCAGAGAAACTAGAATCCCTCTTCCTCAAGCAGGTCTTTTCCCCAAACCCAGCCATAACCCTAAAAATGTTAATCTAACTTTCCCTCCACCTTTCTGTGTAAAAACTGGCATAAAGAAATTCTCTGACCTACCTTGTTTGACAGTAGGTCATAAGACTCCCATTCTAGAGAAGATCCTGCCCCACACCCAGAAGGAAGGAACGATTCTCAGGGAGGCCAAGGTGAATCTAGACGGGCCTTGCTAGGGGTCCCCACTCAGTCTATTATAATTCGATCATATCCTTTTTGTCAAGTCATATTGTATTTCTACATGGCTATCTATATTTTATTGAACCTAAGCATAAAAATGGACAATTCCCCTGTTCCTTTGGATCTTCATTGTGAAGTTTCCTGTGTATACACATTAAATAAATTTGCATGCCTTTTTTCTAATCTGCTTTTGCAAGTTGATTTTTCAGCAAAACTTCAAAGAGCCAAGGGGATCTTTCCCCCTTGGACTCTACATAACCAAGCAAATATGCACCCAGCCTATGACTCAGCAATTCCACTCCAAGGCCAGCATCCCAGAGGAAATGAACACACGTGACCACAAGAAGACTTGAACAAGAACATTCATAGCAGCTTTACTATAGCGGCACACATTAGGTGTTCAATACATGTAAGTTCTCTCCTCCAAACACCCTCTCCATACAAAAATATGGACTATTCAACAGCAAAAACATAATGAGTAGAGGTGGGTTTTTAATTAGTGCACAGATAATGTAGCATGTGTAGCAGCCAGAATTATGTCCCCAAAGATGTCTACATCCTAATCCCCAGAATCTATAAATATATTTTGTTTCATGGCAAGGGAGAATTAAGAATACAGATGGGGCCGGGCCCTGTGGCTCACACTTGTAATCCGAGCAGTTTGGGACGCCAAGGCAGGTGGATCACCTGAGGTCAGGAGTTCGAGACCAGCCTGGCCAACATGGTGAAACCCCATCTCTACTAAAAACACAAAAATTAGCCAGGCATGGTTGCGGGCACCTTTAATCCCAGCTACCTGGGAGGATGAGGCAGGAGAATCACTTGAACCCAGGAGGTAGAGGTTGCAGTGAGCCGAGATGGTGCCATTGCACTCCAGCCTGGGCGACAAGAGCAAAACTCCACCTCAAAAACAAAACAAAAGAATATAGATGGAAATTAAGGTTATTAATCAGCTGACCTTGAGGTGGGAGGAACTTTTCTGGACTACCCAGGGGAAGGATCCAGTGTCTATATCACAATGGTCCATAAATGTGAAAGAGGCAGGCAGAACAGTGAGTTCAAAGTGATGCAGCATCATAAAGAATCAACTGGGCAGTGCTGGCGTTGTAGAGGGAAGGAGACACAAGCCAAGGAATGCAGGCAGCCTCTAGAAGCCGGGAAAGGCAAGAAAATGGATTCTCTCCTAGATGCTCCACAAAGAACACAGCCCTGCTGACTCTCGGATTATAGCTCAGGGGGAACTGTTTCAGATTTCTGACCTCCAGAACTGTCAGATAACAAATTTGTGTTGTTTTAACCCACTGAGTTTGTGGTCATTGTCACAGCAGCCATAGGAAATTAATGCAGCATGATTTGGAGGCTGAAGGAAACACAACAAAACAAATCTTTTCCCAGAAGGATGAAAAAAGTTAAAATATTCCAGCCAGAAAGACATTCTAAATCTTCATCTAGCTAGTGATTACACAGGCATATACATATGTAAATGTATTATTATATATCAATTTAAAAGCTTAAAAGCTATGGTGAACACAGGTGTACACATATGTAGATTTTCTTTACTATAGCTGTATTATTACATATCAATTAAAAAGTTAAAAAGCCATTATAGGCTGGGCAGGGTAGCTCAAGCCTGTAATCCCAGCACTTTGGGAAGCTGAGGCGGGCAGATCACTTAAGATCAAGAGTTCAATACCAGCCTGGCCAACATAGTGAAACCCCATCTCTATTAAAAATACAAAAATTAGCCAGGTGTGGTGGTGCACACCTGCAGTCCCAGCTACTCGGGAGGCTGAGGCAGGAAAATCACTTGAACCCAGGAGACAGAGGTTGCAGTAAATGGAGATCGTGCCACTGCACTCCAGCCTGGGCAACAGAGCGAGACTCAGCCAGAATGGCGATTATTAAAAAGTCAGGAAACAATAGGTGCCAGTGAGGATGTTGAGAAATAGGAACGCTTTACACTGTTGGTGGGAGTGTAAATTAGTTCAACCATTGTGGAAGACAGTGTGGTGATTCCTCAAGGATCTAGAACCAGAAATACCATTTGACCTAGCAATTCCATTACTGGGTATATATCCACAGGATTATAAATCATTCTACTATAAAGACACATGCACATGTATGTTTATTACAGCACTATTTACAATAGCAAAGACTTGGAACCAACCCAAATGCCCATCAATGATAGACTGGCTAAAGAAAATGTGGCACATTACACCATGGAATACTATGTGGCCATAAAAAAGAATGAGATCATGTCTTTTGCAGGGACATGGATGAAGCTGGAAACCATCATTCTCAGCAAACTAACACAGGAACAGAAAACCAAACACCACATGTTCTCACTCGTAAGTGGGAGTTGAACAATCAGAACACATGGACACAGGCAGGGGAACATCACACACCGGGGCCTGTTGTGGGGTGAGGGGCAAGGGGAGGGAGAGCATTAGGACAAAAACCTAATGCATGCGGGGCTTAAAACCTAGATGACGGGTTGATAGGTGCAGCAAACCACCATGGCACATGTATACCCATGTAACAGACCTGCACATTCCCCACTTGTATCCCAGCACTTAAAGTAAAATTTAAAATAAAAATAAAAATAAAAAAAGCCATTATGAGCCAGGCATAGTGGCTTAAGCCTGTAATTCCAGCACTTTGGGAAGCCGAGGTGGGTGGATCACTTAAGGTCAGGAGTTCGTGACCAACCTACCCAACATGGTGAAATCCCATCTCTACTGAAAATACTAAATTAGCCGGGCATGCTAATGCATGCCTGTAATTCCAGCTACTCCGGAGGCTAAGGCAAGAGAATTGCTTGAACCTGGGAGGCAAATGTTGTAGTGAGCTGAGATCGTGCCACTGTACTCCAGCCTAGGCAACAGAGCAAAACTCCATCTCAAAAAAATTTTCAAAAAAAGCCATTATGAATATCATGATTATACCTTTTCAGACAACACTCCCCAAGTGTTCAGCCAAGTAGAGGCGAGCAAGGTGCCGCTTAGAGCAGAGGGGGGCCAAGTTCATCAGGAAGTACAGGCTTGGGGAAGAAGCCAGCTTCACCCTCCAACTCCCCTCTCTGTATGTCTCTCATTTCTTGCTTTCCTACAACTTCCTCTAACATCTTTTCTCAACCATGTTTCCACAATTACCGAGGATGACTACACAATTTTGTTTGCCCAAAAAAATCCTTATTTGCACCTGTTGTCCCAGTATAACTATTAACAGTGTGTCCTGGTTTGAATGACAAGTTATACAACCACCCACCTTGAATAAATTGTTGAAAAAGTGACACTTGGGGTGAATGCACCCCGAGGAAGAAATCACTGCCCCTACTACACCACACCTCAATGCTTGAGTTATAGAAAAACAAACAGAAGCAAGAAATCCCACACTCTTTGGGTCTCAGCACACTCACCCACTCTGCCCCACTGACCGCAATGGCCTCATCAGCACAGGGATGATAAGCTCAGAACAGCCAGGCATATGGATCTATAAAACCTCACTCACGTCCTGCTCCAGTCACAAACCAAACTGCCCACTCCATCCTCCCTGGGCAAAACCTGTGTGCTTAAAAGCGTCACGTGAGACCCATTCAAAGTAATTAACAACCTGTTTGAGGTCATAAACCAGCCCCACCTTCCGGAACTTTCCCCAACCTTGAGTCTTAGATGAAAGGCAGACAAATTTGGTTCCCAATTATCTTTGGACTGAACTTTTTTCTCCAAGTGGCTGAATGATATCCTGCCTCTTTAGGGATCGAAAACACAATCTATTTTGTGTTCAATGACTCTGGAGTCCATGTGAAAGTCACCTTGTGGGAGTGGTCTGGTGAACCTGGCCCAGGGCTGCCCAGTGAGGGCTGGTTTCCAAGTGGTGAGAGGGTCATTAGATTCTGGTCTGTGGCTCAATTGCCTACTGACACTGGAGACACAATAGCACCTCCACTTGGTCAGCTGACAGTCAGCATCAACAACCTAACTTATGGGTGGAGGAGTCTTTGGATGATTCTGATCTCCAGCCTTCAAATCTTCCAGCTGAGGACCTAGACATCATAAAACAGAGACAATCCATTTCATTGTGCCCTGTCAGAAGTCCTGGTCTGCAGAAACTGTGACAGATAATATATTATCATTATTTAAGCCACTATGTTCTGGGATAATTTGTTATGCAGCAATTGATAACTAATACACAAAGAACTTAATGATGCCATCTCATGCAGCATCCAGATACAATATTTACAGAAGGACTGTGATGAGTACTGTTTGATGTATGTAACCATCTCTGAACCAATCACTGGATTCAGGGGAAGTCTATATTATGATTGGCCCAGCCAATGGCCAAAGTGGTACACTATAATTGACAACTTCACCTGCAAGAGAAAGAGAGGGAAAGGGGTTCTCCCAAGAGAACAATGCTGGCAGATAAAAACAATGTCAAGTACAATGACCTCATTGTTTGGCCATCTCCTACTCCTGTCTTTCTTGCTCCTAATAGCTGTGGTAATGTCTTCTTCTGATGCCAAAACTGTTAACCCATTATGATTGAAGATATCTCCACTGATGGTTCCATAGATAGCTGTGCTAGAACTTCTGACACCAAGGCCTGTCTCCCATGGAAGCTGGAGCCTTCAACCCACTGATGCTTTGAGCTACATTGTTACTTTTCTTTTATGGTTATTTTACTTTACTTTATTTTACTCCTGGCCTTAGAAATCAAGTATCATTCTCAATGAGATGTGTGACAGACACTGGGCTGTACCACCAAGTCACTCAACTTCTGCTCCAGTTATGGTGTTTGAACCAAACACATGCTCCCCAATGCCCCTGTTTACTTAGAAAAGTGGTCCTCAGGTGGGTTGCGGTGGCTCACAACTGTAGTCCCAACACTTTGGGACAAGAGGGGATGATTACTTGAGGGCTGGAGTTCAAGACCAGCCTGGGAAATATAGCAAGACCCTGTCTCAAGAGAAATTTTAAAAATGTAGCCAGGTATGGTGGCATGTGACTGTAGTCCAAGCTACTTGGGAGACTGAGGCAGGGGGATCACATGAACCCAGGAGTTAGAGGCTGCAATGAGCTATGATCATACCACTGCACTCCAGTCTAGGCAACAGAGCAAGACCCAGTCTCTAAAGACAAAAAAAAAGTGGTCTCAACTTTGGATGCTCATTACAATTACCTGGGGAGACTTTAGAAACAATCTAATCAAGGTCCTACCCAAGCCAAATATATTAGATTCTCAAGGGGTGAGGCCTGAGCACTTGTATTTTTTAAAGCCTTCACCTAAGATTCCAGAGTTACAGCCAGCATTGAAGCCACTGGTTTGGCGAGGTCTGCCCCCGAATCAATTACACTCCCCGAAGGTCCCGAGGTCACCCTCATGGCCATCACACTTCCTTCCCTGTCTTCACCAACGGCAAGTTCTATCTATTCTACTGATATAGTTAAGTTTTGTGTCCCCACCCAAATCTCATCCTGAATTGTAATCCCCATAATCCCCATGTGCCAAGGGAGAGACCAGGTGGAGGTAACTGAATCATGGGGGTGGTTCCCCCATGCTGTTCTCATGATAGTGAGTGAGTTCTCACGAGACCTTATGGTTTTGTAAGGGACTCTTCCCCCTTCGCTCAGGATTTTTCCTTCCTGCCACCTTGTGAAGAAGGTGCCTTGCTTCCCTTTCTCCTTCCATGATTGTAAGTTTCCTGAAGCCTCCCCAGCCATGCGAACTATGAGTCAATTAAACCTCTTTCCTTTATAAATTACCCAGTCTTGGGCAGTTCTTTATAGCAGTATGAAAACAGACTAATACATCTACCTACTAAACATCTCTGGTGTCTCTCCACTTCAATCCAGCTTCATTGCCATAGCTCAGCACAAACCACCGTCATAACATCACTTGCTCAACTACAGTGAAGACTTCCCACTGTTTCCCTCACCCTGCTGCTCCTTCCATTTCTCCCTCTGTAATGCATCTCCATAACACCTGCCAGAGTGATCCTTTTAAAACCTAAATTGGGCAATGCCATGCCCTTGCTTAAAAAACATGATGACAAATTGGATCACACCAACTTAAAAATCTTCTGCACAGCAAAGAAAACAATTAACTAAGTGAAGAGACAACCCCAAAATTGGAGAAAATATTTGCAAACTATCCATCTGACAAGGAATTAATAACCAGAATACATAAGGAGCTCAAACAACTACAGAAAAAAAATCTAATTATCCAATTTAAAAATGGGCAAAAGATCCAAATAGACAGTTCTCAAAAGAAGATATACAAATGGCAAATAGATATATGAAAAAGTGCTCAACATCACTGATCGTCAGAGAAATGCAAATCAAAACTACAATGAGATATCATCTCACCCCAATTAAAATGGCTTTTATCCAAAAGACAGGAAATAACAAATGCTGACGAGGAGATGGAGGAAAGATAACTCTAGTATACTGTTGTTGGTGAAAATGTAAATTAGTACAACCACTATGGTGAACAGTTTGGAGGTTCCTCAAAAAACTAAGAATAAAACTACTATATGATCTAGCAATCCCACTAGGTATATACACAAAATAAAGAAAATCAGTACATTGAAAAGATATCTGCACTCCCATGTTTATTGCAGCACTGTTCACAATAGCCAACATTTGGAAGCAACCTAAGTGTCCATTAACAGATGAATGGATAAAGAAAATGTGGTACATATACATAGTGGAGTACTATGAGGCCATAAAAAAGAACGATATCCTGTCGTTTGCAGCAACATGGATGGAACTGGAGGACATTACGTTAAGTGAAATAAGCCAGGCACAGAAAGGCAAATTTAACATGTTCTCACTTATTTGTAGGAGCTAAAAATTAAAACAATTGAACTCATGGAGATAGAGAATAGAATGATAGTTACCAGAAGCGGGGAAGGTGAGTAGGGGGGTGGTTAATGGATACAAAAATATAGTTAAATGGACTGAATAAGATCTAGCATTTGATAGAACAACAAGATGACTACAGTCAACAATAATGTATTGTATATTTTTAAATAACTAAGAGTATAATTGGATTGTTTGTGACACAAAGAAAGGACAAATGCTTGAGGTGATGGATATCCCGTTTACCCTGATGTGCTTATTACACATTGTATGCCTGTATCAAAATATCTCATGTGCCCCATAAATACATACAGCTACTATGTGCCCACAAAAATTAAAAATTTGAATTGAAAAAACTATTCAGGGGAAAAAGCAATAAAAATACAAATAAAAGACAATACAGTATAACAACTATTTACATAGCACTTGCTTTGTATTAGGTAATATAAGTAATCTAGAGATGACTTAAAGTATCCAGGAGGGTTGCATAAGTTATGCAAATACTGCACCATTTTACATAAGACACTTCAGCGTGCATGGATTTTGGTAACCAAAGGGGTCCTAAAACCAATCCCCTACAGATACCAAGGGACCAACTGTACAAATGATTCTTAAACATAGGAAAAGGTGATCATTTCATTCATCATTTATTTTTTTTTCTTTTTTTTTTTTTTTTTTAGAGCCAGGGTCTTTCTCTGTTTCCCAGGAGGGATTGTAATAGCACAATTATAGCTCATTGCAACCCCAGCTCCTGGGCTCAAGAGATCTTTTTACCTTAGCTTCCTGAGTAACTGGGACTACAGGCACGCATCCAGGTAATTTTTTATTTTTTGGTAGAAACGGGGACGTCTCTCTGTGGCCTACCTCGTCTCAAACTCCTAGGTTCCAAAAGTCCTCCTGCCCTGGCCTTCCAAAGCACTGGGATTACAGGCATGAGTCAACACACCCAACCCATCTGAAAGTTTGGTAATGCACTGATAAGGTTTGGGGACACAGGCTGGTAAGAAGGTAAATTGGTACGACTCCATGCAGGAATTAGACAGTATCTATAAATTACGAGCACTTTTAATTTTTGAGCCACCGATTCTACTCCTAGGAATTTAACCATCTGAGATGATTGCACATGTGTGAAAATATTTAAGTACAAGGATATTCACTGCAGCATTGTCTGATGTAGCAAAAATTCAGAAACAACCCACTTCCCAACAGGAGACCAGTTAAATCAATCAGAGTACAGTCACGCAGCGGAATACGAGACAACCATTTAAACAAAAGGAGTAGTCAGATCAATGAAACAATACCAAGACATTTTATTAAATGAAATAATAATAATAAAAATAAAGTGTGAAACTGTGTGTATGATTAATGACAAAGTCATTTTAGTAATGATCATTTAATAATTGGTAATAATCATTGTTTTGTTTTGTTTTGTTTTTTCTTGAGGCAGAGTCTCGCTCTGTTGCCCAGGCTGGAGTGTAGTGGCATGATCTCGGCTCACTGCAACCTCCGCCTCCCAGGTTCAAGCAATTCTCCTGCCTCAGCTTCCCCAGTAGCTAGGATTACAGGCACGCCCCACCACGCCCGGCTAAATTTTTTGTCTTTTTAGTAGAGACGGGGTTTCACCATGTTGGCCAGACTGGTCTCAAATTCCTGACCTCAGGTGATCCACCCGCCTCGGCCTCCCAAAGTGTTGTCATTATTTTCTTGGTTCAAAGTTCAGATCTAAAATAAATAATTAAAAAATTTTAAAGAATAAATTTCCGACCGGGATCGGTGGCTCACGCCTGTAATCCCAGCACTTTGGGAGGCTGTGGCGGGTGGATCACGAGGTCAGGAGATTGAGACCATCCTGGCTAACACGATGAAACCCCATCTCTACTAAAAATACAAAAAATTAGCCGGGCGTGGTGCCAGGCGCCTGTAATCCCAGCTACTGGGAGGCTGAGGTAGGAGAATGGCCTGAACCCGGGAGGCGGACCTTGCAGTGAGCCGAGATCGTGCCACTGCTCTCCAGCCTGGGCAACAGAGCGAGACTCCATCTCAAAATAAATAAATAAATAAATAAATAAATAAATAAATAAGGATAAATTTCCATTTTAGGGATAGTCAAACTCAATATATAGCAGGTATATACTTGTATTTTACAGATAACTCTGGAAAGATGCACACACACACACACACACACACACACACACACACACACACACAAAAACTGATTTCAAAGGTAACCAGTAGTTTTGGTCCTTGGGGGGCATTAGGAGAGTGAGGTTCTGGGAGTTAGAAATGAAAAGTAAACTCACTTTTCTCCTTATGCCTTTATGCCTTTTTATACTGTTTGATTTTTTTTTTTTTTTGAGACAGAGTCTCAGTCTGTTACCCAGGCTGGCATACAGTGGCGTGATCTCAGCTCACTGCAACCTCTGCCTCCCAGGTTTAAATTATTCTCCTGCCTCAGCCTCCCAAGCAGCTGGCACCACAGGCGCGCATCCTGACACCTGGCTAATTTTTTTATATTTTAGCAGAGATGGGGTTTCCTTCAGTTGGCCAGGCTGGTCGAACTCCTGACCTCAGGTGATCCACCTGCCTCGGCCTCCCAAAGTGCTGGGATTACAGACTTGAGCCACCGTGCCTAGCCACTGTTTAATTCTATTACTATGCAAACATTGCCTTGCTCAAAACAAACAAGATGTAAAATAAAAAATAAAGGCTACACAAAACCACTTTTCCGCACCAATGTCCTCACTTTACAGATGGAAAACTGAGACCAAATAAGAGAAAGCTCCCTCTGTGCACAAAGCCTCTGGCTCTCATGGCAGTGGAGACCCCTCCCTCTGAGCTCCCAGAGCCCTTTGTTCTTCTCCAGGTTGGAGCATTGACCACGTCTTGTTGCCAACATTCTCATGCCTTGTCCATCTCTGTGCCTTCGGTATCCAGCCCAAGACGTCTTTAAACTTCTGTCATTTTTGTTCCTGCACTCATCCTGCAACTGATATTTGTTGAGAACTGATCATGGTCCAGGCACTATGCTAAGTGCTGTGAGTACATTGATAACCCTCAGGGGCAAAGTCCCTCCCGACCATAGAGACAGGGCTGCCACGTACAGCCTCACAGGATGCACACTGCACAATTTCAGAACGTGACATTCACATATGCTATTATTTAACTGGTATTCTCTGGATTTGTGCAGTGCACAACCTAGGTAACTATATACAGTTTCCCTGCCCATATTTCCAGTAGTTCAGCGGGGAAGATAAATTAAACAAAGCAGTATATATTTATTTTCATTGGAATCAGGGCAATTAAAAAAAAAGAACCATGTTGCTAAAAGAGAGAACAAATAGACAGATCTATTTTGAGTTTCACATAAGCCATTCAGAGAAAGTGATATTTATATACATTTATTTATTTATTTATTTATTTATTTATTTATTTATTTATTTATTTGATACAGAGTCTCATTCTATTGCCTAGGATCCAGGGCAGTGGTGTGATCACAGCTAACTGCAGCATTGACCTCCCAGGCTCAAGCAATCCTGCCTCAGCCTCTCAAGTCGCTGGGACCACAGGCACACACCACCATGCCCGGCTAATTTTTGCGTCTTTTGTAGAGACAGGGTTTCGCCATGTCTATCAGGCTGGTCTTGAACTCCTGGACTCAAGTGATCCACCCTCCTTGGTCTGCCAAAGTACTGGGATTACAGGTGTGAGCCACCACACCCAGCCAGAAAGTTATATTTAAACCAAGACCTGGTATTTGTCAGGAATTTTATTTAGTTGATAGTAACAGAGGCTGGACTTAGTAGCTTTAGTGAAACAGAGCTTCTTTTTTCGCTTGTTCCACAGGAAATCAGAAAGTAGGCAGCCCAGGACTGATTTGGGAGTTCCAGCAGTTATCAGGACCCCAGCCTCCTTCTGTCTTTCTGCTCCATACCCCTTAGCATGTGGTTTTCATCCTCAAGGTTGTCTCATGGTCCAAGATGGTTGCCAGAGCTCCAGCCACTACATCTGCCTCACAGACAACAACATGGGACAAGGACATTAGAGACATAAGGGACGCCTCCCCAGTCCACTTAAGGAGCTGACCATAAGTTTCACAAAATATTCCACATCCATCTCATTGGCCCAAAACTAGTTACGTGAATATCGCACGCTGGAAGAGAGGCTGGGGCATGTGAGCTCTAAAGAGTTGCCCAGGGTTTTATTACCAAAAAGGGGAAATTATGATTGAGAGGTAATACGTAGCCCCTGTTATGGACTGGGAGAATAAACGGGAGATAATTAAGTGAAAGTGTTGTGGGGAGCAGGTTCCAGGCAGAGGGAATAGCAAATACAAAGGATCCAAGAGAAGGAGGTTGGGCCGGGGCACAGCGGTTCACACCTGTAATCCCAGCACTTTTGGAGGCCAAGGCAGAAGGATCGCTTACGCCCAGGAGTTTGAGACCAGCCTGGGCAACATAGAGAGATCCCGTCTCTACAAAAAATACCAAAATAAATAAATAAATAATAGCCAGCCGCGGTGGTATGTGAATAAAAATAAAAATAAATTTAAAAAATACTCTGTTGCCCAGGCTGGAGGGCAGTGGTGCAATCATGGCTCACTGCAGCCTCGACCTCCTGGGCTCAGGTAATCCTCCCATCTCAGCCTCCTGAGTAGCTGGGACTACAGGCACATACCACCATGGCTGACTAATTTTTCAAAAATAAAAATAAAAATATTAAAAAATAAAATAAATTTTAAAATATTCAAAAATAAAAATAAAATTTAAAAATATTTTTGAATATTTTAAATATAGTGGGCCGGGCGCGGTGGCTCACGCCTGTAATCTCTGCACTTTGTGAGGCCGAGGCAGGTGGATCACCTGAAGTCAGGAGTTCAAGACCAGCCTGGCCAACATGATGAAACCCCCTCTCTACTAAAAATACAAAAACTTAGCTGGGTGTGGTGCCACACTCCTGTAATCCCAGCTACTCAGGAGGCTGAGGCAGGAGAATCACTAGAACCTGGGAGGCAGAGGTTGCAGTGAGCCGAGATTGCACCACTGCACTCCATCCTGAGCAAGAAGAGCAAAACTGCGTCTCAAAATAAAATAAAATAATAAATAAATATATATATATTTAACGAGCGAGATTCCATCTCGAATTTGAATATTTAAAATATTCAAAAAATTATATTTTAATAAAATTAAAAATAATTTTTATTTTATTCAAAAATAAAAATAAATTAAAGAAATAAAAAGAAGGAGGTTGGTCTGTTCTCAGAACTGAAAGGAGACCAGCATGGTTGGAGCACATTCAATGGGAGAAGATGAGGAACCAGGGGAAGGAGAAATACCCAGGCTCGCAGGCACATCAGCAAACCCAGCTGCATGCCTTCCACTCTGGGCGAAGCCTTGGCATCAAACAGACCCATGTTCATATTCTAACATCACCTTTTACAACTGAGAGCCCTCAGGTAAGTCTTTTAACTTACCTGAGCCTCCACTTCCTTACCTGTAAAACAAGAATTATACCTGTATGATTTCTTATTTGAATAAGAATTTGAATAATAGATTTCTTATGTGAATTAAATGAGATAATGCATATAAGGAGGTTAGCACAGCGCCTAACACATATTGAGCACACAGTATTATTGATTCGCTACACATTGACCATGAAGACTTACGTGATTGTGGCCTAGTCAAGAGTCAAGGTTGTAACTCCAGGCTCGAGCAAATTCACTGGCTTAGTGCTTAAAAGTTAGTCATAGTTAGTGCTTAACGTAAAAGTTGGGTATGGGACAGGCACAGTGGCTCAAGCCTGTAATCCCAGCACTTTGGGAGGCTGAGGCAGGCGGATCATTTGAGGTCAGGAGTTCGAGACCAGCCTGCATGGTGAAACCCCACCTCTACTAAAAATACAAAAAAAAATTAGCCAGGCATGGTGATGCATGCCTGTAATTCCAGCTACTCAGGAGGCTGAGGCACAAGAATCACTTGAACCCAGGAGGCAGAGGTTGCAGTGAACCAAGATCTCGCCACTGCACTCCAGCCTGGGCAAGAGCAAGATTCCATCTCAAAACAAAAAAAAAACAAAACAGAAAACAAAAAAACAATAGCTGAGTGTCACGGGGCATGCCAGTAGTCCCAGCTGCTCAGAAGACTGAAGCTGGAGGCTTGGTGGAGCCCAGGAGTTTGAGTTCATCCTGGGCAACATAGCAAGACCCTATCACAAAAAAATAAGAAGTAAAATAATAATAATGCAAAATAAAACATCTTTTAAAATGATAGGTGTTACTATTGTGGCTCTTGGTGAGGACAGCAGATGGCTCATCAGAATTTCTTCCAGAGCCTCTCTTGGCCTCCCCACCGTGCCAGGCAACCACGGAAACATTCAGTCTTCAGATTACCAACCTCAACTGCAAACTAGAAAGGAGGGTCCCAGAATGGAAAGTGCCACCCTAAGAATGGAAAGTGCCACCCTAAATTGCAAACAGACCCCCCGGGTGCCAGGCGAGAGCCTCAAACACGCTCTCTACTTTGCTCAGGCTCTCGGAGTCAATCAGCTCAGGCTCTGATGCAGAAACGCTTACCGCCCTGAACTCGAATAAAGCTCACACTCAGACTCCAGGAACCACCGTCTTTTACATCCCCATCGATCCTCTAAGCCTATTTTTATGATTCCTCTTCCCAGTGAGTGTTGTGTATATTTTTGGGCTGTGTTCCTCTCATAAATAAATAAATGTGTAGGTAAATACTAATAAGAGCTAGCATTTATTAAGCACTTGGCGTGGTGCCAGGGATGGTGCTGAGGGGTTTGCCTGTTATTTTATTTCACCATCATGATGACCTAATGAAACTGGCACCATAATGATCCGCATTTTACAGGAAAGGAAACTGACACTCAGAGGGATGAGGTCATTTGTCATTTCCCCCAAAAAAGGGGCAGAACAGGGATTTGACCTCAAGTCTGTCTGATCCAAAGCCCCGATTACTGAGTTCTGAGCAGCTCGTGTGGACATGAACCCAAACTTCATCTCACTTCCTAAGTGCCTTCCTTCCTTCGGTCCCCACTAATTAAGCTTCTGCCGTCGATGCCAAGCCGGACAGGGAAATGCTAAGTGCTCAAACTAAGCTGATGATTTGAAAATGCCAATAGTCCTTCATTTCTGCTGACCACCCTGAGCCTGGGGCCGGCTCACTCCTGAGCCTGGGACCCAGAACAACGTAATGGATGAGCCGCGTGTTGAGCAATGCTTTATGCCATTCAGGAGTGACTCGGGCTGAGCTCATCTCAGTAGTCAGCGTGTTAATTACAACTGCCCAAATGAGGCCCATTCATCCATTAATACCAATGAGCCAGCTCCAGAAGGCAGAGGCAAGATGACTCGCACTCATGAATCTTGCTCATTGTAGATTCGACAACCACCATGGCCTGGCCACCCAGGCTACATCTTCATTGATATCGAATTATTTGTACTTCCCCTGCAAGTCTCTCCAATTTTCACCCCATCCTTTCCCAAAGAAGACCTCAAAGAAGAAGCAAAAGGCAGCATGCCTGGCACAAAAGACGTGGGCTTCAAAGCTTGAGAGACTCGGTCGAATCCTGGCTCTGCCACTGACCAACAGAGTGACCTTAGGCAGGTCATTTCATGTCTCTGGGCCTCAGTTATCCCATCTGTCAAATGGGGCTAATCACTTCCACCCCTCTTTCGTGTTCATACTGGGAGCTAGAAGATGTGATATCTAAATGTTCCAGCTTGCAGCAAGGCTCAGCGCATGTTAGCTGTTGTTACTAATTGTATCATTAGATGGCTTGGATCACTTTCACGTCATTTCCCCCAGCGCACTGGGGTTTATGGGATGGCAGCTACCATGTGGCTGGAGAGTGATTCCCAAATTTCAGTGCACTGGGGATGCTTGTTTAAAACACAAGATCTGAAGCCCCCAGCCATTCTGATTCCAGAGTAGAGCTGAAGACTGCGTGTTTGGTAACCACCTCGGGGTTTAAGGCTTTCAGACAGCCGTTCTCAGCCCTGCCTACACACTGGGATCACGGGGAAGCGGGGAAAGGAAGTGGGGGAGGTGGGGGGGAAGAGGTTTAGTTTTTTTAATGCCTGGATCCTAACTGCAGAAATTCTGATGTTCTGGGGCCCTTGTGTGGCTGGGATATCAGGATTTTTTTCTAAAGTTCCCCCAGATGATTTTAATGTGCAACCAGGGCTGAGACCTACTGCTATCAGCCAGTGTTTCTCAGAGCGTGGTGCAGGGACCCACACATCGGCATCAGGCTCACTGGGAACGTGTCTGAAATGCAGATTCTCCCTCTGTCCTACCTCAACCTGCTGATTCAGAGACTCTGGGGGTGGGACTTAGCACTGATTTATAAAGCTTTCAAAGGGATTCATTTTTTTGGTGTTTTTTTTTTTTTCTTTTTTTTTTGGATACAAGGTCTGGCTCTGTCACCCAGGCTGGAATGCAGTGGTGCAATCACAGCTCACTGCAGCCTCAACCTCCTGGGTTCAAGTGATCCTCCCACCTCAGTCTCCTGAGTAGCTGGGACTACAGGCTCGAACCACCATGGCTGGCTAATTTTGGGTTTTTTTTTTGTAGAGATAGGATCTCCATATGTTGCCCAGGCTGGTCTCAAACTCCTGGGCTCAGGCAATCCCCCCGGCCGGGGCATCCCAAAGTGCTGGGATTACAGGCATCAGCCACCAATGTCAGGCTCCCCTGGTGATTCTGACACACACTTAAGTTTAAGAACCCCTGCTATAAGGCCTGGCATCCCCCAGACTTCATGCTGTTAAGAACCACTTGGGGAAGAGGTTTGTTATTGCTCCCTTTTCCCACCCTTTCTCTTTTGAACACTGTTGTGTCGTGATGTGAAGCTTGGAGCTTTGGCAGCCATCTTACAAACATGAGGTAAAAACCAAGGCTTCACAGAGATAGCACCCCAGTGCCTCGCAGTCACTGAGTCACTGCCCCAACCTCTGACCCTCTACTTCCAAACTTCCCATTAGCTAAATGCCTTGATTGTTTAAGCTCCTATTATTTGAGTCTTCTCTTACTTGCAATGGAACACATTTTTTATTGGTATAAGTATTCCCAACACAGTATGAGTGCATAGAACAACTTTAAAAGATCCCTGCGATAGGCTGGGCATGGTGGCTCATGCTTATAATACTAGCACTTTGGGAGGTCAGGAGGACCTCTTGAGCCTAGGAATTTGAGACCAGCCTGGGTAACACAGTGAGACCCTGTCTCTACAAAAATTAAAACAAAATTAGTTGGGTGTGGTGGCACGTGCTCATAGTCCCAGCTACTCGAGAAGCTGAGGTGGGAGGATTGCTTGGGCCCAGGAGTTCAAGGCTGCAGTGGGCTGTGATCATGCCACTGTACTCCAGCCCGGATGACAGAGCAAGACCCTCTCAAAAAGAAAAAAAGAAAAAAAAATTCCAGGACATAAAATGATGTAATGCCTAAAATTTTACTTTGAATATTCTCAGAAAAAAAAAAACAGACTAAGTGTGAAGAGAGGAGTGGGGTCGATTTTGACTTTAAAAAATATTTAAGTTAAATTTTGAGAAATCCCTCTTAAGAAAAAATTTTGAATCTGGGCTGTGGGGATAGATGAAATGAGATTGCAAAGATTGATATCTACTAAATCTGGGCGATGTTGAATCTACACATACTACATATGATTGTGGAAATTACCATCATAAAAAGTAAAAACAATTTTAAAAGATTAACTGTTTTAAAACAAAGTCTAGGCATGGCGGCTCACACCTGTAATCCCAGCACTTTGGGAGGCCGAGGCGGGCAGATCACCTGAGGTCGGAGTTCAAGACCAGCCTGACAAATATGGTGAAACCCTGTCTCTAGTAAAAATACAAAAATTAGCCAGCCTGTGGTGGCCCATGCCTGTAATCCCTGCTACTCAGGAGGCTGAGGTGGGAGAATCCCTTGAACCCAGGAAGCAGAGGTTGCAGTGAGCCAAGATCATACCACTGCACTCCAGCCTGGGCCACAGAGGGAGACACTGTCTCCAAAAAAAAAAAAAAAAAAAAAAAGACTGGCTCCCTTCTCCCCTGGAGGCAGGGGAACTGGAAGAATTGGAGATTATCACTGAGAGTTGAGGACAAGAAATCTGCATTACGAAATAAGTCCCTGTAGATTTCATCATCTCTAGAGCCCTCATTAGTGCTGATTAGGGAAACTGATTCCCAGGAAAACTAGAGAACATTATGGCACAGCAGCAGCACTGAATGATGGCTTTGGCATCCAAAAGTTCAAGTTCAGGTTCTGCCACTTATCAGCTATGTGACCTTAGGCAAGTGACTGATCTTTCTGAGCCTCAGTCACCCCTGCTGTAAAATGGGGATAATAAAGATTCTCACCTCTTAGACAATTGTGAGAAATAATGGAAATAATGTATGTATTTAAGAAATAGTAGCTGCTATGGTTATTATTTTATCTTTACTTCTAGTTTAAAGTCAAGAGTTGGCCGGAAGTGGTGGCTCACACCTGTAATCCCAGCACTTTTAGAGGATTGTTTGAGGTAAGGTGTTCGAGACCACCCTAGCCAACACAGGGAGACTCCGTCTCTAAATTAAATAAATAATCAATCCAGGCCAGGCGTGGTGGCTCACGCCCATAATCCCAGCACTTTGGGAGGCTGAGGCGGGTGGATCACTTGAGGTCAGGAGTTCAAGACCAGCCTGGCCAACATGGTGAAACCCTATCTCTACTAAAAATATAAAAAATTAGCCAGGCGTGGTGGCACATGCCTGTAATCCCAGCGACTGGAGAGGCTGAGGCAGGAGAATCACTTGAACCCGGGAGGCAGAGGTTGCAGTGAGCTGAGATCACACCACTCCACTCCAGCCTGGGTGACAGAGCAAGGCTCCATCTCAAAAAAAATAAATAAATAACAGTAATAATAATAAAGCCACATTCTCAGCCTTCCCTTGCCCACCCTGAGAAGTGAGTGTTTGCCCTCATTTCTATATTTCTGAGCCCCAACCGTCCCACCATTCTGACCTTAGCTACCCTCCCCTCCCCATCCCAACTAGTATTAACATATAGTGAATATTCATCATAGGCCAAGAACTGAGCTGGATCTTTACCTGGATTATCTCATTTAATCCATGATATTATTAGACCCATTTTACAGAGGAAGAAACTGAGGTTCAGAGAGGTTAAGATCATACAGCTATGAAGTGGGCTCTGAGACCAAGTGTACCTAATTTCCCAAAGTTCAGGTCATTTTTTTCCTCCAACACAGATCTTGAGAGGTGAGAATAAAAGCCTTACCTACAACACTAGCCAACATTTAGGATCTACACACATGTATTATTACCCTCTCATTTATCTTTTTTTTTTCTTCTTTTTTATTTTTTTTGGAGACAGGGTCTCACTCTGTCACCCAGGCTGGAGTGCAGTGGTATGATCATAGCTCACTGCAACCTCCATCTCCTGGGCTCAATCCATCCTCACGTCTCAGCCTCCCAAATAGCTGAGACTACAGGCACATGCCACCACACCTGCCTAATTTTTTTTACTTTTTGATAGAGACAGGGTTTCACCATGTTGGCCACACTAGTCTTGAACTCCTGAGTCAGGCAATCTGCCCACCGTGGCCTCCCAAAGTTCTGGGATTACGGGCATGAGCCACCGTGCCTGGCCCTTTTATTTCCATTTTACAGATAAGAAAACCGAGTCCAGGGTCTATCCCAGCAGCAAGGACTGACCACCTTCCCAATTCCACTTCTCATGCGCTGGGAGTGAAGCTTATATTTCTGGACTCTTGACCCAGTGCTCATTCAGCATCTTTCCCTTCCCCATCCTCCATCCCTGTCAGGCCTCTGAGCCCATGCTAAGCCATCATATCCCCTGTGACCAGCACGCATACATCCAGATGGCCCAGATGGCCCGAAGTAACTGAAGAATCACAAAAGAAGTGAAAATGGCCTGTTCCTGCCTTAACTGATGACATTACCTTGTGAAATTTCTTCTCCAGGCTCATCCTGGCTCAAAAACTCTCCCACTGAGCACCTTGTGATCCCCACCCCTGCCCGCCAGAGAACAACCCCCTTTGACTGTAATTTTCCACTACCTACCCAAATCCTATAAAACAGCCCCACATCTGTCTGCCTTTGCTGACTCTCTTTTCGGACTCAGCGCGCCTGCCCCCAGGTGAAATAAACAGCTTTGTTCTCACACTCGCGTCTCTTCACACGGACGCGAGTGAAAATCCCAACCCCAATGTCTCCATTTGCATCCCGGCCTGTGAAGGCTGACCAAGTGGCATAGCGGACAGGAACTGATGCAAGGATCAGAAGATGCAGTTCAGGTACCACTCAGCTGTGTGACTTTGGATTACTTACTTCCCCTCTCTGAGTCTCAAGTGCCTTATCACACCCCATACCCTAAAACTGTGATCATCTCAGCAGTCCCCCGCGGGAGAGTCCTACTCTCCTCCCACACCATTCCTCATCCCGGGGAGGCGGAAAGTAGAGACTCAAAAAGCCGTAAAACACAAAGAAGACTGCTCCTTGGAGCTCAAAGTTGCTGTCTTTTCAAGGACAAAGAGAAACAGACCTGCATTAACCAATTACGCCTTGAGCGCCCCTGAACTGGGTGAGAGCCACATCCGCAGGAAACACTGCCACCCTGTGGCCCCTGTGCTTCACTGCAGGCCACTTCCAGGGCCCTGCGGGAAGCTCACCACGGGCTCAGAGGCAAACCCGTTGCAGGATTCAAAAGTGGCGCGCACGGGGGAGGTGGGGAGACTGAGTTGGGAGGATTGCTTGAGCACACGAAGTAGAGGCTACAGTGAGTCGCAATCATGCCACTGCATGCCAGCTTGGGAAACCGAGCCAGACCCTGTCTCCAAAAAAAAAAAAGATGAAGTCATATTGGGTAAGGATAGGCTGTAAGTCTAGTAACTGATATAAGATGAAGAGAGGGCCGGGCACGGTAGCTCACGCCTGTAATCCTAGTGTAGCAGGACGAGCCACAGACAAGAACCCTTCAGACACGGAGTTGTGGAAGGAAAGGGCTTTATTCAGCTGGGAGCATCGGCAGACTCATGTCTCCAAAAACCAAGCTTCCCACATGAGCAATTCCTGTCCCTTTTAAGGGCTTACAACTCTAAGGGGGTCCGAGTGAGAGGGTCGTGATCATTGAGCAAGCAGTGGATATGTGACTGGGGGCTGCATGCACTGGTAATCAGAATGGAACAGAACAGGACAGAGGTTTTCACAGTGCTTTTCCATCCAATGTCTGGAATCTATAGATAACATAACCAGTTAGATCGGGGTCAGTCTTTAACTACCAGGCCTGGAATGTAGCGCCGGGCTGTCTGACTACTGATTTCACTTCTGTCTTTTAACTCCTACTTTTTCTTCGAGGCAGAAATTGGTTATAAGACAATAGGAGGGGTGGTCTCCTCCCTTACTAGCACTTTGGGAGGCCAAGGCGGGTAGGTCATCTGAGGTCAGGAGTTCGAGACCAGCCTGGCCAACATGGTGAAAATCCATCTCTACTAAAAATGCAAAAAATTATCTGGGCATAGTGGCGGATGCCTGTAATCCCAGCTACTTGGGAGGCTGAGGTAGGAGAATCACTTGAACCCGGGAGGCAGAGGTTGCAATGAGCCAAGATCACGCCATTGCACTCCAGCCTGGGCAAAAAGAGCAAATCTCTGTCTCAAAAAAAAAAGATGAAGAGAGGACCCACGCAGCCACAAGTCAAGGAACACCTGGGGCCCCCAGAAGCTGGAAGAGGCAAAGAGGGATTCTCACCCAGAGCCTTCGAAGAGAGCACAGCCCTGGAGACACCTTGATTGTGGACTTCCGGCCTCCAGAACTGTGAGAGAATACATCTCCATTGTTTTAAGCCACCTGGTTTGTGGTAGTTGGTTGTGGCAGCCCCACAAAACTAATACAGGTGCCTACTTAACACATTGGAAAGCATGAAGCAGGTATTTGTGGTTGAATGATACACATACGGCCAGGTGCAATGGCTCACGCATGTAATCCCAGGACTTTGGGAGGCTGAGGCAAGAGGATTACTTGAGCCCAGGAGTTCGAGACCAGCTTGGGCAACATGATGTCCCCTTGTTTTTGTTTAATAAGCTAGGTGTGGTGGTGCCTGGAGTCTCAGCTACTCAGGAGGCTGAGGTGGAAGGATCTCTTGAGCCCGGAAGGTTGAGGCTGCAGTGAACTATGATTGCACCCCTGTACTCCAGCCTGGGTGACAGAGCGAGACTGTGTCTCAAAAAAAAAAAAAAAAATTTACATATCTTGTTAAACGCAGTCCCGGTCAGCAGAGATTCTTTCTAATGCTATTTTTCTCTGAAATGTTTTGTAAAAATAAATGCTTCACCCCGTGCTGGACACTATTGCACCGGCATCGAAGGACTGTGTGGGTATCAGCAGGCACGCTCCACTCTCAGCCAATGGGTGTGGTTCACTGAGCCCACCTCTCTTTCTCCTGATTCCCTTGGGTTTGGTGGACAATTTTGACCCATAACGGAGGATCAGAGGCATGGCAGTGAGGAGGCCAGGCCTGCCGGGTGGTGAAGTCAAGGTCTCCCAGCTGGTCTAGGCTCTTTTAAGGAGATACTTGTATTCGTTTCTTGCTGGGACTTTAAAAAATTAACAAAAACGTCAGGACTTAAAACAATACGTATGTATTATTGTATAGTTCTGGAGGTCAAAATTATGCAACAGGTTATACTGGACTGAAAGTCAGTGTGTCGGTAGGGCTGGTTCCCTCTGGGAGCTCCAGGGGAGAATCTCTTTCCTTGTCTTCTCCAGATTCTAGAGGCTGCCGCACACCTTGGCTCATGGTCCTGCAGGGGAGGAAAGATTTATTTCCCCACCCATCTTAGGTTCATGGCAGAGGCACCCTTAATAAAAGACTGATGAATCAGAGAAGAGCATAGCCATTTATTTAACACAAGTTTTATGTGACATGGGAACGTTTAGAATGAAAACTCAAGGAAACGGGGAAGTGTGTGTGTGTGTGTGTGTTTAAGCAGTTTGTAACTTATTTTATTTTTATTTTTTCTACTTGTATTTTAGATTTGAGGATACAAGCGCAGGTTTGCTACAAAGGTATATTGTGTGATGCTGAGGTTTGGGGTGTGATTACGATTGAACCCGTCACCCACGTAGTGAACACTGTACCAAGTAGGTAGTTTTTCAATCCTTGCTGCCTCCCTCTCTCCTTCCTCCCTCTTGTACTCTTGTATTTCTCAGTGTTTATTGTTCCCTTTTTTTTTTTTTTTTTTTGAGATGAATCTCACCCTGTCACCCAGGCTGGAGTGCAATGGCATGATTTCAGTTCACTATAACCTTTGTCTCCCAGGTTCAAGCGTTCCTTGAACCTGCTCACTGGAGGGGAACTTATGGGGTTCAGGACATACTACCTCAAAATATGGCACCTTGTATTCGAGAAAACAGCAGAAGCAGGAAGGCCACTCTCACCTTCCCTTCACCCTGCTCCCCTGAAGCCGGTCATAAAACCTTCATTTGAGGGGTGGCCACCCAGAGGAAAGGAATATCTTATCCTTTCTTTTGTTTGGTTTTGAGACAGGGTCTTGCTCCATTGCCCAGCTGGAGTGCAGTGGTGCGATCATAGCTCATTGCAGCCTCAAACTCCTGGGCTCAAGCAATTCTCTTGCCTCAGCCTCCCTAGTAATAGCTTAGACCAGAGGCATGCACAATACCTAAGGTTTTTTTTTTTTTTTGGTAGAGATGGGGTCTTGCCATGTTGCCCAGGCTGACATCCTTATCCCCAAAGACAAAGAGATGCTAAGAATCTAAACAAACAGGCCTTGCTAAATTTCCCCCAGTTTACTACCGTTAGATCATGCCCCTTGTGTCTAATCATACTTCCTCACAATGGTACACTCTTCATCAAATTTATCAGAAAAACATGCAGGTTTCCTATGCACAGTAGCAAAGACATCGAATTAACCTAGGTGCCCGTCAATGGCGGATTGGATAAAGAAAATGTGGTACAGATACACCATGGAATACTACATGGCCCAAAAGAAGGACGAAGCCATGTCCTTTGCAGCAACATGGATGGAGCTGGAGGCCATTATCCTAAGCAAACCAGTCAGAAACAGAAAACCAAATACTGCACACTCTTACTTATAAGTGGAAACTAAACATTGGGTACACATGACATAAAAAAGGGAACAATAGGCCGGGCGTGATGGCTCACGCCTGTAAACCCAGCACTTTGGGAGGCCAAGGCAGGTGTATCACTTGAGGTCAGGAGTTCAACTCCAGCCCGGCCCACATAGTGAAACCCCATCTCTACTGAAAATACAAAAAATTGGCCGGGCGTGGTGACAGGTGTCTGTAATCCCAGCTACTCAGGAGGCTGACGCAGGAGAATCACTTGAATCCAGGAATTTGAGGCTGCAGTGAACTATGATTGCACTGCTGCACTCCAGCCTGCGTGACAGAGCAAGACCCTGTCTAAAATAAAATAAAATAATGCGAGGTGCTAGAAAGTCTCTGCTTCCATCCTCACATCTCCTTCTCTGACCTAGACTCTCCTGTCTCCTCTCTTGCCCCTCATAAGGATACTGGTGATTATATTGGGCCACCCAGATCAGCCCGAGTCATCTCCCCATCCCAACTTAATCACATCTGCAAAGTCCCTTTTGCCCTGTGACATAGTCACAGGATGTGGGGACCAGGAGATGGACATCCTTGGAGGTGGGAGAAGGGAAGTACATTCTTCTGCCTATCAAAGGGAAGGGACAGAGAAAGTCAAGGTCAGCCAGCAGCTCAGGTTGGGTGGAAGTCCTCTGATATCTGCATAGCCTCCCACCTGATCTCCAGTTTCTGCTTTGGTGCTCCCGGACCATTCTCCACCCAGCAGCTGGAGTGGTTTTCTTAATCCAAAGATCAGATCTTGCTGCTGCTCTGCTGTCCACCCTCCAAGGCCTTCCCCTGGCTCAGAATAAAACCCCAACTTCCAGGCCGGGCGTGGTGGCTCACGCCTGTAATCCCAGCACTTTGGGAGGCTGAGGTGGGCAGATCATTTGAAGTCAGGAGTTTGAGACCAGCCTGACCAACATGGTGAAACCCCATCTCTACTAAAAAATACAAAAAAAAAAAATAAGCCGGACATGGTGTCACACGCCTGTAATCTCAGCTACTAGGGAGGCTGAGGCAGGAGAATCGCTTGAACCCAAGAGGCGGAGGTTGCAGTAAGCAGAGATTTTGCCACTGCACCTCCAGCCTGGGCAACAGAGCAAGACTCCATCTCAAAAAACAAACAAACAAACAAACAAACAAAAAACTTCCAACTACAAGGTTGTTCAGCATCAACTCCCATGACCCCATGGCCCAACACCCTCCCTCTTGTTCACCATGCTCCAGCCACTCCGTCTTTCTTCCTGTTCCTCCAACATGCAATACTCCTTCCCACCCCAGGCCCTTTGCACCTGCCTTTTCTGCTGTCTGAACCACTCCTCCCGCTCATCTTCCACCTGTAGTAACTTCTCATACTGCGGGTCCCTGCTCACAGAGCCCTGCCCAGATCGCCTTATCCAAAGGAGTTCCTTTTATACCTGTTACATTCTAGCACATCACATTATTTTATTTATTTTATTTTACTTTATTTTAGACAGGGTCTTGCTCTGTCACACAGGCTGGAATACAGTGGTGCAATCACAGTTCACTGCAGCCCCAAATTCCTGGATTCAAGTGATCCTCCTGCCTCAGCCTCCCGAGTAACTGGGACTACAGGCGTGCACCACCACACCTGGCTAATTTTTTTTTAGTAAAGACAGGGTCTTGCTATGTTGCCCAGTCTGGTCTCAAGCTCCTGGCCTCAAGTGATACTCCTGCCTCAGCCTCCCAAAGTACTGGGATTACAAGCACGAGCCACTACATCCAGCCCATTTTATTTTCTTCCTAGCATTTATCGCTATCTCAAATTATCTCAATTATTGTATTTACTTGCTTATTTTCTGTCTGTCATGAAGGTAAGCTCCATGAGACCAGAAATGTCATCTGTCTCCTGTATACCAAGGGCCTGGGACAGTGCCTGCTAAGTAACAAGTGCTTGTAAGTTGCTGTATCAAGTCATATAGGTGTTATTATTAGCCCTGTGTTACAGAGGAGAAAACTGGGATGCAAAGAAATTCTATGACTTGTTCACCTCCTATAGCTATGGATTAGCATTCAGAGCTGCTATAACCAAGTACCACAGACTGTGGGGCTTAAACAACAGACATTTATCGGCTTACAGTGCAGGAGGCCAGATGTCCAAAATCAAGGTATTGGCAGGGTTGGTTCCTTCTGCGGGCTGTAAAGGAAAATCGCATTCAAGGCCTCTCTCCTTGGACTGTAGATTGTCATCTTCTCTCTCTCTGTCTCTCTCTCTCTCTCTCTCGACCTCATCTTCCCTCTGTGTCTGTCTGTGTCCAAATTTCCCCTTATCGTAAGGACGCCAGTGACCCTCCAAGGCCTTCCCCTCACTCGGAATGAAACCCAAACTTCCAGGCCAAGCGCCCGGAATATGAACTTCCAGTTGTATTGGATTAGGGCCACCCTCATGACCTCTCTTCATCTTGATGACCTCTGTAAAGACCCTCTCTCCAAATAAGGTCACATTCTGAGGTACCAGGGGTTAGAATGTCAACATATACATTTGGGAAGAATGTGTCTCCATCCATTTTCTGTTGCTTATAACAGAAGACCTGAAACTGGGTAATTTATAAAGAAAAAGAATTTTTTTTTTTTTTACAGTTACGGAGTCTGGGAGTCCATAGGTCAAGGGAGCACACGTGGTGAGGGCCTTCCTGCTGGTGGGGGACCCTTTGCAGAGTCCCCAGGCAGCACAGGGCATCCCGTGGTGAGCGGGCTGAGCTGCTCACTTGCTAATTCAGGTCTCTCTTCCTCTTCTTATAAAGCCACTAGTTCCACTCCCATGATAATCCGTTAACCCATTAACCCATTAATCCATAAGTGGATTAACCCATTCATGAAGGCAGAGCCTTCGTGATCTCATCACCTCTTAAAGGCCCCACCTCTCAATACCATCACATTGGGGATTAAGTTTCAACATGAGTTTCGGAGGTGGGGTAAATATCCAAACCACAGCAGAAGGGTTACCATTCAACCCCTAACAAGCTGGTATGTGGCAGAGGTAGGATTCAAGCCCAGCTCTGTCTACTATGACATGACTGCAAGAGAGATTCAAGTGACGGTTGTGGACAATGACATTGGCGGCCCCCAAATGGGCCCCCTTGTGTGGTCCCCTCCCACACTGACGTGGCTTGGCCATGGGATTTGCTTCAGCCAATAGGACGTTTGCACGTAGGAGGCCAGCAGATTTGCTCTGAGGATTGGCCTGTTGGACCACTCTCTCTTGGAACCCAGCCATCATGGCCTAAAGAAGTCCACCAACCCTACTGGAGAGAAGTTCACTTGAAAAGAGGGCCCTAGAGCATGAGAGATGAGCTTGGATATTCCAGCCCTAGTGGATGCCATGGGAACCACAGATAAGCCCTGTGCCAATCACACAGTCAGGAGCAAATCAGTGGTTGTATTTTAAGCCACCGCATTTTGGAGTAGTTTACGATGCAGCGTTGGCAACTCAAACAGTGATCTGTGCTACTGTGAATTTCTATCATCAGCTGATGTTTTTTTTTTTTTTTTTTTTTTTTTTGAGACGGAGTCTCACTTTGTTGCCCAGGCTGGAGTATAGTGGTGCGATCGCTGCTCACTGCAACCTCCGCCTTCCGGGTTCAGGTGATTGTCCTGCCTCAGCCTCCCGAGTAGCTGGGATTACAGATAAGCAACACCATACCCGGCTAATTTGTGTATTTTTAGTAGAGACAGGGTTTCACCATGTTAGCCAGGCTGGTCTTGAACTCCTGACCTCAAATGGTCCACCTGCCTCAGCCTCCCAAAATGCTGGGATTACAGCCACCAGCTGTTATTTAGACCTTTCGGACTCCAAGCAACTTCAGCCACAAGCATACTGTGATTTGCTTGTTTTCAATGTTGTCTGTGAGGTTGTTTAATAAGGAATGGGCTTGCTTCCATTCTTTTTGGAATAGGGCAAAGAATGAATGAACAATTGAATGAATTAATAAACAAATATATGTTCATACACACTGTAAGTAATATTACTAATCCTTAGAAGAGATATGTTCTCAGACGCCTTTAAGAATTTGCCCCATGTCATGTCTCAGAACCCAGGAATCTGTCTGTCTCTGGGGAGCCCTGGGCAGTGTAGAGATTGTGCATTCAAAAATTTGTCAGAGGAGGCTGGGCGCTGTGGCTCACACCTGTAATCTCAGCACTTTGGGAGGCCGAGGCAAGAGGATCACTTGAGACCAGGAGTTAGATGCCAGCCTGGGCAACTTAGTGAGACCCTATCCCTACAAAAAATTTAAAAATTAGAAGGACATGATGGCGCACACCTTTAGTCCCATCTACTCTGGAGGCTGAGGTAGGAGGATCACTGGAGCCCAAGTTTGAGGTTGTAGTGAGCTATGATTGCACCACTGCGCTCCAGCCTGGGCAACAGAGACAGACTCTGTCTCTAAGAAAAGAAAAAAGATGATCAGGGGTACCATTACTTCTTCCACTCAATCCCGTCTACTCATTTATAACAAAGCCCAAAGCATAGACACGCCAAAGACAGTGAAGATTTTTTTTTAAATGAGGTGTCTGACCAGAGACAGATGTAAAGGTCAGGACAAAGACAGACGTCTCCCCCAAGTGGAAATCCGGGGAAATGCAGTCTAAGAGAAGAAGAGGGAGCCTCCAAATTCACCACTGAATGAGACCTGAAAGCGGAGTTGGAGGGGGAATGTCACGACCTAGGTCATGGATGCACACTCGGCCCTCCTGGGTCAGGCAGGGATGGGCATTTGGGAGGCAGGTTGGGTGTGGGGACAGGGAGTGTAGGGACCTGGCGGCAGCCACCACCACCACTCAGCTGAAACTCTGGGCTCTGCAGGATGTTGAGGTCTTGGCTTCCAGAGGAAAAAACATTTCCACCAGGGACACAGAAAATATCCCATTAAATCTCACGCTGCAGCTGCCACCTGGTCTCTTTGTACGCTTCACGGTGGGAAAGATGAGCAGGCAAAGAAAGGAGCCTCTGTCCTGGGAGGAGGAATGAGCTCCACCCTCAGGAGGAGGGAGGGCCGTCTGGGGTCAGGGAAGATGTTTAGCCCTCGGGTGATTTCACCTGGGCATTTCTAGTCGCCCGTCTTTTTTTTTTTTTTTTTTTAAAGAGAGAGACAGCATCTCACTGTGTTACATAGGTGGTGTTCAGTGGTGCCATCATAGCTCACTACAGCCTCCCACTCCTGGGCTCAAGTGATCTTCCCGCCTCAGCTTCCCAAGTAGCTGGGACCACAGGTGCACACCACCCTGCCCAGCTAATTTTTAATTTTTTTTTTTTTAACAGAGACAAGGTCTCACTATGTTACCCAGGCTGGTCTCAAACTCCAGACCTTAACTGATCCTCCCATCCCGGACTCCCAAAGCGCTGGGATTACAGACATGAGCCACCGCACCCAGCCTCTGGCTCACTTTTGATGGGAAGTGGTCACACGCAACAGCCACAGCCTGAGAAGGGAGGGGATGATGACCAGGGGCTCAGGACCCTCAGCAACGAAGGTCTTGATCAGCCCCTGGGTGAACCACTGAGGTCAGCAGGGGGCACGGCCAAGGGCAAGGGGAGCAAGAGTGAGTAACAGAGAATGGAGACAATGAATACCTGCTGGTGGCCAAGTCCCTTCCCAGCCTCTTCCTTTCAGGAAGCAGGTGAGCAGACTCAGCCAGGGTCTGCAGCCGCTTTGATGTGAGGCATGAAGGCTCAGCCCCCCTTCCCCAGTGTGGGGCAACTCTACGAGGCCAGCTCCAGAGCTTCTGGGAAGGCAATGCAGCCCAACCTGTCCCTCTGCCCAGTGCTGCCTCCTCCCACCCTGGATGCTGATCCCGAGAGCACTCCCAAAACCTTTCCCATGTGCCAGTCTCCACCTCAGAGCCTGCTTCCCAAGGTGCCCACCTGCACCACCAGCTGTATTCCTGGGGAGCAGCTCCGGCAGGTGGCTTTCTCATGCCCGACTCCAATTCCGCTTACTGGGCACACACCGATCCCCTCTTGCTTCACCTGGATCCCCCAGATATTTCTTGTTATCAACTGAATGTTTGTGTCCCCCTAAATTCATATGTTGAAGCCCTCATCCCCAATGGGATGGTATTAGGAGGTGGGGCCTTAGAGAGGTGATTAGGTTTAGAAGAGCTCATGAGAGCAGGGCCCCCACGATGGGATTAGTGCCCTTATAAGAAACAAAACAAAGCTCTCTGGCATGCGCTCGCACTCTCTTTCTCTCTCTCTTCTGTGTGTGTGTGTGTGTGTGTGTGTGTGTGTGTGTGTGTGGAGATATATATATATATATATATATATATAATCTCCCCACCATATCACTATCCAGCAAGAAGGCAGCCGTCTACAGCCAAGAAGAGAGCCCTTCCCAGAACCCACCCATGCTGGCACCTTGATTTTGAATTTCCAGCCTCCAAGAAATAAATGTGCTTGTTTAAGCCACCCATTCTATGGTATTTTGTTATAGCAGCCAGAGCTGGCTGAGACACCTTGTCATGCAATTGTCCTGCCTCATAAGGATCTCTGAAGTCTGGAGGTCACCACCATCTCCCACATCTACCCCTACAGCCACTCTTCACCCCCATACAGAGGGCAGAGGGAGATAAATTGCCTTCCCCGGAGACACAGGCTGCTCTCAGGTAGAGCAAGCCCTTCCCTCACCCGGCACTTCTCTCTACCCTGTTTGGGCCCCGTCCTCTAGCGAACAACTGAGGGAAGTGGGATGGGTTAAGAAGGACAAAGTTTATGGGCGATGAAGAAGACAAAAGCCAATGTGGATTTTTTTTTTTTTTTTTTTTTGAGTCAGGAAAGAAAGTTCATCAAATCCGCAGGAAGGTCTGAAAAGGTACTCTTGCGTCTCTACCACCACCCCCACCATTACCATGCAGGTGGGGCTGCCTTGCTGTGCCTACTGCCCCAGGGCTGACCACAGTCAACTCACCTGCTCAGCCACTGCTCCCCTAGCCAGAGGGGCTGAGTACAGAGGGCCTCCCACCCTCAGCCACCCCCTGTGTCAGAAGAGATCTTCCCACTAAAGAAAAATCCCAGCCCTGGCCAGGCGCGGTGGCTCATGCATGTAATCCCAACACTTTGGGAGGCTGAAGTGGGTAGATCACCTGAAGCCAGGAGTTCGAGACCAGCCTGGCCAACATAGTGAAACCTTGCCACTACTAAAAATACAAAAATTAGCTGGCCGTGGTGGCACACGCCTGTAATCCCGGCTACTCGGGAGGCTGAGGCAGGAGGATCGCTTGAACCCAGGAGGTGAAGGTTGCAGCGAGCCGAGATTGCACCACTGCACTCCAGCCTGGGTGACAGAGCAAGATTGTCTCAAAAAAAAAAAAAAAAAAAAAAACAAAGAAAAGTCCCAGCCCTGACACTAAGTCCAGGACACAAGCTCAGACTCCAGTTTCACTGAAGATTATTCCAATACATCAGAGAAGTTCTGATCTCTGTCCTGATTCGTTCGGGCTTCTATAACAAAATTCTTTATTTGACTGAGTAATTTTTTTATTTTTTTGAAACATTCTCACTCTGTTGCCCAGACTGGAGTGCAGTGGCACAATCTTGGCTCACTGCAACCTCTGCCTCCTGGATTCAAGCGATTCTCCTGCCTCAGCCTCCTGAATAGCTGGGATTACAGGCACCCACCACCACACCAGGCTAATTTTGTATTTTTAGCAGAGATGGGATTTCACACGTTGGCCAGGCTGGTCTCCAACTCCTAACCTCAAGTGATCCTTCCATGCCGGCCTCCCAAAGTGCTGGGATTACAGGTGTGAGCCACTGCGCCCAGCCAAGACTGAGTAATTTAGAAATGATAGAGATGTCTTGCTCACAGCTCTGGGTGGGGAGTCTAAGATCCAGGCGCTGGCAGATTCCATGTCTAGTGAGGGCCTCCTTGCTGGTTCACAGATGCCGTCCTCTCACTGTGTCACCTACAGGGTGAAAACAGGGCTAAAAAACTTTCTGGGGTCTCCTTTACAAGAGGTCTAATCCCACTCATGATTCTGGAAGTCCTCTCATATATTTTTACCAAACTCCTTGATGTTTAATTAACCAGAGCCCATTTCTGTTGCTTGCAAACAAGAACCCAGAGTAATACAGAGCCCTTTCCTGCCCAAATACCTGAATGGGTAGGGGTCTGGAAACTTCCAGGCACATGGTAGATGCTCAATGTGTGCACATCGAATGGATAAGAACACAATGGCCACCCTCAAGACTTAATTACTTCCCAAAGGCCCCACTTTCTGATACCTTGGGGTTAGGATTTTTTTTTTTTTTTGAGACAGTCTCCTGTGGCCCAGGCTAGAGTGCAGTGGTGTGATCACAGCTCACTGCAGCCTCGAAATCCTGGGCTCAAGTGATCCTCCTGCCTCAGCCCCTCCTGAGTAGCTGGGACCACAGGTGCGCTCCACCATGCCTGTCTAATTTTTTAGTTTTTTTTTTTTTTTGGTAGAGACGGGGTTGCTGCCCAGGCTGGTCTCAAGTTCCTGGGCTCAGGTGATCCTCCCACCTCCACCTCCCGGAGTGCTGGGATTACAGGCATTAGCCACACCCGGCTATTATGTCGTTATCCATTCGATGTGCATACATTGAGCACCTACCACGTGCCTGGAAGTTTCCAGACCCCTATCCATTCAGGTATTTGGGCAGGAAAGGGCTCTGTATTGCTCTGGGTTCTTGTTTGCAAGCAACAGAAATGGGCTCTGGTTAATTAAACAGTCAAGGAGTTTGGTAAAAATATATGAGAGGACTTCCAGAATCATCTGTACTCAGTGGGGCCAGGAGAGTGGAGGATGGAGCCTGTGAGGGCAGGGGCCCTGGCATTGGGGGCAGCAACAGGATGGAAGAACTGCCCCGATCCCCTGTCCCGGTTTCCTCCTGCATGGCAGCCACCCTGGCTAGCAACGGACAATTTCCTCTGCCCTGTCCTCCTCTTTCCTCTTCCAGCTCCCAGTGTCTTCCCTAGCCCTGACTCACTGCGCCATCCCTGCCCTCCTCTCCCCACCATTATATAACTGTCCCCTGTCCCAGGGGCCCTTATGTAACTCGAGTCACCTCAGGCTCCCTTCCCCACCTCGCAGCTCCCACCTCAGCCTGCCCTGTCTGGTACAATCTTTCACAGTTGGCTGGGCCAAGCCCTCAGTAAGAAATGTGAAAACAGAGAGAGAGAGGAGGAGGAGGAGGAGGAGGAAGAGGACTCTCCCCTTCCCAGCAGTGGGACAGAACAGAGACAAGGTCCAACTGGCAGGAGGACCTCTAGAGGAGGCTCTTCTGCACACGAAGCCCAGGCCCATGGCCTCTGTCAGGGGACTTGAGCAACTCCCTGTGCCTCGATTTGCACTTCTGTAAAATGGGGATATAGTACACATTATAGGATTGTCATGAGAATCAGAAAGTTTATTTGTATGCGTGTGTGTGTATACAAAGTGTTTAGAACAGTGCCTGGGCCGGGCATGGTGGCTCATGTCTGTAATCTCAACACTTCGGGAGGCCGAGGTGGGCAGATCACAAGGTCAGGAGTTCGAGACCAGCCTGGCCAATATGGTGACACCACATCTCTACTAAAAACACAAAAATTAGCCAAGCATAGTGGCATGCACCTGTAGTCCCAGCTACTCGGGAGGCTGAGGCAGAAGAATCACTTGAACCTGGGAGGCAGAGGTTGCAGTGAGCTGAGATTGCGCCACTGCACTCCAGCCTGGGTGACAACGCAAGACTCCATCTCAAAAAAAAACAAAAAAAGAACAGTGCCTGGCAAACTGTAAATGCTATATAACTGTTTGTTACTCTTTTGTACTCTTTTGGAGAGATGGTTCTAAATAATTGTTCCTTGAGTGGTGGTTTTCAATCTTCATGGTCTTGGGACACTTTCACACTCTTCAAACTGATAAATTGGTGGAAGACCCCCAAAGAGCTTCTGTTTAGGTATATGCCAATACTTTATATCCCGCTTCAGACAGAGTCAGTGCCCAGTAGAGATTAAGAGCTATTGTTCTTATTTAAAAGGACTTGGAGGCCAGGCATGGTGACTCACACCTGTAATCCCAGCACTTTAGGAGGCCAAGACCAGTGGATTGCTTGAGGTCAGAAGTTCAAGACCAACCTGGCCAACATGGTGAAACTCAGTCTGTACTAAAAATACAAAAAATTAGCCAGGTGTGGTGGTGCACACCTGTAATCCTAACTACTCAGGAGGCTGAGGCACAAGAATCACTTGAACCTGAGAGGAGGTGGAGTTTGCAGTGAGCTGAGATCACGCCACTGCCCTCCAGCCTGGGTGACCCAGTGAGAGTCCATCTCAAAAAACTAAATAAATAAATAAAATTAAAGGACTTGGAGGAGGTAATATTAGTAGGTAAGTACCGAGTAAATACCTACCAATATTCACCCTATTTCAAATTAAAGCCAAGGAAATTTAAAAATATTCATACAATAAACCTATTACATGTTAACATAAAAGCTTTTTTATGAAGAATAACTGTATTTTCTAAAGGAAAAAGCCATTAGTGTCAGGCCTCTGAGCCCAAGCTAATCCACTGTATCCCCTGCGACCTGCACCTATATGTCCAGATGGCCTGAAGCAAGTAAAGAATCACAAAAGAAGTGAAAATGGCCGGTTCCTGCCTTAACTGATGACATTCTACCATTGTGATTTGTTCCTGCCCCACCTTAACTGAGCGATTAACCTTGTGAAATTCCTTCTCCTGGCCACCTTGTGACCCCCGCCCCTGCCTGCCAAAGAACAACCCCCTTTGACTAATTTTCCTTTACCTACCCAAACCCTATAAAATGGCCCCACCCCTATCTCCCTTCACTGACTCTTTTCGGACTCAGCCCGCCTACACCCAGGTGATTAAAAAGTTTTACTGCTCACACAAAGCCTGTTTGGTGGTCTTTCACATGGACGTGCGTGAAAATTAGTGAGAAGCACAGCAATAGTTTACATTTTTGAGAACCTCCGAAATATCTGACTTAATAGAGGACAGCGGGACTGTCACGCCTGCTCCCGCCATCGGCCTGTTGCAACATCACATCTCCAAAAGCCACTGGGAAACTCCACTGTACACTCGTGAGAGAATGACGGTAAAAGCGGAAAATAAGGTCTTAGTGCTATTATGCAAACAGTTTTGATCCTGCAGACCTCCAGAGAGGTTCTCTGGACAACACTTCAAGAACCACTTGGTACATTGAGGAAAGAGAGTAGAAAGAAACAGGCATATTTTCATGTTTTCACCGCATTCGTACTCACCAAAGGAATAACGAGTAACTGGAGATCAGGTTTGCTTTCTTGATCCAAATCTCCTTCAAGCCCTTTTAAATTAAAACCACAACACCTGACCCCTCCCGGGCACTGGCTGAGTCCAGTTGGTTGCGTCTCACTCAGCTCTAACAGGTGGAGACTATTAAGAGCCCTTCATCTCACAGATGCAGAAACCAAGATGCAGAAAAACTAAGTGATTTCTCTAAGATGACATGGCCACCCGGAGATTCTATCCTCAGTGTTTCTGACATCTCCTCCCACCCTGTTTAGCAATGGTCTGAGCCTGCTTCAGCCTCCAGACCCAGTGATTCTCACTTAATTGAATTGGTCCAGGAGAGGACCCAGGCACCTAATTTTTTTTTTTTTTTTTTTTTTTTTGACTCAGGTGATTCTCATGAGCAGCCAGGACTGAGAAGAACTGGGCCAAGGTCTTGCCACTGAGAGTGAGGTCCTGGGTCTGACAGCCCAGCTGGGAGCTTTTGGGGGTACGAATCCTCTCCCACCCTCTGAACCAGAGTGTTCATGTGGACAAGAGCCTGGTGATTTGGAAGTACATCACAGTGTCATAAGGAAAAACTAAGAGAAAGTGAAGCTGATCAGAGGATTCCTGCCCGGGGGTAAAACAGCAGGATGGGGCAGTGGTTACAGCCTGGGCTCTGGGGCTGGCACATCCAGGCCCTGCCTCCACCCTTTCTCTTAAAGTGGATCCCACATCACTCTAAGCTTCATAACCGAGTAAAGATAAATGGTCCAACATTTCTTAAACCTCCACCAGGAAGTTCATAGACGCCTATAAATAAATAACCTAGAATTGCAACCATTCAAATCATTCTTTGTTTTACATAGGGGTAGAGGCTTGAGTTTGTCTTTGGGGGGGACAGACAGTTCCTTTGTTTTGGGGACACAGCAAGGGAACTTCTAGTAGTGAAATGACAAAGCAGAAACCTTTTTTTGTTGTTGTTGTTTTAGACCGAGTCTCACTCTGTTGCCGAGGCTGGAGCGCAGTGGCGTGATCTCGGCTCACTGCAACCTCTGCCTCTCAGGTTCAAGCGATTCTCCTGCCTCAGCCTCCATTGTAGCTGGGATTACAGGCATGTGACACCATGCCCAGCTAATTTTTTTGTATTTGTAGTAGAGACAGGGTTTCACCATGTTGGCCACGCTGGTCTCGAACTCCTGACCTCAGGCTATCTGCCCACCTCGGCCTCCCAAAGGGTAAAGCAGAAACCTTCTATGAAGATAGAGAGCTGCTTCTGTGACAGATTTGCGTCAGGAGAAAAGGAGGGGAGGGGAGAAGGGAAAGGGGCCACACACTTTCTATCTGGCCCTGGGATTGGGTTTGATCCCCCTGAGATAGTGGTGACTCAGAAGCTCAGAAGCTACCCTTACAGGTGGCTGGGTAGGGCAGTGGACATGTGTGCCACCAGCTCAAGCCCCTGCTCCTTCAACTCTCAGGAAGGTCACTTGGGGCAGACACTGAGGTTTCCTGCCTCAAGCACCTTTCCCTCACCCTCCTTCTTTACTGAGTCTCTTGGTGCCAAGAGCTCACTTCTCAGCCTCCTTTGTACTAGGGGAAGCGAGGTGATTCAGTTCTGACCAAGGAAATATAAGGGTAATTCTGCACCTGGGGTGAGAAGTAGGGCAGTTCTAGGAATGATTTTCTTTCTGATTAACAGGGAGACTCACAAGAAGAGCTCTCTTCCCTGGACAGCTTCTTTCCCATACTGGAGATTGTCAAGTGAAGATGTGATGTTTGGTGCCATGGCAGCTATCTTGTGACCATGAGGTCCCAAGCAGAGGACAGCTGATCAGAAGACTACTAGAAAGACACTGGGCCCCTGTTTACATTGTTGAGCAATGGACCAACTGTGAGATCACTCACATCCCGACTTATTGTTGTGTGATAACAAACATCCCTATTGTGTAGGCCGTAACAATTGTCCTGCTGCTTAAATGTTTCCTGACAGCTTTGGGGGCTTTGGGAGAGTGTCCCCATGGCAGCCTTGCAGGGGACCAATGGGGCCATGATGAGGCTACTCCAAGCAATCTTGCGTACTCACAGACAAGAACCTGTAGGAAGAGAGGGTGGCAGTCACATTTTGACTGCAACTGACACACTGGTTTGTGGATGTCTATGGGGACACCCCATTGGGGACTCCCAGAAACAACTGAAGAGCACTTTGCCACTGTGAATGAATTTTCTTTTCTTTTTTCTTTTCTTTTCTTTTCTTTCTTTCTTTCTTTCTTTTTTTTTTTTTTTTTTTTTGACAAGGTCTTGCTCTGTCACTCAGGCTGGAATGCAGTGGTGTGATCACAGCTCACTGCAGCCTCAACCTCCTAGACTCAAACAACCCTCCCACCTCAGCCTCCAGAGTAGCTGGGACTACAGGCACATGCTACCACACCTGGTTACAAATTTTTTGTAGAGATGGGAGTTTTGCTCTGTTGCCCAGGCTGGTCTTGAACTCCATGGCTTAAGTGATCCTCCCACCTCAGCCTCTAAAAGTGCTGGGATTGCAGGTGTGAGCCGCTGTACCCAGCCTGAATTTTCTAACACATAATGGGCAGTTACAGTTACAGACTGAGGGCATTAAAAGCAGCAATCCATTGGTGATGCCTGTCATGGGCACAAAATAGTGGAATGGTGGCAATGGTGTGTTCCACATTTGTTTACTCAGTGCTCCTGGCTGCTCACCCCAAAGATGCTTCCAGAAATGCCAACAGCCTGAAGTGTCCCCCATTGCTGCTCTAAGGAGAACATCAAGTGCTGGAGTCTCAGGGGAGCCTGGGAACCTTCTCAGCCTAGCCAAGCAAAGTATGTAGGTAGGAAGTTGATATGGTTTGAATATTTGTCCACGTTAAATTTCATGTTGAAATGTGATTCCCGGTGTTGGAGGTGTCTGGGTCATGTGGATGTATCCCTCATGAGTGGCTCACAGTAGTGAGTGGGTTCTCTCTCTGTTAGTTCACACAAGAGCTGGCTGATTAGAGGAGCCCGGCATCTCTCTGGCTCTCTCTCTCTCGCCATGTGACACACCAGCTCCCCATTCGCCTTCTGCCATGAGCAAAAGCTTCCCGAGGCCTCCCCAGAGGCCGAGCAGATGCTGGGGTCAAACGTGTACAGCCTGCAGAACTGTGAGCTAATACATCTCTTTTCTTTATAAATTACCCAGTCCCAGCCACATGTGGTGGCTCACACCTGTAATCCCAGCACTTTGGGAGGCCGAGGCGGGTGGATCACCTGAGGTCAGGAGTTCGAGACTAGCCTGGCCAACATGGTGAAACCCCATGTCTACTAAAAATACAAAAACTTAGCTGGGCATGGTGGCGTATGCAATAGCTTGTAGTCCCAGCTATTTGGGAGGCTGAAGCAGGACAATCGCTTGGGGAACCCAGGAGATGGAGGTTGCAGTGAGCCGAGATCATGCCATTGCACTCCAGCCTGGGAGACAGAGCAAGACTCCATCTCAAAAACAAACAAACAAACAAACAAACAAAAAACTACCCAGCCTCAGGTATTCCTTCATAGCAATACAAAATGGACTAAGACAGAGGTCCTTCCACAGTGCCCTGTCCTAACCCCCCTCACACTCTACCGAGAAGGTCAACCTCCTCCATTGACATGGAGCATCCTGAGTGCAAGATCACACCATATCCATCTAGGGACCACCAACGGGATCAGGCACAGAGCCTGGCACTGAAGAGACCCTGCTGAGGTCCCATGGTCAGGCACTGGGATCACAGTGGAAAGTGAGAAGACCATGGGTAACTGGGTTTGAGTCCTGCCTCTGACACATACAGCTGTGAGACCAAGGGAAAGTCCCTCAACCTTCCCAAGCCTCATTTTACCACATGCGACACAGACACCAACCTCAGAAGGTTCTGTTGTTCAGGCAAGATGATTCATGGAAATCGACTTTGACAACTCCAAAGCCCTGAGTGCCACATTCCTTTAGGAGATGTTCTGCTTATTAGCAGAGACAAGAGGATGATCATGAAAGGTCTGGACACAGAATAGACATACTTGAAAGGGGAAAGCAAAGCTGGAATTCAATTATTCTTTTTTTTATTTTCTTAAAAAAAATTTTTTTTTTTTGAGATGGAGTCTTGCACTGTTGCCCAGGCTGGAGTGTAGTGGCATGATCACAGCTCAATGCAGCCTCGACCTCCCGGGCTTAAGCGATTCTCCCGCCTCAGCCTCCTGAGTAGCTAGGACTACAGGTGCACGCCACTATGCCTGGCTAATTTTTAATGTTTTGTAGAGACAGGTCTCCCTATGCTGCTCAGGCTGGTCTCAAACTCCCTGGCCTCAAGCAATCCTGCTAACTTGACCTCCCAAAGTTAACTATTCTTTTAGTAAACAAATATTCGATGAGCCATGCCCTGTGCCACGCACTGGATGCCAGGATAAACAATAGACATAGTTCTTGTCCTCATCAAGCTTAAGGATATGCTATGCATACAGTAGCCACATGTGGTTATTGATTATTTATTTACTTATTTATTTATTTTAAGAGACAGAGTCTCACTCTGTCACCCAGGCTGGAGAGCATGGGTGCAATTATAGCTCACTGCAGCCTCAAACTCCTGGCCTCAAGAAATCCTCCCACCTCAGTTTCCCAAAGTGCTGGATTATAGACATGAGTCATCATGCATGTCCAGCCTAAATTTAAATCAATTAAAAATAAATAAAACTGAGGCCGGGCTCGGTGGCTCACGCCTGTAATCCCAGCACTTGGGGAGGCCTGGGCAGGTGGGTCACCTGAGGTCGGGAATTCGAGACCAGACTGACCAACATGGTGAAACCCCATCTCTACTAAAAATACGAAAATTAGCCAGGCATGGTGGTGGACGCCTGTAATCCCAGCTACTCAGGAGGCTGAGGCAGGAGAATCACTTGAACCCAGGAGGTGGAGATTGCAGTGAGCCGAGATAGCGCCATTGTACTCCAGACTGGGTGACAGTGACTCCATCTAAAAAAAAACAAACAAACAAAAACTGAAAGTTCAATCCTGTAGTCATACAAGTCACATATAAAGTGCCTAGTGGGCACATGTTTAGCGGCTGCCATTATCAGACAGTGTAGATTGGACGGCACAGCACTGAGATACAGTCTTGTAGGGGAGACAGACACCAAGCAGAGAGCCATGCAAATATCTAATTACACACTGATATGGTTTGGCTGTGTCCCCACCCAAATCTCATCTTGAATTGTAGCTCCCATAATCCCTACATGTCATGGGAGGGACCTGGAGGGAGGTAATTGAATCATGGGGGTGGGTTTTTCCCATGCTGTTCTCATGATAGTGAATAAGTCTCACAAGATCTGATGGTTTAATAAAGGGCAGTTCCCCTGCACATGCACTCTTGCCTGCCACCATATAGCCACCATATAAGACGTGACTTTGCTCCTCTTTTGCCTTCTACCATGATTGTGAGGCCTACCCAGCCATGTGGAGCTTTGAGTCCATTAAATCTCTTTTTCTTTATAAATTACCCAGTCTTGGGTATTTCTTCATAGCAGTATGAAATTAATACACATACCATGACATTTGTCAGTGGGAAGCCATGGGCAGTGCACTGACCATTTCTCAGGTGAGGAATAGAGCCAGGGAAGCCACTGGTTTTCATTAGACAAAGTGAACTGGGCACTTGAGAGCCTGACATGGCTCCCTGGACCTCCTGGAGCCATTCTCTCCAAGGCTGGAGACCCAGTGAACTCTCCTGGGAGGTGAGGTTCCTCTGTGACAATGTCTGACCTGACAGCAAATGACACCAGTCTAACCATTGGTGGATAATATGGCCTGCAGAGCCAGATGGCCTGGATTGGATTTTGTCTTTGCCAACCGTCTAACCCCGGGGCAGTACTTAACCCCTCTTGGCCTCAGTGTCTCCATCTGTAAAACAGGGAGAATAACAGTCTCTGGCCTAAAGGGTAACTGGGAGGATTAAATGAATTAAAGAATTTAAAACACTTAGAATAGCTCCTGGCACACAGAAAGCACTATGTACTCAGCTATTATTGTTATTATTATCATCCATGGGTGTTTGAACTTTTTGGAGGGAAGGAATGCACCTGCCACTCAATGTCCTCCTTCATTTTCACTCTGTGCTCCCTGTGGTATCATCACCCAAAGTGAAACTGACCATCACAGTCAGGGTCCTCTGTAAAACAAGTGGGAAAGGGAATATAACCGTAACTGCAATGTTAATCAGCTCATATTAAGGATTTTCCACATGCCAGACCCTGCGTGAAGCACTTTATATGTTAGCACGTGTTAGACCTTCACAACAACCCCAATAGGCATGTGCGATGAAAAAGATCTCCATTTTGCAGACGTTGAGGACATGTGGCTCACGAAAGTGAACTTGCCCACGTTGACAAAAGGATCTCGGCGTCAGTTCCAAGAGCTGCCACCAGGTGACAGTGCCCATCCACTTTCCAATTGCGCAGTCTGGCGGGAACACACTTTGGGTCGTCCCGCAAACATTTAATGAGCGCCTACTGTGCCTGGAACTGTTCTGGGCTCTGAGGATCCATGCAAATAAACCAGGAGTGGGGCGAAAAACTGCCATTATGGTTCTTCCTTTCCATTTTCCCTTGAATATAATAAAAGGTATCCCAGAGATGCGTGCCCAAGGGGGATGTGGCCTAACCGGACCGGAACTGGGAGGCTGGCAGGGAGGGATGGGAGTATCTGGAAGGGCCACGGTCCCCAAAGATCAGGGGCTGCCACTATTCCCAGAAGGAGGTGTTCTGCATCTCCCCTTCCTGCAGCCCCCGGGAGAGGGGAGCAGGGGTCCGTCCTATCCCTTTTGGTCTTATGTGGCTGGGATGGTTGCGGCGACGGGGGTAGAGATTGGGGGGCGCACCGCGGAGGGAGAAAGGAAATCTCACCCTGAGAATCTGGAGTGCAGGGAAGGGATGCTGCTCAAAGGTCTGTTTCTGGCTTTGGCGGGGGGCCACCTGAGACTGCCAGGGTTTGATGGTCTGAAGGTCACCCAGGGAACCAGCCCCATATGGGGTGCCGGAGCGCAGCTCCCAGGCCTGGTCGAAGCAATGCGACCTCGGAGAGGCCTGAGGACTAGGACGGGGTGAGGGGGACTCAGAGACGGCTGCCCCGGACCCCTCCTTCAAGCAGGTCCCACGGCCGCCCAGCGGACACGCGTCCGGGCTGTGCCCTGACCGTCTGCGGAGCGCACGGCCAGTGGCCCGGGCCGCTGAGTGTGTGAGCCCTGAAGGGCAGTGGACATGTGCGTACGTGGGTGATGTGTGCGGTAGGGGTGGTGGCGATCCTGCGTAGGGACCCACGTGAGGGGTGCACCGACTGGACGTGTGTGTTTCGAGGGGCCAAGGAAGCGGGTGTTGGTCCCAGTGTGCGTAAACGGACAACGACATCTGGGAGTTGGGCAGTGAGGAGAGAGAAGAGTGTGTCCAGGAGGAACCTGCCTGGAGGAGGCCTAGCGGTGTGTGTGCGCCTAGGTGTATACCGGGGCGTTGGTGACTTCGAGAGGCACCGGGCGGGATCGATCCTCTCTGCGTCCTGGACCTGGTGCTGGTGTGTTTCGGGGAAGTTACTGCTTATGAACCCCCCTTGGAGCGTGGCCTGGGGGCAGGAAGGCTTCCGCGCTGGGACCCCTGGGTCGCGATACCTCCCTCGGTAAGTGTATTGGCTAGGGGAGTGTTCCCGCAAATGGATCTACCCTGGGGAGTTGCCCGGCTCGTCTGGACTGCTTACGGGCGCACTGACGTTGTGGGGGGAATGTCCCCGAATTGGGGGCACGAGGTCGGGGGAATCGTCTCTGAGATCCGGGCTAGAAGCTACGAGCTTGGGCTCCGGGGGTGCATGCAGACGGCGCCTAGCCCCGCGCGGAACCGCCGGCGGGACCGGGGGTGGGGCTCGGAGGCCCGGGGGCGGGGCCGGCCGGGGGCGGGGGCGGGGGCGGGGCCGCGGCCGCTGCAGCAGCGCGGGCCGGGCCAGGGGGCGCCTCGCGCGGCAGCGACTCTGGCAGGCGCTGCAGTGAAGCTGGACCCGCAGGCGGGCGTGCGTGGAGCGGGGGCCGCGGCCGCGCCGCAGAGATGTGACTCGGGCCGAAGGCCAGCTGGAGCGTCGGCGCTGCGGGGCCGCGGGGGTCGGTAAGTGCGAGCTGCGCCGATGCAGTGGAGGACGCTGTGGGGACCCCAGAAACTTTTCCCGCCGTGGATTTGGGAGAATTGGGGGGTCCGCTTCTTGTGTTTTTCTAAGCGCCCCCCCAACCCAAGCCAGGGAGTTTATTGCTGGGGGAGATGTGGAATCTGGGCGAGGGGAACCACGGTGCGACGAGAGCAGAGCCGTAGAGGGGTGGGCGGGGGAGGGGAGGATCTGGGGACCTTTACGGGGGGAGGGAGACTGTGCCCGGACCAGGTAGAGATCCAAGTCTCCCAGGAGGGTGTGGGGGCGACCACAGGTGAAGGGCAGCTGGGAGGGTAAAGGAGCCCAGCCGTGTCCTAGTGACTCGTCATGTGTGAGGAGCTGCGGGCTGGTCCTGGGGCCGCGTTGGGGGCTGACTGTGGACAGGGCAGACGCAGCCGGGGGCACAAGGGCTGGACTTTGGGGGTGAACAGCCGCACCTGTCGCGGGGGCTGGGGGTCAAGCCCGCAGCCGGCTTGAGTGCGCATTACTCAGCAAGGGGAGGGGGGGACACGGCGGTGGGAGATGGCAGAGCTGAGACCTGGGCTGGGGACGAATGACGGGGAGGGGTGGGGAGGAGGGGGCGGCTGCATACAATGGCGGGGGGGGCAGTGGCGTTTCCCTTCCAGACAGGGGGCACTTGGACCTCTGGAAGAGGCGGCTAGGCTGGAGATAAGGACTAGACCTGTTCTCGGTCCCCTCTCCTTGGGGGACACAGGCTTCCAGCCCCACAAGGACCCCACACATCCCGGGGTCCCTAGCGCTTAGGCCGAAAAGGGAGCGCGCGGGAGGAGCCCGCACCCGCCTTGGCCCCGGGCAGCCGGTTGAACAGCCTGGGAAGGGGCCAACGACCTTGCCCCAGAAATCTCCCCCGTGCAGCGGGTTCACTCCTCCGTCCTTGCTCTGTCACACCCAGGCCTAGCCAGTCCTCCCTTTCCGTCCCCCGTTCGCTAAGGGGGCGGCTCCTTGGAGCGCGGACAAAGGCCCCTGGAGTGTGGCGGGCAGCGGCGTCCCCGCCTGGGGCCCCAGCCCACGCGCCACATTGGCCGCCCAACTGCACCAGGCCGGGGGGCACCTGAACAGAGCCCAGAAAGCCCTGGGGGACCCCGCAAAGACAAGAGAAGTGGGGGAGGGATCTGGCACAAAAACCCCGGCACTTCAGCCAAGGAACCTTCTTAATTCAGAAGTTTCTTCGGTGGGGACTCGGGCTTGCGGAGGATCCAGGCTTTGAGTTAAACTGCATGCAAATGACATGTAAATAGAATGCAAATTGGCATCTGTCGTTTGGAAGCCCTCCCGGCCAGTTTGGTATCTAAGACTGTGGAGTGAACAGTTTGCTATCTGCTCCCTGCTCTAAGCCTGGAAAGGGGTCAGCTGAGTTGGGAAGGGAAGGAGATTCCAGGAGGAAGGAGCCGCCATTTGGGGGCACAGGCAGCAAGACAGGCAGTTTTGTTAGAAAGATAAACTCAGAATCTTTACTGGATTAATATGTTATTTCAAGAAACGTGCCAGGGACAGAACTGGGTGCCTTGTATAAAACGGACAAAACCCCTGCTCTCCCGGGGCTGGGGAAGTGAGTGGACAAACATTAAACAAACCCATAGCAAATGGCTATGAAATCCGATTGGGGTGAGGACGGCCAGGAAAATAAGATGGGGTGATGTAAAAGAAGGTGACAGGGGTGTATGTACCTGAGATGACTGTTCCGGGAGTGACATTTGAGTGGAGCCCAGCTAGAAGAGGGGCCCTCCGCTGGGAGGTCTTGGAGGAAGACTGAACCAGGAGGAAGGCACTGTGCCTGCAAAAGCTTGGAGGTGGGAATGAGCTTAGAGGAACTGAACAAAGGCCATTGTGGCTGGAGCTGTAGGCAGATTTGGGGGTGGGGATAGGGGAATGGTAGGGACCAGCCAGATCATGATCTTTTGGGTCATGGAAAGGAGTTTAGGGTTTATTCTGTTTGGACCAGTGAACCCTTGGAGGGTTTTGAGTGGGAGGCCATGGGATCTGATTTGTAGAAGCTCCCCTGACGTTGACAAGGAAATGGAAAATAGCCCCCCTTTCCATTCTGCCCATGGGGATAGAGAGACGCTGGGAGCCTCCAAGGGGCTCTGTCCAGCCTTGGGGGACCGCTTTGAGCCTAGCCAGCCACTGCAAGCCAACTGGAGGAGCAGCTCAGGTTTTAAAATCCACTCCCTGCTTTCATACAGTTTTTATCCACTCTAACGGAGCCCCCCGGAGCCCACGGCCCCGTAAGCACTTTCTCGCAGAGCTTCCTGGGGGTTCCGCTTAGTCACATTTTCTTCTCGGAATTACAGCCTGAGAGGAACCAACCACTGTGGATCGGGCAGCCAAGGATGCAATTTGCATTTCAATGATTGCTTTTATTTACAGGACTGGAGCTGCTTTGCATATTCATGGATCACAGAGCTTGTGTTCTTGCAACCCTGTTTACTAACCTATGAGGATTTTTTAATTTGAGAGCCCTCAAATGGGCCAGTGGTCTAGTCAGCATTGGGAAATGAAGATGATGAGATCCTGTAACTCGGAAAAGATATCAGAGGGTGAGAATTGGGGGTGTGGGAAAGAGCGGGTCTGAAGTCAGGAAACCTTGTAACAGTTTAATCCTGCAGAGCAGGAAATGGACCAGAGGCTCCAGCAGGAGTGAGTTGGGACAGACTATGATGCTGGGGTGCATGGGGATCTGGCTCTGCAGCCCCATCCTGAGCCTCTGCCACACGTGAGGGATTCAGAACAGGGATGCAGCAGAAACGCCTTGAGGTCAGGAGCTGGGAGAAATGGGGGCTAGTCCCAGGCCAGCCTGTAAATTCCAGTGAACCTCTGGCCAATTTTCCTGACGTCTCTGCCTTCATTTTCGCAACAGGAAAATGGGAATCATGATTGTCTTTCTTTTTTGAGACAGTTTAACTCTGTCGCCCAGGCTGGAGTGCAGTGGCGCAATCTCGGCTCACTGCTAACTCCGCCTCCCGGTTTCAAGAGATCCTCCTGCCTCAGCCTCCCAAGTATCTGGGATTACAGGTGTGCACCACCACGCCCGGCTTATTTTTGTATTTGTAATAGAGACAGGGTTTCACCATGTTGGCCAGGCTGGTTTCAAACTCCTGTCCTCAAGTGATCTGCCCACCCCAGCCTCCTAAAGTGCTGGGATTACAGGCATGAGCCACCGCGCCTGGCCATGATTGACTTTTTAACAAGCAATTCACTAAAAAGCTGTTGCTTCCTCTGTGTCGGGCACCAAACCTGACTTTTCTTTTCTTGTTGTATTTATTTATAATAGAGACAGTCTTGCTACGTTGCCCAGGCTGGTCTTGAACTCCCTTCCTCAAGCAATCTCCTGCCTCCCATAGTGCTGGGATTACAGGCATGAGCCATCACGCCTGGCCCAGACTATTTTTCACGTACTTCTCACACCAGCCTTGTAAGGCAGCGCTATCATTATCCCCATTTTACAGATGAAGAGACCGAGGTTCAGAGAGGTTAAGTAATGCCCAGTGTCATATAGCTCTGTCTGACTCCCCTCTTCTGGCCTGCCTCCCACTGAGGCCTTTCAGCCTGATGGGAGAGTGAACTGTGTACCCGTATTCATGTGGGTACTGGGCACTGAACTATTAAATATGCACAGGGCTCGGAAATCCACTCCCACCCCACCTGCTCATTTTGTCTTTCCCTTCTGTGTTCCAGTGCCTACCGCCATCTTTAGAGAAGGTAGGTTAAGATGCCACTGCCCTGCTAGACACTCGGAGGGGACATGGCTGGGGTCGAGGGGACATGGCTGGGGTCGAGGGGACACAGGGTGGAGCCGTGCTGGTAGCAGCTGGGGCAAGGCCAGTAAGAATGTTCTAGAATGGTTTTGTACATTTCATGTCTCCTTTCCCGTGAGTGAAAGGGAAGATGAGGATGCTGGTTCCCAAGAGAATGGCTGGTGTCTGCTCTCTGGGTGTCCTGGGTCTGACTCCGCAAGAGAGATGCCTGGTTTCAGGGCACCCCAAGGTCCTCTGGCCTAGGTTCTACCTCCACAGCGAGGCTCTCACTTACAGCACCTGCTGCAGGTTGCAGAAGAGTGTGGGAGTCCCCAGGGCCAACCACCCCAAGAGGGTCTCCCCTTCACACCACCTCAGGGACCTCTTTCGTTGATGTTTGATGGGGGAGGCTAGAAGCCAGCAGTGGACAAAAACCTAAACCAGTAATCTCATTACAACACATTCTTTTCTTATTTTATTTTATTTTATTTTATTTTATTTTATTTATAACAGAGACAGAGTCTTGCTATGTTGCCCAGGCTGGTCTTGAACTCCTGGCCTCAAGCAGTCTCCCACCTCAGCCTTCCAGAGTGCTGGGATTACAGGCATGAGCTTGGAAACCAGCGGTGGACAAATACCTAGGCGAGCCACCTCGTTACAACACCATCTCCATGGCAACCACCCCTTCTAGAAAAATCAGTTTCAGAAGAGCTCACCACCTCAGACAAGGGAGCGTTTGCCAATCTTTTTTATTTTATTTTATTTTATTATTATTTATTTTATTTTATTATTATTATATTTTGAGCAGGGTCTTTATGCTGTCACCTAGGCTGGAGTGAAGTGGCTCAGTCACGGCTCACTGCAGCTCAAACTCTTGGGCTCAAGCGATCCTCCCACCTTAGCCTCCTGAGTAGCTAGGATTACAGGCACACACCACCACACCTGGCTAATTTTTGTATTTTTATAGAGACAGGGTTTCACTATGTTGCCCAGGCTGGTCTCCAACTCCTGGGCTCAAGCGATTTGCCTGCCTTGGGCCTCCCAAAGTGCTGGGATTACAGGTGTGAGCTACGGCGCTTGGCCTTTTTTATGTATTTAATAGACACCTTATATAAAGTGCTTACCCCATTAACTACCGTCCTAAACCCTAATTATTTTAACCGTCACCGCAACCCCATGGGGTGGACACTGTTAGCACCTTTGTTTTGCAGATGAGGCACCTTATGGCAGCTGCCCAGAGTCACAAGGTGCTAGCAGGTGGTGTGGGGACATTATCGGAAACTGGGAGATCTGATTCCTAAGTTCACACCAAGGTATGGCCTTGGTGTAGCCTCCGGGCAGGCCTTGTTTTCCTTCTCACACAAGGAATCCTGCCTGCCTGTGTTCGCCCTCTGCAGGCCCCAGCACGTGGAGAGATAGAGTGTGCTGTTCCTCCACCTGCTAGCTGCTTCTGGCCCCTCTGCAGAGTGCGTGCATGCGCGTGTGTGTGTGTCTGTGTGTGTGGTGTGTGTGTGTGTGTGAGAGAGAGAGAGATGCAGTATATTTAAGAGCATCTGAGTGAGTCACATTTCTAGGAGCCTGGCTGGCAGCAAAGGTAATTAGTATGTGAGCTGAGTCTTGTGCATTCGTTCACATTTATTCATTACTCCTTTTGAGAAGCGCACGCCTGCATCCCACGGGTTTGTTGCCATATATTCATCCTGTCCCAATCAATCCTGCCTCGAGGCTGACTCGAAACCTCTAATCTGGTATTGTTCCTTCTGGGGCTCCTGGAGAGCTGCCCAGCTCTCGGGGGTGGGAGGCACCAGGTGCCTAATTTAGCAGGATGGGGGCTTACCTGCCATGGGGCACAGTGGATCGTGGGCATTGCCTGCCTTGTCTTGGGCTGGGGTGGGGAGGTGAAGGAGCTAGGGCTCTGAGTTCCGGCTCTCGCTGCTATACGTGTCCTTGTGTATCCAGCCTCAGTACACCCCCACATCGCCTGCAGCACTGGTGGAAGCACTGGTGGCTGGACCCACGCCCTGAGAATCTGCATTTCTAAAGAGCTCCAGGGCGATGTTGCTGCTTTTGCCAGCCCGAGAACCAAACTTCGATGTAAACCTCTCAGACCCTCAGTTTCCTCCTCTATAAATGGGAATGAGAACACACAGCCTTTCGGGGTGGTGTGAGGTTTGGAGACCACATTTATCCATTCACTCGGCAACTGGATTGTGAGCACTGCCCAAGTGCCAGGCACTGGGGAAATGGTGCAGACGACAAGGTCCCGGGCATGAGGTAGGGGTTGGGGGAAGAGGGGAATGGTGAGGAACAGACCAAAAGAGTAATACAAATAAAATAATCTGGCCCAGTGTGGTGGCTCACGCCTGTAATCCCAGAACTTTGGGAGGCTGAGGCGGGCAGATCACTTGAGGTCAGGAGTTCAAGACCAGCCTGGCCAACATGGCAAAACCTCCGTCTCTGCTAAAATACAAAAATTAGCCAGGTGCCTGTGATCTCAGCTACCTGGGAGGCTGAGGCAGGATAATGGCTTGAGCCCAGGAGGCAGAGGTTGCAGTGAGCCGAGATCATGCCACTGCACTCTAGCCTGGGCAACAGAGCGAGACTCTGTCTCAAAAAAGTAAAATCAAATAATTGAAAATTGAGGTACACGCTACAAAGATATCACTCAAAAGATTGACAAGGACAGGGAGAATCTACTTTGGGTTTTTTTGTTTGTTTGTTTGTTTGTTTGTTTTTAAGACGGAGTCTCACTCTGTTGCCCAGGCTAGAGTGCAGTGGCGTGACCTCGGCTCACTGCAACCTCCGCCTCCTGGGTTCACATCATTCTCCTGCCTCAGTCCCCCAAGTAGCTGGGATCACAGGCACGTGCCACCACGCCCAGCTCATTTTTGTATTTTTAGTAGAAACGGGGTTTCACCATGTTGGCTAGACTGGTCTCGAACTTCTGTCCTTAAATGATCTGCCTGCCTCGGCCTCCCAGAGTGCTGGGATTACAGGCGTGAGCCACTGTGCCAGGCCAGGGAGAATCTACTTTGATTGACTTGCCAGTCAAAGGCTCAGCAAGTGGCACTTCTGGGACTCTAGTGTGTAGTAAAAGCTAGTGTGTAGTAAAAAGCAATAGGACAATTGTTTGTGTCTCGCCTCTCCCCTTTGTAGCTGCGTGACCTTGGACAAGCCTGCTGTCTTCCCTGTGCCAGGTTTTGTCTCCTGTAAAATGGAGATAGTAATAGTACTTACCTTATAGAATTATAATGTGGATCATTAGGTATTAATATACGCGAAGTACACAGAGTGCCTAGAACATAGCACTGTAAGGGTTAACCAGTTATTGTTGTTGTCACTTTGGCTGCAATAGGAAACTCTGGGGGGCATTTCTGAATCCCCCAGAAATCCTAGATGAGCTGCCTCAGTGTCAGTCTGTGAGGCAATGTGCCACACCCCTCCCCCAAACATCCTGGACATTGTCCTATGGAGTGGGTGGCTGTCACCTCATGGGCAGCCATGGCAATGATAATGACCCACTTGAGACAAGTGGTGCCATCAGTTGCATCTGTGTGCTTAGATATTGGGTACGGAGGACTTCCTGGAAGAAGGGGGCCATAAGATGTGGGAGGAACATTAGAACTTCTTTGTTGGTAAGTGACAGAAACCCAGCTCAAACTGGCTTAATCCAAAAAAAGCAGGGGCTGGGGGAGTTAACTGGCTGCCGGAACTGCATAGACTAGGCTGGCTTCAGGCATGGATGAATCCAGCCATTCAGTGTATTAGGACTGTGGTCCATCCCATAGCTGTTTCCTCTGGGACAGCTTTACTCTCAGACAAGTTCTCACCCTGTGTGTTCTCCAGCTTCAGGCCTCCATCCTTGTAGTTTTTCAACCCCAGCAGAAAGAGAAGACCTCTTTCCAGTGAGTGCTAGAACAATCCTAGAGCGGATTCTCACGGGCCTGGCTCAGGCCACGTGCCTTTCCATGAACCACTCACTGTGGCTAAGGGTAGCATAAATGCTCTGATTGGCCAGGCCTAGGACAGATGCCCATGCTGGGAGCTCAGACGCAAGGTAGCTCTCCAAGGGAAAATCAGGTGCTCTTTCCAGAAATGGGAGAAGCGGATGCTGAGCAGCGAAAACAACAGCTGTCCCGGAAGAGCAGAGCGTTCCACCCTCAGGGATGAAAACAGAAAGCAAGAGTGTATCTATTTCCCATGTCAGAGAGGAGTCAGGAGCTGGAAACCTGGACCAGGGCCATAGAACTCTGCACCATTTCAGAAGCTTGGTCGCCATCTTGGTGTTGGCATCCTCCACATAGGTTTTCTGTTGCGACTGCATGGCTGAGCAGGAAGTGGGAGGAGCTGGAGAAACAAAAGTCCCAATTTGCAGCCAGGTCTGGAAAAGAGAGAACCCCCTCAGGGAGTGAATGGAAACAGCTTCAGAAGGCCAAGTTCTTGCAAGGAGACCCAGGGTGCAGGCCTGCTGCTGAGGGGCCTGGCTGGTTTTGTGGCATCTTCCCCATCGATTCTCTCTTTACGTGCCTAAACCAGGCTTGCTCCACCTTGGCACAGTTGACCTGTAGGGCTGGATAATCCTTTCTCATGGGAGCTGTCCTATTGTAGGATGTTTGGCAGCATTGCTGGTCTCTATCCCCCTGATACCAATTGCATCTCCCTCCCTAGTTGTGACAACCGAAAATGTCTCTAGACATTGCCAAATGTCCCCTTGGGGTCAAAACTGCAACTGGTTCGGAACCACTGGCCTACTGGGTGAGGAGGGGTTGGGGAATCGGTGGTAGTGAGGACTGCAAAGCACATTCCTGCCTGTCATCCTCCCAGCCACCCTGGGGCTGGATGGGATTAGAGAGGCTGCTTGCAGCATTGCTTGCTGAAACTTGCTGAGAAGTCTCTTAACTGAGCTGGCCATTGATGAGATGTCTCAGGGGAATCCATTCCAGGGCCCCTCCACTGGGTCGGGGACTGTTGGCATTTTGTTCTGACACCTCCAGTTCTTAAATTTTGATCCCTCGTGTGCTTTAGTACCTCGTGACAAGCAATTGTGCTAGGATGATGTTTCTCCAAAGGGTGGTAGGTTGAAATGCGCCCAGTGGGTATGCAACATGGGTTACATCAACGAGCGATTTTATTTTATTTTTATTTATTTATTTATTGAGACAGAGTCTTGCTCTGTTGCCCAGGCTGGAGTGCAGTGGCAAGATCTTGGCGCACTGAAACCTCCACCTCCCAGGTTCAAGCGATTCTTCTGCCTCAGCCTCCCAAGTAGCTGGGACTATAGGCACGTGGCACCACGCCCAGCTAATTTTTTTTATTTTTAGTAGAGACAGGGTTTCACCATACTGGCCAGGCTGGTCTCAAACTCCTGTCCTCAAGTGATCCTCTTGCCTCAGCCTCCCAAAGTGCTGGGATTACAGTTATGAGCCACTGCACCCAGTCTCAATGAGCAATTTAAAAATGTCTGGAGATAAATACTTGAATGTGTTTGGTTTTCTTGTAAGTGGGTTGATTCAAAAGTTAAGTAAATAACCGCCCAGGTGGTGTGTGGACAAAGCATAAGTAGCTGTGGTGGCACGTCAGTGACCGACGTGGCAGGACCACGAATAAGTGCTGGATTGCAGGCCGACCGATGCCTGGGGTGCATCCTCACCCCGGAAGGTACCTGAGCAGGATGCTGGGGCGGAATGCTGGCCGGATGCCTTCTATTCTGAGGCTGCCTCCTCTCATCAGTAGGCAAAGGACATGAGCCCGACAGCCCCAGGCACCTTTTCCTTCAGTAACATCAATAATTTATGCCACTGGAAAGCCTCACAGCCAGGGCAGGATCTGAGATGCTCACAGGATCTCTGTAACAGTGAGGTGGTCGATACCGCATTTACTTAGGGAAGCCCCAGGGACGTACTGGAGCCCGGGGAGAGCAGCTGGTCACAACCCCACACGTGGGTTGAGCTGGGGCAGTAAGTCTGGCTTGAGAGGCCAGGAAACAAGCATCCAGCCAGCTGTGCGGGCTGTGGCTTTCCTAAAGACCAGGCTCCCTTCAAAAGCAAGGGGCCGTTAGAGAAAAAAAAAAAAAAAGGGAAGGAGCTGGTAGCCGTGAGGTAGGGGACAGTCCTCACTATGTTTCTCATTCATTCAGTATTTACTAAACATCGTGCCAGGTGCTGTGTGTCGAGCTTGAGTCTACAGCCATGGTTCTCATCCAGGTGATTTTGCTCCCCCAGGGGACATCTAGCACTGTCTAGAGACATTTTGGGTTGTCACAGTTGGAGGAGGGGACGTGCTACCGGTATCCAGTGGGTAGAACCCAGCGATGCTGCTAAGCATCCTGCAACGCACAGTCCCCCATGACAGAGAACAACCCAGCCCAAATGTCAGTCGTGCCAAGACTGAAGGAGCCTTGTCTGCCGGTGAACAAGAGAGACCATGTCCCTGCCCTGCCACGTCTTGCAATGGAGGAAGTGAGGATGGGAGGACAGGAGGAAGGGAAGGCAGAAACAAAGTAAACAGCCAAAAAATGACAGACGTGATTAGACCAGAGGCTGTGGTGGAGAGGACTGGGGTGTGACCTTGGCCAAGTCTGAGTTGATGGCATCAGAGCTGAGCTCAGCACTGGGAGGAGGAGTGGCCAGGCAGAGGGAGCAGAGGGGCAAGAGGAGACTTGGGTTAGGCCCATCGCTGAGGCTGCTGTGTGGACTCCAGCTCGTATATGGGCAAGAGAGAGGGCAGCAGGGAGAATTCTGCAGGTTTCCCAGGGAGAGAGGCACTCTGGGGAATCCTCCAGAGATGTTCTAGAGAGCGAGCGTGGGAGGTGAGGGAGAGACGCAGCCTGGAACCAAGGAAGACAGCTGCTTTTGTGTTTACTACATTTGAAATGCTGGGATTCCAGCACTTTGGGAGGCCGAGGCGGGTGGATCACCTGAGGTCAGGAGTTCGAGACCAGCCTGGCCAACATGGTGAAACCTAGTCTCTACTAGAAATACAAAAAAATTTAGCCAGGCGTGGTGGCGCACGCCTGTAATCCCAGCTACTCAGGAGGCTGAGGCAGGAGAATCGTTTGAACCTGGGGAATCAGAGGCTGTAGTGAGCCTCCGATTGCGCCACTGCACTCCAGCCTGGGCGACAGACAGACTCCGTCTCAAATAAAAACAAAAAAGGAAAGAAATGCTGGGAGCCCGCGGAGTGAGGTCGCACCCAGGAGTTGAGTTGTGTGACCTTGTGCAAAGGTTGTCACCTCCTGGAGACTCTGTATTGTCACCTGTAAGATGGAGGTCCTAATAGGAGCTGTCTCACAGGGCATTGTGAGGACTGGATGTGTCCAATTCCTGGCTGTTAGCTGTTAGCCTCGAGAGGCTGAGACCAGGTAATGTGTGCCACTCATTCTCCCAGTGCAGCACTTGGCCTGTGGCTGTGTCTTTAAAGTTTCATTTTTTTCCCCTTATTTTTCTTTCTTTGGTTTTTTTTTTTTTTTTTGGAGACGGAGTCTAGCTCTGTCGCCCAAGCTGGAGTTTAGTGGCACGAGCTCAGCTCACTGCAACCTTCGCCTCCCAGGTTCAAGCAATTCTGCTGCCTCAGCCTCCCAAGTAGCTGGGATTACAGGCGCCCGCCACCATGCCCAGCTAATTTTTGTATTTTTTAGTAGAGACGGTGTTTTACTGTGTTGGCCAGGCTGGTCTTGAACTCCTGACCTCGTGATCCGCCCGCCTCTGCCTCCCAAACTGCTGGGATTACAAGCATGAGCCACCACGCCCAGCCTTCCTCTTATTTTTCAAGAGGTCAGATGTGGCACAGAGTATCCAATTCAAAGAATACAAAAGGGTATACAGAGAAGTTGGCCTCCCTCCTACCCTGTCCTTCAGCCACCAGTGATGATGATTCACGGTTCTTCACTGCACCCAGCCAAGGGTACAGATGGGTCCCAAAACCTCCGTGCCTGAGGAAAGGAGCACGTTTTCCTATGTGTGCAAAGGTGCCGTGTGCGCTTGCAGGTTTGAAATGAGGCGAGTCTTCTTCAAGAAGTCAGGAGAGGGGGAGTCTTCCAATGAATTCATCTTTCCTTCCCCCCAACCATTCCCCTCTTGGCTTTTCTAGAATGTTCGTGGCATCAGAGAGAAAGATGAGAGCTCACCAGGTGCTCACCTTCCTCCTGCTCTTCGTGATCACCTCGGTGGCCTCTGAAAACGCCAGCACATCCCGAGGCTGTGGGCTGGACCTCCTCCCTCAGTACGTGTCCCTGTGCGACCTGGACGCCATCTGGGGCATTGTGGTGGAGGCGGTGGCCGGGGCGGGCGCCCTGATCACACTGCTCCTGATGCTCATCCTCCTGGTGCGGCTGCCCTTCATCAAGGAGAAGGAGAAGAAGAGCCCTGTGGGCCTCCACTTTCTGTTCCTCCTGGGGACCCTGGGCCTCTTTGGGCTGACGTTTGCCTTCATCATCCAGGAGGACGAGACCATCTGCTCTGTCCGCCGCTTCCTCTGGGGCGTCCTCTTTGCGCTCTGCTTCTCCTGCCTGCTGAGCCAGGCATGGCGCGTGCGGAGGCTGGTGCGGCATGGCACGGGCCCCGCGGGCTGGCAGCTGGTGGGCCTGGCGCTGTGCCTGATGCTGGTGCAAGTCATCATCGCTGTGGAGTGGCTGGTGCTCACCGTGCTGCGTGACACAAGGCCAGCCTGCGCCTACGAGCCCATGGACTTTGTGATGGCCCTCATCTACGACATGGTACTGCTTGTGGTCACCCTGGGGCTGGCCCTCTTCACTCTGTGCGGCAAGTTCAAGAGGTGGAAGCTGAACGGGGCCTTCCTCCTCATCACAGCCTTCCTCTCTGTGCTCATCTGGGTGGCCTGGATGACCATGTACCTCTTCGGCAATGTCAAGCTGCAGCAGGGGGATGCCTGGAACGACCCCACCTTGGCCATCACGCTGGCGGCCAGCGGCTGGGTCTTCGTCATCTTCCACGCCATCCCTGAGATCCACTGCACCCTTCTGCCAGCCCTGCAGGAGAACACGCCCAACTACTTCGACACGTCGCAGCCCAGGATGCGGGAGACGGCCTTCGAGGAGGACGTGCAGCTGCCGCGGGCCTATATGGAGAACAAGGCCTTCTCCATGGATGAACACAATGCAGGTAAAGTGGGCACCACCCGGCTGGGTCAGGCCGGGGGACCATTCATCTCAAAAGATACTCTTCTTCCTCTTCAGTGGGGATGGGCGGTCCCAGTACCTGGGGCAGTCCTAGCAGATCAGAACCCACAAATGTTGACTCCTGGGCTGAAACTGACCCAGATATGGGTTTGGGTTGTTTGTTTGTCTGTTTGTTTGAGACAGATTTTCGCTCTTGTCACCCAGGCTGGAGCACAATGGTGCAATCTCAGCTCACTGCAACCTCCGCCTCCTGGGTTCAAGTGATTCTGCTGTCTCAGCCTCCCAAGTAGCTGGGACTATAGGCGTGTGCCACCACGCCCAGCTAATTTTTGTATTTTTAGTAGAGATGGGGTTTCACCATATTGGCCAGCTTGGTCTTGAACTCCTGACCTCAGCTGATATGCCCACCTCGGCCTCCCAAAGTGCTGGGATTACAGGAGTGAGCCACCACGCCCAGCAGGGTTTGGGTTTTTTGTTTTTTGTTTTTTTCTTTCTTTCTTTTTTTTTTTTTTTTTTTGAGACAGGGTCTTGTTCTGTTGCCCAGGCTGAGTGCAACAGTGTGATCATAGCTCACTGCAGCCTCGAACTCCTGGCTAAAGCAATCCTCCCAACTCAGCCTCCTGAGTAGCTGGAACTGCATGCATACGCCACCATGTCCAGCTACTTTTTTTATTCTTTTTAGAGACAGGGTCTCATTATGTGGCCCAGGCAGGTCTCAAACTCCGGGGCTCAAATGATCCTCCCGCCTCAGCCTCCCAAAACTCTGGCATGAGCCACTATGCTCAGCCTCAGATATGGATTTTTATTAAGCTTTTTTTTTTTCCCTACCAATTGCCAGCCAATTTATTTTAAAAATACAGGTTTCTGGCTTCTTTTGCAAAGTCAAATCTGGCAACACTGGACCAACATTTCCACCAGGCTGCAATGGTCTGAAACTGACTTGAGCCCATGTGCACTGGAAGGGCCCTGCCTCTGGCCCCTCCTGGACTTGTGGCTGCCCTTTAGATGGGAATCCACTTTTCTGTTCACCGCACTCTCTACCGCTCTCTATTGCACCTGACCCAGCTGCTATATAGGATAGTAACATTAATTCCCTGGCTCCCCCAAAGCATTTGAGTCTTCAACCCATGTGCTGGATGGATGTAGGGGGCCACAGCGGGGATTGCTCCCATCCCCTCTCCTAGCTCAGTTACCGGGAATGTACTAATTTGGGCCCTGGAGGCAGATGTCTGCGTTCAAATTTTGCCTCTGCCACTTCCTAGATGTGTGGCTTTGAGGAAATTATATTACTTTCGTGAGCCTCAGTTTTTCTCATCTGTGAACTAGAAATAGTAAGAGACTGTACCTCATAGAGCTGTTAGGAGAAGGAACACAGTGAGTACAAAGCCCTCTTGGTACCTGGTATGTTCTCTGTGCATCTGACTTGGCTTCCACTGAAAGAAGAATCTGAGACACAAGGGCTCCAGTGCAGGTGGTTTCGTGGGGAAGTGGTCCCTGCAAGGGAGAGGACAGGGAGAATGAGACTGAGAAGGCAGAGAAGATAAAACAAGCACATTAATGAGCTAGTTACTACCACGGGCAACAGGGGCTCATTTGTGCTGGGAATCCTCTGAGGACATATGCTGAATGAGCCTCAGAATTGGTCCAGGAAGAAAAGGAGGCTGGGGCATCTGTCCACAGGCTCCCATCTCCCAGTGTTATTTGGTTTTGGTTTTGGTTTTTTATGGATTGAGTCTCGCTCTGTTGCCCAGGCTAGAGTGCAGTGGCACAATCACAGTTCACTGCAGCCTTGACCTCCTGGGCCCAAGCAGTCCTCCCACCTCAGCCTCCCGAGTAGCTGGGACCACAGGCACACACCACCACACCCAGTTAACTTATTTTTTATTTTTGATAGACATGGGGTCTCACTCTGTTGCCTAGGGTGGTCTCGAATTCCTGAGCCCAAGTGATCCCCCCACCTCAGCTTCCCAAAGTGCTGCGATTACAGGCATGAGCCATAGCACTGGGCCCCCCAGTGTTATTAACATCCCCTATAATTCTGGTGACTGGGGTGGATAAGTATCATCAGTTCCAAGGCAGAAAAACAGACTTGCTGAGCGCTTGAGATGGATGTTATCTGGGTACCCAGGACTATCTGCTACTGCTGCAGGGGGCTTCAGAAGTGAGGTCCTATCTAGGGGATGTGGCATAGGAACCCAATAGGACCTACCTAGGGGATGTGATACAGGAACCCAAATCCCCTGCTATTGATACTTGAAAAGTATCTCGTAGAATCATTACTTGAAGGGAGTCAGCCAGGGTCCCAGCACTTGAGATTAAATAAACTTGCCCTTTCTCGGTTCTTTGAAGATGCATCAGGGGCTACAACATTAATAATAATAATAACTAGTATTGTCATCATTTGTTGAGCACTAACTATGTGTCAGACACTATTGTGAATCTGTCTTTTTTTTTTTTTTTTTTTTGAGGCAGAGTCTCACTCTGTCACCCAGGCTGGACTGGAGTGCAGTGGCTCTATCTCAGCTCACTGCAGCCTCCACCTCCCAGCTTCAAGTGATTCTCCTGCCTCAGCCTCCCGAGTAGCTGGGATTACAGGTGCATGCCATCACGCCTGGCTAATTTTTGTATTTTTAGTAGAGACAGGGTTTCACCATGTTGCCCAGGCTGGTCTCGAACTCCTGACCTCATGTGATCCGCCTGCCTTGGCCTCCCAAAGTGCTGGGATTACAGACATGAGCCACTGCGCCCGGCCACTATTATAAATATTTGACCTGCATTAGCTCATTAGTCCTCACTACCACCTAATGAGGTAAATCTTGTTATTATCCCCATCTTATGGGTGAATAAATGGAGGCTCTGAGAATTAAATGACTTGTCCGAGGACTTCAGATTGTCATGATTCCCTCTTCAGTGACATTCACCCAGGAGGCTGGTGCATGGGCCATGCTCAGCAGCTGCTTATCCTATCCAAGGCCATCCACATCCCTCTGTCCCGCGTGGATGGGCCCCCTCCCCCTGGCCAGATCTCTAGGAGGGAACGCCAGTGGCCTCTCCGCTAGATAGGGCTGGAAATCCCAGTGTGGCTTTATCAGCTGCTCTCTTCTTACCAGGAAGCTCCAGGTTGGCAAGCCCGTGTTTGTTGAGATTTGGCAGGGATGGCAGAGTCAGCCCAGCTTGGAGGCTGGCTCCCTGGGATGCCAGAAGATAGGGATCAGGACAGAGATCAGCACTGGGAACCCAGAGGACGGGCCCTTCAGGGAATGTCGTGAGCAGAGATCGGGAGCTGGTCAGTTCCTGGGTTCCTGGTTGGGCCATCTCTCTGCTGGCCCAAACTCCCTCTGGAACTCAAAAATAGCAAGAATTCCTGAAACGGATACAAACTTTTATACATTCATGTTTTCTTTTTTCTTTCTTTTTTTTTTCTTGAGATGGAGTTTCACTCTTGTTGCCCAGGCTGGAGTGCAATGGCATGATCTCAGCTCACCACAACCTCCGCCTCCAGGTTCAAGCAATTCTCCTGCCCCTGCCTCCTGGGTAGCTGGGATTATAGCCGTGTGCCACCACACCTGGCTAATTTTGTATTTTTAGTAGAGATGGGGTTTCTCCATGTTGGTCAGGCTGGTCTCAAACTCCTGACCTCAGGTGATCCACCCGCCTCGGCCTCCCAAAGTGTTGGGATTACAGGCATGAGCCACCGCACCCAGCCCCCTTTTTCGTTTTGTTTTGTTTTTCTAGATGGAGTCTCACTCTGTCACCCGAGCTGGAGTGCAATGGTGTGGTCTCAGCTCACTGCAACCTCCACCTCCCGGGTTCAAGCGATTCTCCTGCCTCAGCCTCCTGAGTAGCAGGACTACTTGAGACGGACACTTGAGATGTGCGTGCCATCACACCCGGCTAATTTTTGTATTTTTAGTAGAGATGGGCTTTCACTATGTTGGCCAGGCTGGTCTCAAACTCCTGACCTCACGATCTGCCTGCTTCAGCCTCCCAAAGTGCTGGGATTACAGGCGTGAGCCACCACGCCCGGCCTTGGAGCCTCTTTTATAAGGACACGAATCTCACTCACGAAGCCTCCACCCTGATGGCCTAATCACCTCCCAAAGGCTCTACCATCTAATATCATCACACTGGAGACGAGGTTTTAACATATGTTTCTCTAGGGAATTGTTCTATGGCTTTGTCAGATTCTCAAAGCCACCCATGACCCCCAAAAGGTGAAGAACCAGTGTGTTGTTGAACATGATGATTCCGTTTCTTGAAGTAAAACCACGATGCCAGAGCTACCCAAGTATCATGGCCTTTACAGTGTAAGATAACTAACCTCTGTTGGGGGCTTCCTGGGGGCCCGGTATCATTCTGAGCATTTTAGTGGCTGATCTCTTTTAATCTCTACAATAACTGCATGAGTTCTGATTTGCAGATAGGAAACTGAGGCACAGAGAGGCTAAGCAGTTTGCCCAAGAGGCAGAGCCGGAATTTGAACCCAGGCAGAGGAAGAGTTTAAATCCAGGCAGAGCCAAGAGTTTGAACCCAGGCGGGATAGCTCCAGAGCCCGCATGCCTGACCCCTGTGTCATGGAATTACCCTCCTCTCCATAAAGCGCTTAAGCGCCCCTCATCTCACTGAGGTGTCAGGACCACTCTGTGCATTTGGAAAGATGAGGACTATAAGACCCGTTTTACAGAGTGGAAAACTGAGCCCGGGGATGTCAGGCAACTTGTTCAAGCATAGGCTATAAATACACGGCAGAGCAGGAAGGGAAAAAGTTGGTTTCCTGAATTCCACTACTGACATCCTTTCTTGTAAAAATGCAGCCAAGACTTTATAGCCAGATAAGATCCAGAGATGCAAGGGCTCTGGGACCCAGGTTGGTGTCAGCAGAGCTGGGGCTGGCGCGGGGATGATGAAGAGTCCAGACTTATCAATAAGGTGCGGCACACCTTATGTGTTTCACATCTGTTTCATAGTGACACATTCCGAAGCCAAGGAAGTTGTCTTTCTATTCCCCTCTTTCTTTTCCAAAGCAAAAATATTTATTACTCCTTCTTGGTGGCAAATAAGCAACAATAATCATATAGAATCAGTGGAATCATGTAGGTTCAACAAGTAAAAATAATAGCCAGGTGCGCTGGCTCACGCCTCTGTAATCCCAGCACTTTGGGAGGCCGAGGCGGGCAGATTGCTTGAGCTCAAAAGTTGGAGACCAACCTGGGCAACGTGGCGACACCCCTGTCTCTACTAAAAATACAAAAAATAATAAAATAATAATAAATAGCTGGGCATGGTGGTGCATGCCTGTAGTCCCAGGTACTCGCTCGGGAGGCTGAGGTGGGAGAATCGCTTGAACCGGGGAGGCAGAGGTTACAGTGAGCTGAGATCGCGTCACTGCATCCCAGCCTGGGTGACAAAGGGAGACCTTATCTCAAATGAAAAATAAAATAAAACAATAATAAACAAAAATTTCTTAAAATCCCTTTGCCCAGGGGCAACGGTTTGCTTCCACACTCACACACAATGGGGCAGAGTGCGTCTTAACCAGGCTACACATTACAATGACTTGGGGCTGCTTTAAAAAATTACCAGTGCTTGGCCGGGCACAGTCCCAGCACTTTGGGAGGCCGAGGCAGGCGGATCACAAGGTCAGGAGTTTGAGACCAGCCTGGCCAATATGGTAAAACCCCGTCTCTACTAGAAGTACAAAAAAATTAGCCGGGCGTGGTGGCGCATGCCTGTAATCCCAGCTTCTCGGAAGGCTGAGGCAGAATTGCCTGAACCCGGGAAGCGGAGGTTGCAGTGAGCTGAGATCACGCCACCGCACTCCAGCCTGGGCGACAGAGTGGGACTCCGTCTCAAAAAAAAACAACAAAAAACAAAAACAGTGCTTGCTCAACTGTGATTAAGTCTGAGTTTGGTATTAGGTATTTTTTAAGCTCTCCAAGTGATTCTCAGATGTAACCAGGTTGAAACCGCTGGTCTAAGTGACGTTCTTCAGCGTGCTTGCTTTAAATCAATGTTACAGAGGTAACTGCAGAGCTACAGTCTCCTTTTTTTAATCTTCAGCTGGTGAATATTCTGCCTGCTTCTGACTCTCAACGATAAACAGTGCTGCAATGAACATTCTTATGCATTCATCTTCAGGCTTTTGATCAATTCACTCCTTGCAAAAAAATTTTTCTAAATGTGGGTTAAAGAGCCTGCACTTCAAATCTTGATACAGTAAAGTCCTCACTTGACATTATTAGCAGGTTCTTGTAAACTGCGACTTTAAGTGAAATGATGTATAATAAAGCCAGTTTTTTCCTCATCAATTTCAGTAGCAAAACAATGACACTATTTGAGGATCTCTTGTATGTTCCTTCACTTAAAGTCAGAGTTTTCAAGAACCTTTTGATGGCATCAAGTGAGGAATTACTGTACATATGGCCAGATGGCACCCCAGAAAGGTAGACCAGTGGACTGTCCTTCCCCTTGATAAACGCATCGAAGCCCCATCTCTCCACCTCTTCAGCAACCTTGGGTGTTGTCAGACCTTTTTAAAAATAGACTTCTTTTGAATCATCCCAAATGTGTGTCCACCAAAATTCACATGAAGCTGGGTGCAGTGGCTCACAACTGTATCCCAGCTCTTTGGGAGGCTGAGGCAGGAGGATTACTTGAGCTCAGGAATTTTGAGACCAGCCTGAGTAGCATAGGGAGACCCTGTCTCTACAAAAAAAAAAACTAAAAATAAGCCAGGCATGGTGGCGTGTGCCTGTAGTCCCTGCTACTTGGGAGGCTGAGGTGAGAGAGTGACTTGAGCTACGGAGGTCGAGGCTGCAATGAGCCGTATTCACACCACTGTACCCCAGCCTGAGACAGAGACCCTGACAAAAAAAAAAAAAAAAAAATGAGACCGGGCAAAGCTCCCACAGAAAGGCTAAGTTGGAGTCCTGGCTAGATGGCCTTTGTTCTAGAAACCCTTGCTTTGCTGGCTGGGGACTATCTGGCATGCTCCCTTGCCACAGGAGGAGCAGCCGTTGGCATCTTTGGTGCTGACCTCAGCCAGCTTGTATTTTAGGAACCAGGCCCCATGAGGCAGAGGCCTTATCCTTGAGCCCTTGGGTCTCACAGAATCGCCGGTGCCCAGGAGCTATGGTTGGCCCAGTTTCTCTTGCATTTTAGCCTTTTGGGCTCTCTTCCTTTGAGAGTCCATCCTTGACATGCTCATGCGGTGGGAAGGGCATTCTCCAGGCTGGCCTGTGGCTTTGCCAAGCCCCAGAAGCCTCCACACCCTATATCCTTCCACTGAGTGAGACCTCAGATAGATACAACTTCACCCACCTGCTGCTTATTAGTAAGTATCAACAAGGCATAAGGTATGTGATAAAAGATTAAAATACACTGAGAGATGTAGCACCTCGAATCACATCTTGGAAAGCATTAACAAGGCACATGAAATGTTGGCTTTCAACAGAGCAAGAAAGAAAAGTGTTCTTTCCTCTATTAGGGGCTTTGGGCTGTCAGATCTCATTAGGGCCAAGGCCTATTTAAAACAACTTTTTGCTTCTTGCTAGAAGGCCCCGAGTTGGCTTTGGGGGCAAGGCCAGCCTGGCATCACATGCAGGGTCTATGCAAGAAAAGGCTGGCATCCAGCCATTTGAGCTTTGATTCCTAAGGGGACCTCTTGTCTTAGGAGAGGTCCTAAGCAAGGTGGGTGAGCCTGGCTTGCCTTTGTCTCTGGCCCAGGTGTGGGTAGGGTGTTAGTTGGGCTTCTTGAAGTAAGTTGCAAGTAATAAAAAATCCAATGTGAGTAGGCTAAAGCAGCTGTCCCCAAACTTTTTGGCACCACGGACAATCTTTCCATGGATCAAGGTTGCGGGGGGGTTGGGGGGCGGTTTCAGGATGAAACTGTTCCACCTTAGATTGTCAAGCATTAGATTCTCATAAGAAGCGTGCAACCTAGATCCCTCACATCCACAATTCACAGTAGGGTTTGAGGTCCTATAAGAATCGAATGCCAGCTGGGCACAGTGACTCATGCCTGTAATCCCAGCACTTTGGGAGGCCGAGGTGGGTGGATCACTTGGTCAGGAGTTTGACACCAGCTTGGCCAACATGGTGAAACCCTGTCTCTACTAAAAACACAAAAATTAGCTGGGCATGGTGGCACGTGCTTGTGGTCCTAGCTACTTTACTCAGGAGGCTGAGGCAGGAGAATCGCTGGAATCTGGCAGGTGGAGGTTGCAGTGAGCCGAGATTGCACCACTGCACTCCAGCCTGGGCGACAGAGCGAGACTCTTGTCTCAAAAAAAAAAAAAAAAAAAAAAAGAACACAGATTCCTTGCCTGGGTCCCAATGCTGACTGTGCCCCTTACCAGCTGTGTGACCTTGGGCCCCAAGCAAAGTGCCCCAAGCAAAGTGGACATAATGAAAGTACATATAGTCAGCCTGGGCAACAAAGTGAGACCCCGTCTCTAAAAAAAAATATTAAAAAATTAGCCACGCATGGTGGCATGTGTCTGTAGTCCCAGCTACTCTGGAGGTTGAGGCAGGAGGACCACTTGAGCCTGGGAGTTCAAGGCTGCAGTGAGCTATGATCGTGCCACTGCATTCTAGCCTGGACAACAGCAATAACTTGTCAAAAAAAAAAAAAGTAGCTATCGTGCGATGAAAATTAAATGAGTTGAAAAGAAAGAAAGAAAATTAAATGAGTTAATGGTTAATATATATAAAGTACTTTGCACAGTGCCTGGCTCCTGGTTGGCGCTCTGTGAAGCTTAACTGTATAACTAAGGTGATTTTGGTCCCTGCCCCAAGTAATTTGCAAAACAAACAAACAAAAGCAAAAACAAGCTCTCTTGTTGCTTTTTAGCCAGAAAAGTGGCTCCCTTCAGGGAAGACTTTTTGTGTGTGAGACACAATTTCACCAGGCTGGAGTGCAGTGGTGCAATCTTGGCTCACTGCAACCTTAACCTCCCGGGTTCAAGCGATTCTTGTGCTGCAGCCTCCCGAGTAGCTGGGATTACAGGTGTGCACCACCATACCCGGCTAATTTTTGTATTATTAGTAGAGGGGGTTTTGCCATGTTGGCCAGGCTGGTCTCGAACTCCTGACCTCAAGTGATCCACCCGCCTTGGCCTCCCAAAATGCTAGGATTAGGGATTACAGGCTTGAGCCACTGCGCCCGGCTTCTACCCTTTTTTTTTGTTTGTTAGATTCCTCCATGTCTTTTCATGTTAGCTTTTCTTTAACAAAAAGGAAGTTCAAATCTCTAAAAGTTCAGTAAATAAGAAACACCGGTTTTACCCATCTTTCAGAGGGAAAAAGTGCCGACATGCCATCTTGGCTTTAGGTCTCCCTTTTATTCTTGTTTGGAATAACCCTACACATGTGGTTAGAGTCCCCCTGTTCTCATCCCTGGTCACTTTCCAGTGAAGACTCTTAGCAGCTTCCTCCTCAGTGTGTGTCCAGAAACAGCAAGCAGTTTTGAGTAGTGTGATGCTGAACTTTACATGAATGGCTTTCTGTAGTGAGAAGGCGCCTGTCACCCGCGGCCTGCAGAGGCTGCGTGGCTTGGAGGGGGAACCAGAGGCCCAACCATGGGCCTCCTTCCCCTGGTCTCTACAGCAGCTTTTCCCAAACCCACTGAGATGGGTCAGGCTCCTAGAGAGCCTGAGAACAAAGCCCCTTTGTGACTTTTGTTTTGAATCAGGCTTGTGACAAAGGGGAGGAGCCACTGGGTTGGGTGGATGGGGGTGCCCGGAGCGCGCTGTTGTTGCAGGGGAAGAAAACAAAATTGTGTCTTTTTTTTGGCAATGTTGTCTTGCCAATCCCTCCCTCCCCCAGCTCTCCGAACAGCAGGATTTCCCAACGGCAGCTTGGGAAAAAGACCCAGTGGCAGCTTGGGGAAAAGACCCAGCGCTCCGTTTAGAAGCAACGTGTATCAGCCAACTGAGATGGCCGTCGTGCTCAACGGTGGGACCGTAAGTATCAAGATGTGATGTGGGGGTAGGAAGCCTAGGAGTCTACGGTGTCGGGGAGCAGCTTCAACAGGGACATACTCCTCCATGGAGGCTGCCCATGTGGCCTGCAAGGACCGCCACAGCTCAAACGCATGCAATGCTTTTATTTTTCTTCTTTCCCTTTCTACCCCTTTTCTCCACACACAGAATACCCACCTCTATTTAGAAAACCATCTGTAGATTCGTTTGAAAGAGTTTGTAATCCTTGAGGCTGTTGGACCCAGTGAATTATTTGGCTTTCACTCTGTCCCTGGGAGGTGACTTTTGGAAAAAGCCCAGAATGATGGAGCGCCCCTAGCAGATTTTGCTGACATCCAGCCTAGTTTAAGGTCCCCGGTCACCCCTCTGTTGACTCCTCCCCAGCTGGGTACCAGGTTCTCCCATTCCCTAAGAGATGTCTTAAGAAATTGAAGCAGTTACTGTTTCTCTCCCTCAAACACAGAAGCAGGTTTACTACTATCTGATGCCAAACAGACCTTCAGCAGAATTGTCATTGTTTACGTTTGCCTCCTTGGAATGACACCATTTTGTTTCTCCAGCAATCCAAAGATGCACTCTCATCTCCACATTTAATTTCCAAACATAGCTACATGCTTCTTTCAGAAACAAGGTCTGAGCCAGTTTACATGTGTAAATTGGGTTTCCATTCTTTATATCATGTTCCAACTCCATAACTCAACCTGAGCATTCTTCTTTTTTTTTTTTTTTTTATGTAAATCAGGGATGGTCTTTGATCTCTAGAGGGAATTTAGGTTTTCCTGGCCTTTTGAATGGTATGCTAGGCATTGGTTTGCATTGGTTTGGAACAGGCTCAAAGACAGAATCACAGATTTGCATTCTTAAAACCCCCTGCCAACGACTGGGCTGTTTTATTGTCCCGAGCCAAGAAAAGCCTGATTCACAAGCATTCGGCCTGTGTGTTATAATAAATATGCTTAGAAAAGCCCCCATCCGTCACTCTTAAGCCCTCCTGGTTCCTTCAAGGCCAGTGTGTGAAAAAATAGTCAAGACTGAAAGTGAATGAGTTGAACTTACATTCCTTACGGGTGGATGGTTATAGAAAAGGGAGCTGGGCTTCCCAAGAACCACAGCAGCATGACTCACAGTCATTGCTGCCTCTCCTGGGAATTATTCGACCCATCTAGGTAAAAGCAAGGTAACTTATTTTTGCCGCGTTGTTTACGCATCGGTTTCTAGTGTTGACTTTGCAAAGCACAGAGTTCTCAGTGTGTTATCCTTATGTGTTATTCCAGATCCCAACTGCTCCGCCAAGTCACACAGGAAGACACCTTTGGTGAAAGACTTTAAGTTCCAGAGAATCAGAATTTCTCTTACCGATTTGCCTCCCTGGCTGTGTCTTTCTTGAGGGAGAAATCGGTAACAGTTGCCGAACCAGGCCGCCTCACAGCCAGGAAATTTGGAAATCCTAGCCAAGGGGATTTCGTGTAAATGTGAACACTGACGAACTGAAAAGCTAACACCGACTGCCCGCCCCTCCCCTGCCACACACACAGACACGTAATACCAGACCAACCTCAATCCCCGCAAACTAAAGCAAAGCTAATTGCAAATAGTATTAGGCTCACTGGAAAATGTGGCTGGGAAGACTGTTTCATCCTCTGGGGGTAGAACAGAACCAAATTCACAGCTGGTGGGCCAGACTGGTGTTGGTTGGAGGTGGGGGGCTCCCACTCTTATCACCTCTCCCCAGCAAGTGCTGGACCCCAGGTAGCCTCTTGGAGATGACCGTTGCGTTGAGGACAAATGGGGACTTTGCCACCGGCTTGCCTGGTGGTTTGCACATTTCAGGGGGGTCAGGAGAGTTAAGGAGGTTGTGGGTGGGATTCCAAGGTGAGGCCCAACTGAATCGTGGGGTGAGCTTTATAGCCAGTAGAGGTGGAGGGACCCTGGCATGTGCCAAAGAAGAGGCCCTCTGGGTGATGAAGTGACCATCACATTTGGAAAGTGATCAACCACTGTTCCTTCTATGGGGCTCTTGCTCTAGTGTCTATGGTGAGAACACAGGCCCCGCCCCTTCCCTTGTAGAGCCATAGAAATATTCTGGCTTGGGGCAGCAGTCCCTTCTTCCCTTGATCATCTCGCCCTGTTCCTACACTTACGGGTGTATCTCCAAATCCTCTCCCAATTTTATTCCCTTATTCATTTCAAGAGCTCCAATGGGGTCTCCAGCTGAAAGCCCCTCCGGGAGGCAGGTTGGAAGGCAGGCACCACGGCAGGTTTTCCGCGATGATGTCACCTAGCAGGGCTTCAGGGGTTCCCACTAGGATGCAGAGATGACCTCTCGCTGCCTCACAAGCAGTGACACCTCGGGTCCTTTCCGTTGCTATGGTGAAAATTCCTGGATGGAATGGATCACATGAGGGTTTCTTGTTGCTTTTGGAGGGTGTGGGGGATATTTTGTTTTGGTTTTTCTGCAGGTTCCATGAAAACAGCCCTTTTCCAAGCCCATTGTTTCTGTCATGGTTTCCATCTGTCCTGAGCAAGTCATTCCTTTGTTATTTAGCATTTCGAACATCTCGGCCATTCAAAGCCCCCATGTTCTCTGCACTGTTTGGCCAGCATAACCTCTAGCATCGATTCAAAGCAGAGTTTTAACCTGACGGCATGGAATGTATAAATGAGGGTGGGTCCTTCTGCAGATACTCTAATCACTACATTGCTTTTTCTATAAAACTACCCATAAGCCTTTAACCTTTAAAGAAAAATGAAAAAGGTTAGTGTTTGGGGGCCGGGGGAGGACTGACCGCTTCATAAGCCAGTACGTCTGAGCTGAGTATGTTTCAATAAACCTTTTGATATTTCTCAAGGCCCTAGTCTCTGCTGTCTCCCCTCCCCACCCCATCCTTGCAAAGCACTGGGGAAAGTAAGGCCAATCTGGCCCTCCCTGTGTGACCCGCCTTCGAGTTTTCCTTAACAGTTAGTACATTTCCTTGTGTTACCACGCATGGGGAAGAAAACGCATGGCCCCAGAATGCCACCCCCACCTGACCTCCCCGGAAGCACCCCGCCTCTGCCCAGAGCATGTGCTTGCTTCTAGAGAATCCCGTTCCAGTCATTGCGTGGACAGAAAACGTAAGAGTCCTGGGGAGGGGTGGGAGGGAATGAAGCTAGGACCTGGGGTGGGGGTGGGGGCGGTTGCATGCGGACCCGGTATTCTGAAAAGAAAGAAATCTTCAAACACCTCGGTCCTGTCCGGTGAAAAAACGACAGCATTACACATTCTCGTGCCAGGAAATGGTTACTCACCCCCGCTCTCTGGAGTCCTTTGGAGCTTTCTGATACCATTCACACGATGGAGCAATTCACACGTTCGTTTTCTAAGTTCTTTATTGTCCAAGCATATAAGGTGAGCACAGCACAAATGGCTGCCATGGAAAGTCGTGCTTCCCCAGCATAAGAACAGAGCCATCTTTGAGCCATGGGAAGCCTCATTTAATGAGACCTTTTTCCCCCCTTTTAAATCTGATATGTTATCGCACTTAGGGTTTTGTTTTATTTTGGCTTTTAAGGTTGAGAGTGGGCTGAACGCCTTCATAATGGGGGCGGAGGCGGGAGTGAGAGGAGAAGGGAGAGAGCTGTTCTTTTTCTAATGACTACACCTGAAAAGTATCAAGAGACATCTTTGCCAAGAGACTGTAGCAGCCAGCTGCCCCCCGTGGAGCAAGGTTTAAAGACAAAATTAAATGGCACCTCTGTTTAAGATCTGCGTGTGTAAACAAGACTCGTTTGGGGAAAACGACCCGGGAGGAGAGCATCTGTGATCAAAATCTCTCATTGTAAGCACAAATTGTTCCGTGTCTGGTTATTAAAATCGCTTTGGGTCTATAACAGCCACTCTTGTCCCCCCTTTTAATAGAAAATTGTCATTCTAGCCTGGATTTCTCCCCACTGGAGGTGGAGGGTGGGAAGAGAAGGGAGTCAGCTCTGACAGCTTACAAACTGGGAAGTTCTGTGCATCTCCAGGGATTCCAGAGTTGAAGATCTGGTTGTTGGAAGCTGGGCGCCCAGTGCTTTTTTTTTTTTTTTTTTTTAGCCCAGATGCCGTCAGGACCCACTGAACAAGGGTGAACTCGGGTGGTGGTCTCGGTTGGCCAAGGCTGAGTTGAACGCCTCAGGCCAAACCCCAAGTTGAAAGGGAGCATTGTGGCTTTTATAATCCAATGATGCAATGATGATACCAGCTTACAGGAGTTCTCAGCAGGTGCTTTTTATTAACTGATGAAGAGCTAAGGCTCACTTTTGATAGATAATATATATTTATTAAATGCATTAATGTGTGTTTTATAATGTACCTTTATCTTCCCCCGGCTGACTGTTGCATACTTATAAAAAAGAAGTTAAAGAAATTTCAAGACAATCAATATGTACCATAAACGACTATATAAATATTACAAATTTAAAAGGCTGTAAACCATGGGCAGATAGGTTTTATTTTCAAAATGCTGTTCTTAACACAAAAATAAAGGCTTTACTATTTACTTAAGACGTGTGGTAGCTTGTCAAAACAACCCAGTGCAACTAACTACTAGGCTTTCGGATCTGCCTTGAGGGTCGGTCTGTGGCATTTTAAATGGGAGAATCTTGGTTAACAGCAAACCACAGAACATATTAAGGTAATAAGTTTACCCATAAAAGCAGGAACTTTCTATATAATACTTTGGGACTTAGACAACAAAAATCCTTTGTTACATCTGTCTGGGTTTAAGTGTCTCATCTTGTTGGGTTTGCAGTAAAAGTTAAGGAGTGGTCTCCTTTGGAAATGATCATTAAGTATAAGGTCTTTTTTATAAAGAGAGTAGTCAGTCACTAGGTAAACTTAAAACCAAATTCAGAGGTTGGGGACTTAAATTAGAATATGGATCTTTGCAAAGGCGGCCACAAGTGGGAAAACTGGTAATAAGAGCACTTCTGTATTCCTTGGGACTAGAGTTCATTGTACATTTTAACAGCAGCTGGTGTAGAAGAATACTCCTGAGGCACTGAAGAAGTAATCTGGATGAATGAATAAAATGTGGGGATAATGCAGAAAGTGAAGACTGGTCCTTTCTTTTCTAAACTATTTGCATTAAAGCTTGTTTGCAATGAATCCTATCTTGTACAGAAAAGATTCCATTTGCACATGTTCCAAGTCTTGTTAAAGAAATCACAAGAGAGAGAGCATCATTTGGACATTTTCCTTGCACAAGGTAACTTGTGCTCGAATGGGCAAAGATACGTCTTAGCTATGGTTAAGATGATGGAATTTTCATCTTGGCTGCAGGTACTGCATCGTCCTCCATTTTGCATTTCACTGCAAAGAAAAGAAAGGGAAAGTCAGGATCAATTTACATACGTAGACAGGCTTGTCATTGGGAAACCGGAAACTCTGATGTGTGGACAAGGTCAGTTGCACCAAAACCCACTGTGCGCCTGCTATTCATGGTTCCGGCCCCATGGATCCACGGGGAAGAACACAGGCCCATTGTGCTCTAAGGACAGCACCTGAAAGTTCAAAACCACTTCCCGGACTGTTCATGGCCATTCTTAATTCAGTTCAGAAAGAGGTCAGAAGTGTGCTTTGCCGGTCAGGGTACTGAAGGAAGGCAATTTTACTAAAGACGATGACAGATTCCAGGCTCTCCGCTCAACCCCATCTGTCACCACACACCCTGTTCTCCAGCCACCCAAAATGGAAAACTCAGGGTATCACTGGGGGCAATGCAAAGGTCTGAAGAAAATCTTTTCTCTTATGTCATGGTCTGGACCAAGAACCTGATCTCGGTGATTTCCTGTGTCTGCCAAACAGGAAAGTTAGCTCCATACAGGGTATGGCTCTGTGTGTAAGGGGAATTAATCCCAACAGATAAAAGCCTCTCCCCAATTAAATATGGAAACCCAGTCCCTTGGTGGGTGCAGTAGGGATCCTTTTGGAAAGACCCTCTCTTTTAATATATCTTTGTCTGGAGTGTCCAAGTGCTGCTTGCCCATATGTGAATGTCTTGAAAGGTGGTTTGAGCCAGGCCACAGGTTCTGATGATTTGTGGAGAGCATTGTTCTGGTAAAAAGGGTGTTTGAGCTTGTTACTATGTAGGGCTGAGGTTTCAAGTGAACCTGCCCTCGTCCTGACCTCCCAGCAACTAAGGGCATGCACCAGCCAGATGCGGCAAAGAGGTGGGTATGTACACCATCCCATGAAATGCACTTTTTTGTTTTTTTGGGGACAGAGTCTCTCTTGTCCAGGCTGGAGTGCAGTGGCAAGATCTCGGCACACTGCAACCTCCGCCTCGCAGGTTCAAGCGATTCTCCTGCCTCAGCATCCCAAGTAGCTACAGGCGTGCACCACCACGCCCTGCTACTTTTTGTATTTTTAGTAGAGATGGGTTTCCCAATGTTGCCCAGGCTGGTCTCGAACTCCCAGCCTCAAGTGATCCACCCGCCTCAGCCTCCCAAAGTGCTGGGGTTACAGGTGTGAGCCACTGCGCCTGGCCCTGTGGTTATTTTCTGATGGAGGTGGGATGAGGGCCTTCAGCAACACAGACCAGCCCTGCAGTCTTCAAACTGAGGGCAAGGGTTCTTGGTCATGGTTCATTCAAAGGAAATCAATTTCCAGATCATCAGCTTCCCACCCTCCTGTCATTCCTGGCCCAGTGTGTAAAGACTCCCCAGGTGCCAAACAAGAAGGCAGTTCAAAATGAGGGCCCTCAGAGTCTCCTTATTTTCTATGTTTGACAACTATCAAATTGTATCATGTATTTATTTGGTTTTGCGTACTACTAATCATTGTATTAGCAACACAAATCAGAAAAAAATATTTTTAATACTTGGAGCCTGTGGTCACAGGACATTTTAAAACATTTTTTCAAGGTATATACCTTTTTTATTCCATTTATATGGAAGCTCTATGGGCAACCACAGTGAAAACCCTATGTGCTTCTAGACCCTACTAACGATGACATTGACTCTTCATAGTCAAGGATGCGCCACACCTCCCTAAAGACTGTCCCACTAGCTGTGATTAACAGCTCCCCAGGGATTGGGGGAGAGTCCCGAGTTGTATCATTTGCCATTTCCATAGCCTATTGGAAGCCAGCAGCCTGACAACGTAACAGAGTTGGGAAGAGGTGCGCACAGTCAGATGGAGCGGGGCTGCCCTGGATCCCCCCAGGGAGGTACACAGGTCAACTAGTGCAGCCAGCATCAGGCATAACTTCAGACCTGCAGGCTGGCTCTCTAGGGACAAATTGGGGACATCTGCAATAGGGGGAAATTGTTAGAAATGCAAATTCAGGGCCCTTTTCCAGGCAGACAGAACCAGACACTGGGGGTGGAGCCCATCCATCTGCATTTTAACAAGGCCTCCAGGTGATTCTGATGGATCAGGCTGGGTCTCTAGGGACAAGTTGGGGACATTTGCAATAGGGGGAAATTGTTAGAAATGCAAATTCAGGGCCCTTTTCCAGGCAGAGAGAACCAGACACTGGGGGTGGAGCCCACCCATCTACAGTTTAACAAGGCCTCCAGGTGATTCTGATGGATGCTAGTTAAAGTTTGAGAACCACTGATTACTGGTTTTCTACCCTGGCTGCTTGTAAGAATCACATGGTCAGCTTCTGAAATTTATTGGTGCCTGGGTTTCACTCCAGCAATTCTGATGTAACTACCCTGGGGCCTGGGCATCAGTAGCTAGGTAAAGCTCCTGTGTGTTGCTAAGGTTCAGCCAGGGTTGAGACACAGATGGGGCTTAGAATCCCTTTAAAGAAACGTGACTGTAGGACCCTGAAGAGTCTAGAATTCCCCTCAACTTATTAACATCATGCTGGCTGCCTGTGAGTCTCACAGTTTAAGCTGCTAGAGAGAGAGTTGGCAGACAGGCTGGGCACAGTGGCTCACGCCTATAATCCCAGCACTCTGGGAGGCCGAGGCACGTGGGTCACTTGAGGTCAGGGGTTCGAGACCAGCCTGGCCAACATGGTGAAACCCTGTCTACTAAAATTACAAAAATTAGCTGGGCGTGGTGGCAGGCGCCTGTTAATCCCAGCTACTTGGGAGCCTGAGGCAGGAGAATCGCTTGAAGGGAGGCAGAGGGTGCAGTGAGCCAAGATCGTGTTACTGCACTCCAGCCTGGGTGGCAGAGCAAGACTGTCTCAAAAAAAGAAAAAGAGAGAGAGAGATAGCTGGCAGACAGACAGATGCTGGAGGCAATTAATAGCTGGAGGGAAGGACTGGCTTCTGGGAGAATTCCCCAGCCCTTGGGTTTTCTTTAGTTTTCTTCAACTGCCTGAAGGAAGAATTCACCTGCAAGCTGTTGTCCTGGTATTTTACCCAATTCCTGTCCATACCTTGACAACCTTGTTGCCTACTCCCTACGTGTTGACCTTGCTTGGGAAAAAGCCCCTTAGTATCTCTTTAGATCATCACTCAGAAATCTTGACAGAGGAGAGCAGAAAGGAATGAGCTAGGGACCTTGTTCATGGGGGAGGACCGAGAGGTGTTATCTCGAGTTGACGGGCTGGAAATCAAGGTGTGACGTGGAGCCTCCCAGTGGAATTACCTGGGGATTTCTGAACACCCTACACAATTAGGTCACCATCTCTGGAGGCACAACTACACTGGAAAACTGCTTGGCGTTACCAAATGGAACTGAGTCTGACAGTGAATACAAATGATTCCACTCCCGTATCCCACTGCAGAAACCCTTCCATACGTGTACTGGGAGGATGCTCGTGATAGCAAAACCTGGACACAACCCAAATGTCCATCAGCAGTTGACTGGATAAACCAATTGTGGTCTACTTGACCAGTGATTATACAACACTGAACATGAGTGAGCCGAAGCCACACGCATCAACTTGGATTAGCTCAAAAATGTTGAAGGAGGCCGCGTGCGGTGGCTCACGCCTGTAATCCCAGCACATTGGGAGGCTGAGGCGGGCAGATCACGAGATCAGGAGATCAAGACCATCCTGGCTAACACGGTGAAACCCCGTCTCTACTAAAAACACAAAAAATTAGCCGGGCATGGTGGCGGGCACCTGTAGTCCCAGCTACTCGGGAGGCTGAGGCAGGAGAATGGCGTGAACCCAGGAGGCGGAGCTTGCAGTAAGCCAAGATCGCGTCACTGCACTCCAGCCTGGGCGACAGGGCGAGACTCCATCTCAAAAAAAAAAAAAAAAAAAAAGTTGAAGGAAAGATGAGAGGCACGGAATAATACATATAGTGTGATTCTATTTATAGCAAATCTAAATGCTGAGAGATGCATACAAACGTGAAAAGAGCTCCAAAGAAAAGCAAGAGAACAGCTATCATGATAGTCAGAGAAGTGGCTTCATGGGGGAAGAGCTTTAAAACTGTTGACAGTGTTCTGTTTGTTTGTTTGTTTGTTTGTTTGTTAAATGTTGTAGAGAGGTCTCGCTTTGTTGCCCAGGCTGGAGTGCAGTGGTGCGATCATAGCTCCCTGCAGCCTCTGGAGGCTTGTGGAGGCTCAAGCGATCCTCCACAAATGTTTTTATTTATTGTTATATGTGTTTTATAGCCACTGTTGTACGCATATTTCACCCCCCAAAAGGTAAAAAGAAATAGGTATGTTCGTGTATTGCTTGAAATTACAAAGCCAACCAATAAAGGCATGGAAAAGAATGATTTAGCTGTTTTGAGGAGGGGAGGGATGGAATCTAAGCTAACCCTCACCTATCATGGCAGGAAATCAGTAGATCCTATTGAAAATCTTATTACCATAGAGACCTGTTCCAGATACAGAAGTAACACCCCGAGGAGCAGCTGAAGTTCAAAGTCATTGCCTCTGGGGATGCACTACTTTGCTAAAAATTAAGCAAGAGATAAAATCTCGACTTGGTGGTCTTCCTCCTCCTGGTCTTAGCAGAACACAGCCTTGCACAGGTAGGTACTTGATCAGCGGAGGGAGGAAAAGGGGAGGGAAGCAGGGGTGAGAGGCAGGAGAGAAGAAGTAAGCCAGGATGCTGTAGAATGCAGCTTCCACCTTAGCTCGGAGACATCATCGTGGTTGGCTTCCAACACCAACAGACAGATGCCTCGGCACCCCTATGCTGTCCTTGTCCCTCTCAGCAGGCTGGTGCCCAGCCAGTTCCGGAAGGGCTGGGAGAGTGGAAAATCCCAGAGAGAGATACGCCAGCCCTTCAGCTTCAATTAAAGGCAATGTGACAAGAAGGGCCTTGCATACTAATAAGACTCAGTACATCTTCTCCTCGTGGTCGCCCTTATCCTCTCCTGTTCCTGTGAGTGACAGGACTGAGAATTCAATTCACAGCCCAGAGAAAAACCTCCCAGCCAGCAGCACAGGACAGATAAAGAAAATGCCTAAAGCTCAAGACAGGAAATTTGGGGACCACAGGGTCATCCGGCCACTCATACAATGTTGTCCAGACAGGGCCTCAGCATGAAAGGATGACCTGGGGTGAAAATATAGATTCCTGGGCCCCACCCCAGACCTTTAGAAACAGAATCTCCAGGAGTGAGGCCTGGGAATCAGTATCCCCTCCCCCTCAGTGCTGTGGGTGGGTGTTTTGATCTGGCAAGTTTGGGAAAGAGAGCAGATTTGGGCAAGTTTGGGAAACAGTGCCTGTTTCCTGAGGGCCTCAGTCAACTGTGAGCCAGGGTTGAGAATGGCACCTGCCTCCTAAGGGCGCTGAGAGAAGCAAAAGAGGCAAGCTGTGCAAAATGCAAAGTGCTCAGCACTGGTTCTGACCCAGAGTTAGGCACTTGATAAATATCAGCTATTATTATTCGCGTTTTTATTGAGACCAGGTCTCGCTCTGTTACCCAGGCTGGAAAGCAGTGGTGCAAATCAGGGCTCACTGCAGTCTCAACCTCCTGGGCTCAAATGGTCCTTCCACTTCAGCCTCCTAAGTATTAATAGCTGGGACCACACACACGCACCACCATGCCTGGCTAATATATTTTTATTTTGGGTTGAGATAGGGTCTTGCTATGTTGCCCAGCCTAGTCTCTAACTCCTGGGCTCAAGCAGTCCTCCTGCCTCAGCCTCCCAAGATGATAGGGTCACAGGTGTGAGCCACAGCACCCAGCCAGCTATTATTTTGCTTAGGGCATATTCTTTGCCCTCAAAGAGGTCACAGTATAGAAGGTGAGGCAGAAAAAATCAACAGGAAATTGTACGAACCACGAGATGCTCACATACTGCGGGGAGAACTTGCTTCAATAGATGACCATCTGCCACGCAGCTATGGACCACAACCGTGCTGGGGCCTGGGGTTACAAGGAGGAGACTGGCTCACGCTCCCAAATCAGCAATATCTATGAGAAACCTTAAAATGTTCATCTTTTACTCAATTAGCTCCCGATTTCTAGGATTCCAGGTAAATAATAAAAGCAAACACTTCTATGGTACTTATGAAGCCCTTGACACATACGAAGTCATAGTGAGCTAAGTGCTATTATTTTCCCCAGTTTTACAGGTAGGGAGACTGAAGCAGAGACAGGTCATGCAACTTGCTCAAGGTTACGCTGTGAGCTGTCTGGCTGCTGCTGCTCTTAAAACTCTACAGGGTCAAGATCTCACAACTGCCTCCCACCAGGACAGCAAAAATGTCTGTGATTAAAGAAGCAACAATGATGTTACGCAGACAAAGGTGTTCACTTCCGCATCCTCTACCACATAAACAGTTTGAGAACAACCTAAATGCCCAAAAGTCAGGGAATGATTAAGTATCTGACAACCTATAACCTTGATGTGATGTAATATAATGAAGCCATAAAAACATGATGTTTTGGCAAAGTGTAAAAACAGGGAGAAATGTCAGTGGGAAAATACGGTGCAGCACATTTCCTATAAATTTCCATTATGCAAATTTGAAATTGTTCAATACCAAGTTAATCATGTCTCCAAGGAGTACAAGGATGGCACGAGGGCATGGAGGCTTCTGTCTGTTAGAGCTGGAAGCCTAACAGATATAAACTGGGCTCCTTCATTTAATCATCCCTGCCTTCCTTTCTTTTCTTTCATTCCTTCTTTTTCTTTTCTTTTTCTTTTTTTTTTTCAGAGACAGGGTGTCATTCTGTTGCCCAGGCTGAAGTACATGGTGCAATCACAGCTCACTGCAGTCTTGACTTCCTGGGCTCAAGTGATCCTCCTGCCTCAGCCTCCCAAGTGGCTGGGGCTACAGGTGTGCACCACCATGCCCGAATATTTTTTTTACTTTTTGTAGAGATGGGATCTCACTATGTTGTCCAGGCTGGTCTCGAACTGCTGGGCTTAAGTGATCCTACTGTCTTGGCCTCCCAAAGCGCTGAGATTACAGGTATGAGCCACCGCACCCAGCCCCTGCCTTTCTAAAGAAAAAAAAAAGTTTACTTTTTAAAATTTTTATTTTTTTAGAACAAGTGACTCCTATTCCACATTCATTCTTGGGTGAGATTTTCATAATACATCACTTAAGTGTAACTGCCCTGTAGAAAATTACATTCATTACGTCCAAAATTACATCTATTGCTCAACTAAGTTATAACCCAGCATCTCAAATACATAAAAAAAAAAAAAACCTGAACATAGATGTAATGATTGAAAGGAAACTGCTGAATTTTTGTTTTCCTGAATGTTCTACAGTATACCTGTATTGCTATACAACTGGGGGAAACTTTCTAAAAGAATCACCAGAAAATATACCAGACAAAAGAAAAAGACCCTCAGGGTAATCAACACCTAAACAGTATTGCTGCAATTAGAGCCCAAAGATGGGAGAAAGGCAGGAAGGATGAGAAATGGTGTCAAGTGGCCAATCAGAAGCTGCAGGGGAAACTCCCCGATCATCAGATCCAGGGTGGGGTGACAGTGACAAGAGATCCACCCACAAGTGGAGTGGCCTTAGTAGGGGTGACCATTCACAGAAATAATTATGAAATGTTTGCTAGGAAAAGTTTCTGATTAGCAAATTTCTAGGAAAATAACGTTTCCTCCTCAATGTGCTTGCTAATAAAAGGGTACACTTTGGCATCAAGCAGACGCAGTATTCAAATCCTGGCTCTGCCACTTAAAAGCTGGATGATACCCCACCTCTGCCCCCAGCCTCAATTTCCTCATTTGAGCTATAGGTATAATAATCTCCACTTCACAGAGTCCTTATGAAGATTAAAGATGATCCATTCAAAGTGCCTGGTACACTGTACCAGTGGTACTGGTGGCACCAGTATGTGGCACATGAAGAAGGTACTCAAGAAATGTGGTTTCCTTTCCCCCCAGGTGGACTGCAGGAATATAAGCTGAATTGCTGCTAAGTAGTTCATTTAGCATCTTTTAAAATTCATAAGATGTCACTCATCTGAACGTTACTTATCTTTGCAAACTCAGGTATCAAACACAGCCAAGAACTTGAAAGTAAACAGAAGAAGCCAATGTGGATGTTCCGGAATGTATTCCCCAAACTCAGAGCATGGGTGCTCATTCTTTAAACATCATTCTGGCAAGTTGACCTATCAGATATCCCAATGGCAGAAAGGAATTTAGGAATGAAATACGGTCCCAATGGCTGATAAGCACATAAAAAGGTGTGCAACGTCATTAGTCATTAAGGAAATTAAAGCCACGATGAGACAGCCACCACACACCCACCAGAATGGTTAAAATGAAAAAGAAGACTCATCACACTCATTGTTGGTAAAGATGCAGACTGCTCGTGCATCACTGATGGGGATGTAAAATGGTACAGCCACTTTGGAAAACGAGTTGGAAATATCTTAGAATTAAACATATAACCCAGCAACTCCAAATCCACAGCTGAAGTGAGTATTTACATCGGTCAAAAAACAGATCCAGGAGTGTTCAAAGCAGCAGCATTGGGCCAGGTGTGGTGGCGCATGCCTATAATCCCAGCACTTTGGGAGGCCAAGGCTGGAGGATGGCTCAAGCCCAGGAGTTCAAGGCTGCAGTGAGCTATGATTGCACCACTGCACTCCAGCTTGGAAAACAGAGTGAGAGACCCTATCTCTAAAAATAATAATAAAATCAACAAAGTAGCAGCATTTTTCATAATAGCCAAAGGTGGATATAACCCAATAATCCATTAAAAAGTGACTGGATTCACAGCTTGTGACGATAATCATACAAAGGAATGCTACAACAGCAACACGACAATACAAGATCAACTGAGTGCTACCCCTCAACAAGTTAGCTGCATCTCCCAGACATAATGTTCAGCAGAAGACACAGACGCCAGACACAAAGGAGTTCATTCTGTGTTTTCCAGTTAGGCAGAGAAGAAGCAAAACTACTCTATGGTGAAAGGAGTCAGAACAGAGTTTACCTCAAGGGAAGGGGACACCGCGTGGGGCATGAGGGAGCTGGCTGGGGGCCGCCCATGTTCACTATCTGGATCCAGGCGGTGGTTGGGTTGGATTCATGCACAGAATTTCACGGAGCACTGCACTGTGACCGGTGTACCCCACTGTATGTGAGTGCCACCTCAATCACAAAAAATAAAATAGGAACAATGGGGAGGAAGAGAACAGACACAAAAATGTGCCCACCTTTTTAGTCAGATCCTCAAAGAGTCTTACACACCCAAGAGGGTCCCTATGGACAATATCATAGAATTAATCAGGAAATTTGCACTAGCCAGATGCTGGACACTAGGCTCAGGGCTTTACCTACCTTAATTATCTCATACAATTCTCCCAACCACCCTGGGAGGTAGATGCTATCCTCATTTTCATTTTACTGACTGAGAAATTGAGGCTCAGAGATACTAAGCAACGTGCCCAAGGTCACAGAGTTAAGTAAATGGCCACACCAAGATTCTGATCTTGGTATCTTTTGACTCCAAAACCCATGGTCTTAACCATCATCTGACACCACCTTGGAGTAAGAATTGGTCCCTAAAGTTAGAAAGGCAGGGGAGTGTATTATATATATTACCGAGATTTTATTTTTCCATGAAGAGCAATACATTATAGAAAATTCGAAGAATACAGGAAAAAAAGAAAAAAAAAATCTATGCCCCTCTGCCCCCAACTAGAAGAACAAATTGTGGAAGATTCCTTTCTACAAAGAAATACATGTTGACATTCAGGGCGTAAATGTCAGTAGCCTGGTAAATTTACCTCCATTTCTTGACAGTACCAGATGCTGTGTTGCATTATTTTTGGGAAAATTAAGCCAACTTGGAAGCCACAAGGCATTCCGGGAGAACGTGACAGCCTTGAATGAGCAGTAATTGCAGCTTTCTGTTGTTGACTTCCAAACAGTTACTAAAGTTAATCCAGAGCAAAGTCTCCTTGAAGGCAGTATTTTAAATGGAAACATTTGGCGTGGGAGTGGCAACATTGGTTATATTGAGACAGAACCATGGGATTATCAAGGTTTGACCCCGTAAAGGGTCTTGATTCCTGGAAAAAGAGAGATTCAATAAAAGGCTTGTTTTTAATAGGTGAAAACTGAGGTATTGACAGGGGAAGGAAGCCACCAAATCAAACCTAGCAATGGAGCCATCCAAGCACAGCTTAGCTGCTTAGAGCACACCACTTGGGAGAAGGCAGCTCCGGCTTTGAATCCTACCACCATTTACCAACTGGGTGGCCTGAACAAGTCTCTCAACATCTTGGAAGCCTCAGCTCTCTCATCCATAAAAGGAGGATAGGAAGACTTTCCTTTTGGTAGAATTCAAGGATGAAACGAAATGGTACATATTGTATGGCACATAATAAATATTCAATAAAATTATTATTATTTTTTGAGATGGGGTCTCGCTCTATTGCCCAGGCTGGAGTGCAGTGATGTGATCTCAGCTCACTGCAGCCTCTGCCTCCTGGGCTCAGGTGATCCCCCCCACCTCAGCCTCCCAAGTAACTGGGACCACAGGTATGCACCACCACGCCTGGCTAATTTTTTGTGTCCTTGGTAGAGATGGGGTTTCACCATGTTGCTTAGGCTGGTCTCGAACTCCTGAGCTCAAGTGATCCGCCCGCCTCAGCCTCCCAAACTGCTGGGATTACAGGCATGAGCCACCATGCCCGGCTATAAAATTATTTGTTATCACACAAGTAATGCAGTTACTGCAGAAAAACTGGAAAATATAATATTTTAAAACAAATATTTAAGCAGGTTTTCTTTAAATCATTGAGTAAGCCTTAGTTTATGTGTTATTCATATGTATTTATAGATCTATTCGTATTTTCTTTCTATATCTCAATTTACAAGGGTAACTCCATTTTGCAATTAGCTGAAATACATTAAGATTGGAGTTTTAGTGCTGCAGTTTAAACAGCCACCATCTGGTTGTCCTTCGAAATTCTGTGTCTTCAAAAGCCGAGTGAGTCATGGGTGTGAATGAACACAGACAAACCCCATCAGCCGTGTCTTATGACTTTTTTATTTATCACTGCATTCTCAGCTGCCGCTGCCCAAACTGAACCTTTAGAAATATCCCAGGCATTCTGAATGAGTTTAGGGTATAAACTGTTAGCCAGTTCAGACTGGCAGAAGCTCTGTATATTATATGCTGCCTTTAAGAACAACAGAGACAAACCCTCCAGTTTATTTTTAAACAGCTCCTCTACAAGGGTAACAAATTAATAAACAATTGAGAAATTATTTCAATCTGTACTTAGGGATTGCGAGACAAGATTCACTCATCTTGATGGCTGACTCAGAACCCAGGGCAGATAGGGCTAACATCAAGAAACTCCAAGGAGTAAGAAACTAAACTGGCAGGGCGTGGTGGCTCACACTTGTAATCCCAGCACTTTGGGAGGCCGAGGCGGGCTGATCTCTTGAGCCCAGGAGTTCGAGACCAGCCTGGGCAATGTGGCGAAACCTCTACAAAAACTACAAAAATTAGTCAGGCATGGTGACGTGTGCCTGTAGTCCCAGCTACTAGGGAGGCTGAGGTGGGAGGATCACTTTAGCCCAGCAGGCAGCGGTTGCAGTGAGCCAAGATTGTGCCACTGTGCTACAATCTGGGGGACACAGCAAGACCCTGTCTCAAAAACAAAACAAAACAAAACAAAAAACTTCCCATCCCCTTTCTTCATGTTTGGTAAGGTGTTTGTTGTTGTTGTTGTTATTGTTTTTACCAAACATGAAGAAAGAGGATGGGAATTAACATCCTTTGAGTTTCAACCGGCGTTCTTTCTAACAGGAAGCCCCCGGTCCACTGAAAAGAAAACACGAACGTTTTCAACCACTTACTACGATGAGAAATACATTTATCTACAAACAAAGCTACATTTTTAGAAAAGATCACTGATCTCATCTATGTCATTTTTGCCCCTTAAATGTCTCCTAAATCTGTCCACTTTTGTCTGTTCTTACTGCCACCGGGTCATCCGACCCATCTCCAATGTGCCCCATACTCTTCTTTCCTATAAAGCCCTCCTGATGCTGTGTGGCCCAGCTGAAATTGGGTTCAACTCTGAAGTCTTCAACAAGGCCGGCCAGACACAGTGGCTCACATCTGTAATCCCAGCACTTTGGGAGGCCAAGGCGGGCGGATCACCTGAGGTCAGGAGTTCAACACCGCCGGGCCAACATAGTGAAACCCTGTCACTACTAAAAATACAAAAATTAGCCGGGCGTGGTGGCAGGTGCCTGTAATCCTAGCTACTTGGGAGGCTGAAGTGGGAGAATCCCTTGAGCCTGGGAGGTGGAGCTTGCAGTGAGCCGAGGTCGTGCCACTGCACTCCAGCCTGGGTGACAGAGCCAGACCCTGTCTCAAAAAAAAAAAAAAAAGCAAGCATATGAGTACACAAAACCTTGTACATGAATATTCATAGCAGCATTATTCATAATAGCCAAAAAGTGGAAACAATTCAAATGCCCATCAATTGATTAATGGATAAGTGAGATGTGATACCTTCATACAATGGAATATTACTCAGCCATGCTACAGACTGAGTTATGTCCCTCAGAATTCATATGATGAAGCCTTAACTCCCACCATCTAACTGTATTGGAGATAGGACCTTTAAGGAGGTGATTAAGGTTAAGGGTATATACCTGATCTGGTAGAACTGGTACCCTTACAAGAAGAAGAAGTAGAGACACCAGAGAGCTCCCTCTCCCATGTGATGACCCAGCAAGAAGGTGGCTGTCTGCAAGCCGGGAAGAGAGCCCTCACTAGAACCTGACCATGCTGGTTCCTTGATCTCAGACTTACAGTCTCCAGAACTATGAGAGAAGAAATGTCTGTTGTTTAAACTGTCAAGTCTGTGGTATTTTATTATGGCAGCCTGAGCTGACTAATACAAGCTGTAAAAAGGAGTAAAGTACTGACACATGCTACAGCATGGATAAACTTTGCAAACATTGTGCTGAGTGAAAGAAGTCAGTCACAAAGGATTACATATTGAATGATTCCATTTATATGAACTGTCCAGACCAGGCAAATCCATAAAGAGACAGAGTAGATTAGTGGTTGTCTGGGGCTGGGAGGATTGGAAGTCTTGGGAGATAATGGCTAAAGGGTGTAGGGTTTCTTCTGGGGGTGATGAAAATGTGCTAAAATTCATTTAGTGATGGTTGCAAATTCTGTGACATCTGTAGTATCTGTGATATACTAAAAGCCATTGAGTTGTACACTTTGAATTGCATGATATATGAATTATATCTCAATAAAACTTTTAAAAAAAGAAAGATGACATTTCAATAATGGTCATCTCTAGGCGGTGAGACAGAATCACCCACTTTTTTGTTTAGTTTTCTACAAAGAGCAAGTATTACTTCTACAATCAGTTAAGAAGAAAGTTATTTTTAACAATTCTGTTAAAACAAATGCCAGCCCTATTCTCCTTGTCAACAAAGCTGATAAAACTTACACCTTTGCAAGAGTCAGATATGCTCTAATGACAACTCCCCCGGGCCAGGCTTCCCAGTGTTTAATGTTCTTCCCCATACATTATCTCATCTGAGATTCACAAGCTGTCTGTGTTATAAGCAAGGAAAACAACTGTTTTCCTCCTGAATGTATTTACATCCTGCTTCCTTCCTTAAAAGATTTGAGATAATTTATAATAAAAGATGGTAAATCAAAACAGAAAAAGAAAACCAAGCGTGAAGAGAAATGGAGAATTTAGATATGCTAACTATAGCGTTTAAGACGTTGCTATAAATGAGTTTCACATTGAACTCTGAGCATCCTGGCCAACAAGGCACAAAGGGAAAGTCAGGGAAGAAGCAAACCATTTTCAAGGGAAGCAACATTTTTCCTGGCACCATTTGCTGGATGACATTTCACATACGGATTTATTTTTGAAAAGGATTTAATGGATTTTGACCCAAAGAAAAAATTTTACAGAAGATGTTAAAGTACATTAATATGGTTATTTCCCAAGGTACCTTGGTTTGTAAGCCAAAGACACACCACCTTGGCAAATTCAGGGAAAATCTAAAACCATGGGAACCAAATTTATAATCTAACTTAGTGGTTTTCATATATTTAAACTGCCACCTTCAACTTAAAAAATATGTTTTACATTGCTTTTACAATGCACAAACACATCTCAAACAAATATTTCTCCAAAAAGTATTTCCCTTACAATAAGCAAAGCATGTTGATATGTTCTCTATATTGTACTTCATTTTTCAAAATGTTTTTGGCAACCCATTAATTGATTTCACCACTCAGTGGGAAAAGACACTGCTCTAAAATGATTCAAAAATGATATGGGGCCGGGTGTGGTGGTTCACACCTGTAATCCCAGCATTTTGGGATACTGAGGTGGGCAGATCACCTGAGGTCAGGAGTTCGAGACCAGCCTGGCCAACATGGTGAAACCCTGTCTCTACTAAAAATACAAAAATGTGCTAGGCGTGGTGGTGGGCACCTGTAATCCCAGCTACTCAGGAGGCTGAGGCAGGAGAATTGCCTGAACCCAGGAGGTGGAGGTTGCAGTGAGCTGAGATCGCACCACTGAACTCCAGCTTGGGTGACAAGAACAAAACTGCGTCTCAAAAAAAAAAAAAAAGATGGCTTACAATGGTAGACACTGATCATTATTGATCACCTAATGTTTATGAGGCATTGGACTAAGCATATTCATTACAAGCATTATCTCATTTTGGAATCCAGCGAGAGGGATGCTTTTATTTCCATTGTACAGGTGAAAAAACCGAAAGCTAGAAGAGTTAAGTAACTTGTTCAAGGTCACATAGCCAGTAAGAATTTGTAGGTGAAATTAGCTCAAGTTGTTGTTGTTTTAACACAAATAAACTTGTCTCTCAGTTGGGTTTTCAGGGAGAGTGTTAATTTCATTCTGCATCTAAAAGATGAGTGATCAGGAAGGTTAAGTGCCTTGCTCAAGGACACACAGCTAGGAAGTTGCCAGCCAGGGTTCCAATGCAGGTCTTGGGACTCTAAGCCTAGGACTCTTTCTACTATTATTAGCTGCTCATCCTGAACAGCTTCAAATGTCACTTTGAAACCTCTTAAGTGACAAGTCTCTGGATGCCACGAGAAGAAAATGAGGGCAATTCCAATGCACGTGGCAACAGTAGGGCTCATGCAAAAGATTCCTTAGTCTCCCCCATCTCCCTCCTACTCAGATCTGGCAAAGTAAGGCATTTTTGAAAAGGTTTCGTAGCCACCAAAGTATTACCAGTGACAGTGAGGTGGGTACCTTTTTTAGATCTCTTGCTACTATTCTGTGTTTTTCATAATGAGAATGTATTGCTTTGATATGGGGACAGGTTTTAAATTATTTTTAAAAAGATAATTTAAAAGAGATAATGAGAGTTGAATATGAAAACTGGCAAGACGCTTTAGCTGTTCACATCCTAAATTTAGATCCTAAGGGTGAACACCATGTGTCAACAGCCTTGGACTGGTGCTCACAGAGAGAAGCAGGGACAATTTGGTGGGCGGGATCGTTACTCTTTAAGGCAGGCTCACAGGCATAAAGAAGCATGTGCTTCATGCCCTTGGCAATGCAACCAGAAGTCCTAATGGACTTTGCAGGAAACTGAACACCAACAGATTTCTCTTGAGTGTTTGAACTCCATAAATAACATCTGTGCATTGCAGCCTAATGAGGAGAGAGAGAGGGAGGACTCTGGAGTCAAGCTGCTTGGTTCTGCTATGTTTTTGCTGTGTGGCCCCAGATATACTGTTTGACCTCTCTCTGCCTCAGTTTCTTCATCTATAAAATGGAGACCATAGCAGTAACTACTTCAAAGGTGTAAAGAATAATTGAGTTGCTACTAGTAAAGTGCTTGGGAAAATGCTTGCCTCATAGTAAGTGCACAATGAATGTAAACAAACACTCCTTTTTATTATTTTTAGAAATTATGGATAATCGAAAAAGAAAAATAATCACTTGCATTTCTGTTTTAGAAAAAAAGGCAAAAATCAATCAACTCATCAATCGCCTGCATTACAACCACCCAGAGATAATCACTATTAGCATCTGGGGATTATATTTTAATGGACTTTTTGTCTTTCTTTCTTTATTATTATTTTTTGAAACGGAGTCTCGCTCTGTCGCCCAGGCTGGAGTGCAATGGTGCGATCTTGGCTCACTGCAACCTCCACCTCCCGGGTTTAAGCGATTCTCCTGCTTCAGCCTTCTAAGTAGCTGAGATTACAGGTGCCTGCCACCACACCTAGCTAATTTTTGTATTTTTAGTAGAGACAGGGTTTCACCATGTTGCCCAGGCTGGTCTTGAACTCCTGATCTCAGGTGATCCACCAGCCTTGGCCTCCCAAAGTCCTGAGATTACAGGCGGTCTTTATCCATTTATATATTATATGTAAGCATATATCTTCCCTTAATTTTTTTTTTTTTTGGAAACAGTTCTGTTTGCTTTATTTTTCTTTTTTTGGAGACAGGGTCTTGCTCTGTCTCCCAGGCTGGAGTGCAGTGGCACAACCATAGCTCACGGCAGCCTCAACCTCCTGAGCTTTAAGAGGTCCTCCTGCTTCAGCCTCCTGAGCAGCTGGGTCTACAGGCATGCACCACGCTACCCAGTTATTTATTTTTTATTTTTTTAGTGGATACAGGGTCTCTTAACACTGCCCAGGCTAGTCTCGAACTTTTCAAGTGATCCTCCCAACTTGGCCTCCCAAAGTGCTGGGATTACAGGTGTGAGCCACTGTGTCCAGCCTCAGTTCTGTTTACTTGCCCATAGAGCGTTTGGCAAGCTGGCTGATCTGGGAAGGAGGTTATGTAACACAGATCCATTCATTCAACCAACAAGTATTCCTTGACTGTCTACCATGTGCTGGGCACTGTTCTAGATGCTGAGGACAGAGCAATGAACAAAATAGGAAAGAAAGGTCCCTGCTGTCAGAGAACTTACATTCTAGTGCAGTCACATAGACAATAAACAAAATAAATCATTAAAATCCTGGGTGACTGGCCGGGTGTGGTGGCTCACACCTGTAATCCCAGCACTTTGGGAAGCCGAGGAGGGTGGATCACTTGTGGTCAGGAGTTCGAGACCAGCCTGGCCAACATAGTAAAACCTCATTGCTATTAAAAATACAAAAATTAGCAGGGTGTGATGGCGTGCGCCTGTAATCCCAGCTACTCGGGAGGCTGAGGCAGGAGGAACCCTTGAACCCTGGAGGTGGAGGTTGCAGTGAGCCAAGATCATGCCATTGCACTCCATCCTGGGTGACAGAGTGAGACCCTATCTCCAAAATAAATAAATAAATAAATAAATAAATAAATTTTCTCAGTTCTGCCACTTCAAAGCTGTGTGACCAAAGGTGAATGATTTAACCTCTGAGACACAGTTTCCTCCCCTGAAAGATAGAGGCAATAATAGCTTCCTTTTTTTTTTTTTTTTTTTTTTTTGCTATGGAGTCTCACTCTGTGGCCCAGGCTGGAGTGCAGTGGCGTGATCTTGCCTCACTGCAACCTCTGCCTCCTAGGTTCGAGCAATTCTGCAGTCCCAGCCTCCCGAGTAGCTGGGATTACAGGCACCTGCCATCATGCCTGGCTAATTATTGTATTTTTAGTAGAGACAGGGTTTCACCATGTTGGCCAGGCTGGTCTCGAACTCCTAACCTCAAATGATCTGCCCACCTCGGCCTCCCAAAGAGCTGGGATTACAGGCATGAACCACTGTGCCCGGCTGGGCAATAATAATTTCTACTCATTCTGTTTGCTGTGAAGATTAGAAATAATATATGCAAAGTGCCTGGCGTGTAGTTGGCACTCTAAATCAGAGCTGCTATGAGGATTGCGGATCTTTGCAGACACGCAACGTTTGGCAGCCACAGGTAGGCAATGCTGTCCTGTAGGCCGGGCCCCAGCTTGACAAGGCAGACAGAATTTCCCATTGCCCTCCCGGTTAGCTCCAACTTGCATTCAGAAAGAGTCATTCTGGGTGTGACAGGTTCAAATGTAGTGACAGGAGGAGCCTCCTTCCAGAATATGTGCTTCCTACCTTCTCAAACATGTGATCAAACTTCACAAAAATCTCCTTTAAACCTCCCTACTCTTTTCCTCCAAACTTTCCCAAATTGCCAAATACCGAATTCATGCCTCCCTCTTCTCTGCCTCACCCTCTAAACTTCCGGATTTACTCTCTGCCTCCCCCAGTGATCCCACCTCGCTTTCCCCAACAAAAGCCCAGTAGTGGGCAGAACATTCACCATCTATTGTTCTTGCCTTCAACGTTGAGACCAAACTCCCAAACCCGGCAACAGCCACCAAAACGGCATCAACAGGTTTTCAAGGTTTAGATTCGCCCAGACAGCAGGCCTCTTGCCTGGGAGGCAGGATATTCTACAGCAAACACCTATGGGATATTCTGTTTTGCTGTTATAGAGATTTCCTGATTCAACCATTCAATTTTTCAAAGCAGAAAACAAGGTCCATGTAGCTGGTAAATTGCACAGTCGAACAGGAACTCAGATCCCCTGAATTTTAGACCAAATGAAACTGCATTAGTGAGAAGAGCCTCGCAAAGGAAGATTTTGAATCCAAAGCTATTACTGGGATCTTGTAGCTAATCCATAGTATTAGGGCTTTGCTGATGTGGTTACAACACATTCTCTACCAAGAATAAACCCATGTAATCACTTTTTCTGGCCTCTAGCCTGACACAGCTTATAAATTTCCCCCAGGAGATTCTAATCTGCAGCCAGCATTGAGAACCACTGCTGTACATAAATTACCTGGAATAAAAACTTTATTTTTGCTGACAGCTTTAAAAAATATTACTAAAACCAGCCACCAGTTACTGACCATTCACTTTGTGCCAGAGATCTATTTAATTCCATACACGGCTGTTTTACTTAATCCTCACAGTAGCCCTTTGTGACAGATCCTAATTGTCCCCACACAACAGAGGAGAAAACAGCCTGGAGAGGATTAACAACTTGCCCAGGAACCATCCTGATGGTAAAAGGCAGGAGCTCGGTTCTGTCAGACCCTCCAAAGCCAATCTTTTTATTTTTATTTTTTTGAGACAGGGTCTTATTCTGTTGCCCATGCTGGAGTACAGCAGCGTGATCATGGCTTTCTGAAGCCTCGACCTCCCAAGACCAAGAGATCCTCCTGCCTCAGCCTCCCAAGTAGCTGGGACCACATGCACAGACCACCATACCCAGCTAGTTTTCATATTTTTTGTAGAGATAGTCTCTCTGTGTTGCCCGGGCTGGTCTCGAACTCCTGGGCTCTCGAGTGATCCTCCCATCTTGGCCTCCCAAAGTGTTGGTATTACAGGCATGAGTGACTGCACCTGGCTGCCAATATTCTTAACAATATGTATTAATGATATGTTGAATGCTTTGCTTAATTAATAATAATTATCATTTATTGATCACTTATTATGGGCCAGGCACTATTCCAGTTCATTTAATCCTCACAAAAACTCTATGGCTTGGTTACTAGTATTAGTATTGCCATTGTATTGCCAGACAAACTGAGTCACAGAGAGGTTAAGCAACCTGCTCGAGGTTGCACAGTGAGAAATGGGAAACTTAGCCCAATCTGGTCATGAGCCGTCTAGGGGTTTGTAGATTTATCTATATCCTTCAAAAGCATTCCGCATCAGCCAGGCACGGTGGCTAACGCCTGTAATCTCAGCACTTTGGGAGGCCAGGGCGGGCGGATCACAAAGTCAAGAGATCAAGAGCATCCTGGCCAACATGGTGAAACCCCATCTCTACTAAAAATACAAAAATTAGCCAGGCGTGGTGGCGTGCGCCTGTAGTCCCAGCTACTCGGGAGGCTGAGGCAGGAGAATCACTTGAACCCGGGAGGCGGAGGTTGCAGTGAGCCGAGATCACATCAGAGATGAAGCTCATGAAGTTGGAAGTGGTCATTCGCATAAACTTCAATACAGGATCTTGAACTTTTAGGGCAAATCATTAAGAAAGGAAATCATCTTTTATTTTTTAATCTCAGAACAGTAGGGATCTTCAGGCATTGCAGTGGGAGGCTTCTGTCATGTCATAGCTGTGCAGACTTTTGCAAATTTTAAATGAAAAGATATGTGTAAAAGTTGATGTCATCCAAACATCCCCAGACACTGGTGAGTCCTAAAAATAGAATTGGTGAAGGCAGTGCCAAGGCATGAAGTCACTAGATGTCTCTTAATCAAATTATTTATTTTTCAGGTTAAAATGGAGAAGGAACTAAGTTTTGAGGAACTATGAAAGAAAAAAATGAAAATGAAAATGACACCTTAGATTTACAGATATATTTCTTCTGAAGGAGCCATGGTCCTATCAAAACAATGACCTCATTTAGAATTATTACTAAGGCATAAGAATTCTCATTTTACAAGTAGAGAAAATGTAGCACAAAGATGACATCATCCATCAAAAGTCCCACAGTGGGTTGGTAGCATTAAGTATAAATTAATATAACATTTTTGGATGACAGTATGGTGATCACTGTCTAAATTTAATATGTGGGTGTCCTTTGACCCAGCAATTCCACTTCTAGGAATTAATCCTATAGAGGTACTTCTACAAGGCTGGGCATGATGGCTCACGCCTGTAATTCCAGCACTTTAAGAGGCCGAGGCAGGTGGATCACCTGAGGTCAGGAGTTCGAGACCAGCCTAGCCAACATGGTGAAACCCCGTCTCTACTAAAAATACAAAAATTAACTGGGTGTGGTGGCACTCGCCTATAATCCCAGCTACTCAAGAGGCTGAGGCAGGAGAATCACTTGAACCCGGGAGGTGGATGTTGCAGTGACCCAAGACTGTGCCACTGCACTTCAGTCTGGGCGACAGAGCAAGACTCTGTCTCAAAAAAAAAAAAAAAGAAAAGAAAAGAAAAAGAAATACTTCTACAAGCAAGCTAGAATATAGTTACAACAATGTTTATGGAGCATTGTTCATAATACAAGCCAACTATCCATTCATAGGAATTGGTTTTACAAAAGTATGGTACAGCGCTATCATTTTTATGGAGCCACTAAAAATAATGGGATAGATCTGTGTGTGCTGGCATGAAGCAGATGGCAATGATATATTGCCAAGTGAAGAAAAAACAAGCCAGTTACAGTACAGCATATATAATATGGTTACATGTTTATAAATATATATATTTACGTTTTTTATTTTTTTGAGACAGAGTCTTGCTCTGTCACCCAGGCTAGAGTGCAGTAGTGTGATCTCGGCTCACTGCAACCTCCACCTCACTGCAACCTCCACCTCCTGGTTCACACAATTCTCATGCCTCAGCCTTCCAAGTAGCTGGGACTACAAGCATGTGCCACCATGCCTGGCTAATTTTTTTGTATTTTTAGTAGAGACGGGGTTTCACCATGTTGGCCAGGCTGATCTCAAACTCCCGGCCTCAAGTGATCCGCCTGCCTCGGCCTCCCAAAGTGCTGGAGCTATAGGCATGAGCCACCGCACCTGGCTTATATTTGTATGTTGATAGATGAATGGGAAAACTATGGGCTGATATACTCAACAGTGATTGTCTTTGGAAAATACATCACTAAAACTTGACCTTTTTTGTTAGATGATAGACTGTTGGTCACAAAGGTTCTCAACTAATGGTAGAACTCACTTCCTGAGCCACAGGCTAGAGTGTTCCTGGTACCCAGGTTCCCTCTCTGGTGGCCAAACCTTTCTCTGCTCCTCAAATGTAGATGGACAGAGGATTTGGAAAGAGGGAGAAAAGAATATTCTTATCCTTATTCACTTAACCCTGGTTTCTTGCTTTAGTGAAAATATCTCCCCAAAACACTCATGTAGATCCTGCAGCCTTTGAATGGGGCTCTCAGCCTCCTCTACTGCCAAGCCTCCCCTATACTAGTGGTCTGTGGTCACTCCAGTGTCAGGGTGCAGGCTGGGAGGCATAGCCAGACACTGCCTGCTGTCCAGCCTGTGGGTCCTTAGTTACCATGCTGAGAAGCTTTGCACTGGACCACTGTGGCCTATTGGGCACTTGGGTTACAGAACAGCATGGCCTGGGATGGCTCTAGCCTCTTTGGCATCAGGTAGATCCGGGTTCAAATCCCTGGTCTCTGGCCTGACTGGCTGCGTGGACTTGTGCAAGCCATGTATCCTCCCAGCCCCGGTTTCCTCATCTGTACGATGGAGATGATCTCACCTCTCTGAGATACCATGTGTGAGGACTACGTGGAAACATAAGGTGCTTAGTGTAGTGTCTGGCACATGGCATAAGCTCCATCGCTCGTAGCTACTCCTTAGTTGCAGACATCCTTCTTTGCTCTCGGCAATGCACCCAATTACATGGGCTAGGAAGGAAAGAACTAAGTTCCAGCATATCTTATGTATTTATTTATTCTGAGATGAGGTCTTGCTCATTACCCAGGCTGGTGTGCAGTGGTGCAGTCACCGCTCAGTGCAGCCTCGGGTTCCTAGGCTCAAGCAATCCTCCCACCTCAGCTTCCTGAGTAGCTGGGACTACAGGAGTGTGCTAGCACGCCTGGCTAATTTTATTTTTTGTAGAGACGGGGTCTCATTGTGTTGCCCAGGCTGGTCTCGAACTCCTAGGCTCAAGCAATTCTCCCACCTTGGCCTCCCAAAGCACTGGGATTACAGCTGTGACCACAGCCTCCAGCAAATCCTAAGGTCACAAGCAGGTGGGGCGGTAAGATGAGGTGTTCATCTTAAGAATAGCCTTTAAACCACAGGGAAATCCTAATCGCTAGGATTTGTCATTGTGGTCTAAATTAAAATTAGGGAAAAGAACTTTCTCTGGTCTCCACCCTCTACTCTGGGCTTTCATGTTTTCCCTCTAGAAGGAAACACTGCTCTAAGAAACTTACTATATTTGGGAATAAAATGGTGTTCAGTATGTTATAGTGTCCTCTTTATGAAAGAAAAATCAAGTCTCAGCTCCAGGAAGGTGTGCTTCCAAGAAACTCACTTAATCTTGAGGACACAATAAATCATTAATAATCGTATTTCCTTTATTGTTGTGGCTTCCTGGAAGCTCAGAGCCATATTTCTATTCACTATAGGAACATTTTTGAGGCCATGATTCACATTGCATAATGTATTAGGGAAGCGCTGAGTATTTCCCGAACAAATGGCCCTTTGTCTTTTTTCTTATGGACACTGTGAATTTATGTAATAGATTCTATTTCCATCTTACTTTGGCAGGTTTTCCTAAGAAACTTCTATGTTGGTCAAAGGGTACAAACTTTCAGTTATAAGATGAATAAGTTCTGGGGATCTAATGTAAAGTATGGTAACTACAGTTAATAATACTGAATTGTTTATTTAAAAATTGGTAAGAGAGCAGATTTTAAGTGTCCTCACCACACACATACACACACACAAATCGTAACTAAGGGTGATAGATGTGTTCATTAATTTGATCATAGTAATCATTACACAGTATGTATGATACGGCTTGGCTCTGTGTCCCCACCCAAATTTCATCTTGAATTGTAATCCCCATGTGTGGAAGGAGGGATCTGGTGGGAGGTGACTGGATCATGGGGGAGGTTTCCCCCATACTGTTCTTATGATAGTGAGTGAGTTCTCATGAGATCTGATGGTTTATGTTTGACAGTTCCCCCCTCACTCTCTCTCTCTCCTGCCGCCATATAAGACGTGCCTTGCTTCCCTTTTGCCTTCCGCCATGATTTTAAGTTTCCTGAGACCTCCCAGCCATGCAGAACTGTAAGTCAATTAAACCTCTTTTCTTTATAAATTACCCAGTCTCAGGTATTCTTTATAGCAGTGTGAAAATGGACTAATACAGTATACGAATATTAAATCATCATGTTGCACACCTTGAATATATATAATTTGTATTTGTCAGCCTAGGCCTTGAAGTTAAGTATTTTACTTACAGAACTGAGTGGCTTTATTTTTTTCCCTAATCTTAATTATTCCTTAATTACCACCTTTACCTAAAAATATCATATTGTGTGTATTTCCGTAACTACTAAAAACCACTCTTGGAATGAAGTAGGAAATAAAACAGTTAAGCAAACAAAAAGTAGACAATTCATTTCCTTTGACAGATCAATCTCTCCAAGTCTCTGCCTTTTCTTCAAAACGTTAAGAAGTGATAGTTATTTAGAGATTATTTGTGCATATATAAAGAATATACACACAAACACATACATGATAAATTTATCTGATGATATATATGATGTATATATATGTGTGTGCATATATATATACACACACATAGGTAATGTAATCTGATGTTATGGGAACAATTTCTATGGTTTCTTTCTCCCTGCTCATACTAGATTTCTAAATAAAATATGGATATTCAATTACAAAGCACATTTGAAAACAATTACTGACTATGTGAGGCTAAAAATATGCTATTAATCGAGACACGATATTTTTTACTACATCTCAAAAATGACTTGGGCATCTTATTTTAAACTACATTGGCTGAAATTCTTACCATACACGTTTTAAAATAATTCCTGCATCTGTCCTGATGGATAGAGACTTGAAGATAACTTCACACCGCTTCCATCCTAGAAGAAAATACTGTTTGGGACAGTCAGTCTCTGACTCACTGTAATGTGAGACAGGCTATATATGACCACAATTCCACCCCGACAGCTGATGTGACTCTCCCTCAGACCTCCTGACTGCCCAAGGTTGCTCTAAGCTATGAACTTGGTAAAATCTCTTTGTACTGTAAATGCCGGAGCACAATGTGGATAAAATGGCAACAACTTAAAAAGATATGCCTGTCTCCTGGATTTGTACATAGATGAGCTTTTTTTTTTTTTAATGAAGTTGAAAAACCATTTTCATTTGCAATCACTCCACTATTTTTTATTGCAAGTCTAAAGGAGAACTAGCATGTGCTTAACATCCATTTTCAAACTGCTTCACTGCAAGCCTTTGAGGTCTAATTGAGGTGTCACCTTGGCTGGGGAGATTTATTTTGTAACCCCCCACACTACCCAGATTCATAAGGTTTAAAATAGGAAGTAACTCTAGCGCATGAGCTTAACAAAGTGATTCAACTCGGCGACAGTTAAAGGGAACAAGAAGTTCTGCTTCACCTGGTGTGCAGCAGGTTGTACTCTGCTTCTCGTAATTCAGCCCCTAGCTGGAGGCTTCAGTCCATGAAAACATAAACAGCAAGAACCCTGAAGCCCAGAGAGGAAACTGAACAGGTCATATGTCATGTTCCAGAAGATTCCTGAGAAGCTGGGTCTGAGAGCAGAATCTAAGAGAATGTCTTAGCTCTCTGCATCTGTCCTCCAGGATATGTTAGAACACTGGACAGAGAAAGGGAAGTCCTGGGCCCAGCCCCAGGCTCTCCTCTGCTGTGTGACCTTGGGCAAGTCATTCAATCTTGCTGGAACTTCATTTCTTCATATGTAAAATGAAGCCCAGAGCTTCATCCCCTAAATATGTTCAGACCATCTGCTCTGTGCCAGGCTCATGATGAATAAGACAAACACGGTCCTACATGAAAGCCCATGGAGCTTGGAGTCTATTGGAAGAAATCAACACAAATATTTTAATAATACTATCATGACAATAACTAACATTTATGGGAACTATGTGCCAGGACTTGTTCTAAAGATCATCATCTCTTATAATCTTGTAATAACACTTGTACGAGATAGACACTATTATTACTAGTCCCATTTTGCACAAGGGAAAACTAAAGCTTCATGAAGTTCAGTAGATCAGGGTCACATGGATAGAAGTGGTAGTTAGGATTCCAAAGGCAGGTCTGGCCAACTCCAAAGCCCGGTCCTTTACCTGTCCTTTCTGCTGTCCTGACTTCCTTCTTAACTGATCACAGACCTGGGGACAGACTTCAGAATTGGCTTGTTTGCCCAAAGGCCATTTCACGGTCTCAGCGTATATGGGAACCTATCCATGGGTTCACACTGGGGTATTTACTGAAGAGGTGTTTCTTGTTTGGAAAGCACGGCTCACTCCTTCTGGAGCCCTTGGAAGGTGGCACGGGAAGCCAGCAGCAGATGGTGGAAATGGAACTGCTTCCACCAGCCCCTCCAGCCCCTCTGCTGCAGGCTGGATAAAAGCATGAACTCCAGTCTATTCTCCCTGCTCCGAAGCGAGCCCAATCAGTCAATCAACCAACTGCAAATCAAATCCAAAGAATACAGACCAACAGAAAGAAATAGGCATGCTGCACTTTCCTCGACCTTTAAACTGATTACAGCCCTGATTGCCTTCCAGTTTTGAAGCCAAATGAAACTGCAGTTGTGCATGGAACAGAGGCCTGTGCTGAGCCAGCCAAACAGTGATAGCTCAAGCTGCTTCTTTACAAGGGCAGCTTAGATCACCAATTTGATGTGCTCCTACTCTGCACCAGGAACTTTGTTTATTGACTCATTTAAACCTCACAGCTCCATTCATTCATTCATTCATTCATTCATTCATTCATTCGTTCAACTGATATTTATCTGGTGCTCACTTTGTGCCAGGCACTGTACTAGGAGTTAAGCCAGGCAGACACATCACATCAGGAGGTACCATGATGTCAATGTGTCCTATTATTTCATGCAGGTTACATGCTAGTGGGGAAGACAATTGTCCAGTAAATAAATTTAGGTTGGGGCAAAAGTAATTGCATTTAATGTCATTATTTTTAATGGCAAAAACTGCAATTATTCTTGCACCAACCTAATAGCAGCTGTACAGTCAAGCATCAGCGGGACTTGTTGCCCAGAGCCGAGAGCACAGGCCTAAAGGACTCCACATTTTAAAGAAAGCACAAAACAACTGGGCATCTCACATCTCCTTAGGTTCTCCATCCTGGCTGAGCAATAGGCATGGTGGCTGATGCCTGTAATCCCAGCACTTTGGGAGGCCGAGGAAGGAGGATCACTTGAGGTCAGGAGGTCAGGACCAGCCTGGCCAACATGGTGAAACCCCGTCTCTACGAAAAAAACGAAAATTAGCTGGGCATGGTGGCAAACGCCTGTAATCCCAGCTACTTGGGAGGCTGAGGCATGAGAATCGCTTGAACCCCAGAGGTGGAGGTTGCAGTGAGCTGAGATTGCGCCACTGCACTCCAGCCTGGGTGACAGAGCGAGACTCTGTCTCAGAAAAAAAAAAAAAAGGAATAGGAAGTACAGAGTCTCACGGTGAAGAAGGCATTGGCACATTGTAAGAGCAGAAAAGAGACTAGAGGGGCTGCAGCCCACTGAGGGAGGATGGGGACAGGGTAGGATGGGGAGGTTAGACGACCCAAGGCATGATGGCCTGTGGCCTGCTGAGGGATGTATGACTATTTTTTGTAGTTTCTCATAATTATAAAGTACTATATGCTTATCTAAAAGATTCCAACAGTGTGGTTCCACCCCTCTGGTCCAAATTCTCAAAGGTAACTACCAATAATTTTCTTTCCAGACTGTTTAGCATCTCTGTGTTTCCATGCATATATATAATATATATTTATATATATTTAATTATATATATAATTATATATTTATATATAATTTAAATAATTAAATAATTAAAATATATTTAATTATATATATAAAAATATATAAAAATATATATAATATATATTTTATATATATATTTATATATATATATATTTTTTTTGAGACGGTGTCTGGCTGTGTTGCCTAGGCTGAAGTGCAGTAGCACGATCTCGGCTCACTGCAACCTCTGCCTTCTGGGTTCAAGTAGCTGGGATTACAGGTGCCCGCCACCATGCCCGGCTAATTTTTGTATTTTTAGTAGAGACAGGGTTTCACCATGTTGGCCAGGCTGGTCTTGAACTTCTGACTTCAGGTGATCCACCCGCCTCAGGCCCCCGAAGTCCTAGGATTACATTACAGGCCATGCATATTTTTTTATATGAATAAAAACTTATAGTTCTGCAATTTAATTTTCCCCATTTGAAAACATATCAGGTTGGGCACGGTGGCTCATGCCTGTAATCCCAGCACTTTGGGAGGCCAAGGCGGGCAGATCACCTGAGGTCAGGAGTTTGAGACTAGCCTGGCCGATATGTATGGTGACACCCTGTCTCTACTAAAAATACAAAAATTAGCCGGGCATGGTGGCAGGCACCTGTAATCCCAGCTACTCGGGAGGCTGAGGCAGGAGAATTGCTTGACTCCAGGAGGCGGAGGTTGCAGTGAGCTGAGATCCGGCCACTGCACTCCAGCCTAAGCGACAGAGCGAGACTCCATCTCAAAAAAAAAAAAAAAAAAAAGAAAAGAAAGAAAACGTATCAGCCAGGCGCGCTGGCTCATGCCTGTAATCCCAGCACTTTGGGAGGCCGAGGCAGCAGATCACTTGAGGTCAGGAGTTCAAGACTAGCCTGGCCAACATGGTGAAACCCTGTGTCTACTAAAAATACAAAAATTACCCAGGCGTGGTGGAGCAAGCCTGTAATCCCAGCTACTCAGGAGGCTGAGGCTGGAGAATCACTTGAACCCAGAAGGCGGAGGTTGCAGTGAACCAAGGTCACACCGCTGCACTCCAGCCTGGGCGAACAGAGTGAGACTCTGTCTCAAAAAAAAAAAAGAAGATATCGGCTCATGAAATTATGGTGACTGAGAAGTCCCACAATCTGCCATTTGCAAGCTAGAGACCTAGGAAGTCCAGAGAACCAATAGTGTAGATTCTAGTCTGGGTTTGAAGGCCTGCGAGCCAGGAGCACCAAGGGCAGAAGATCAAGGCCCCCAGCTCACATGGCCAGGCAGAGTCCATGCAACCTTCCTCCACCATTTTGTTCTATTCAGGCCCTTAACAGATTGGATGAAGCCCATTAGGGAGGTCCATCTGCTTTATTTGGTCAATCAATTCAAATGCTAATCTCTCTGGAAACACCTTGACAGACAGATCTAGAAATAATGTTTAATCTGGGCATCTCACAGCCCGGTCAAGTTGACACATAAAATTAGCCATCGCAAAAGGGGAGAAGACAAGCATAAAATACCATCTGAGTTCAGACACACAATCAACAACTTAGAAGAATAACTATAACTATCCATCATACTGATAGACACTGTGTTTCCAAAATAATGGGTTATTCTTGATGTCTTGTAGCTTCAAAAATAGAAACTGCAGACACAGGGAGACACTGAATTTGTCCCTGTGGGAGAGAAATGGCCCTGTAAATTATATCACATCACCTCTGTCATTCCATAGCAGAATCTTAATATGCAGCCACTTCCCCCATGCACAAGCTGAGTTCCATGCAGACAAGGACCTTACAAAAGCTCAGAGGGCCTCCTTCTTGAGCCTGGAATAAGAATCAGGCTTTTCTTGAATGAACTAAGGACAGTGAATCCAGCAACTTACCTTTTTGTTCTTGCTTGGCCCAGAAAATTTTGACTTGCTGGTGAATGTGCTTGGCCTCGCGAAGTTTCTTCTGCCACTGACGCAGTTCTTGAATCTCAGGATCACAGCGAACCTGGAAAATCCCAGTAAAACTTTAGTCCCTTTTCGACACACTTCTGTACACTAGCTTATTAACCCTGCATGGAAAATCCTTTACAAACCAGTTGGATGTACTTTTGATTCTCAATGAATCATCGTCCTAAATGAATTATTGACACTCCTAGAGCTTACATCATATTTGAGCATAAATGAGGTTGTGTGAAGATTTGCTATAGTAATAGTAGGTTAAGAATGAATAGGTGTGTGCTGTCCAATAGAAAGATAATGCAGCCACCACATTTGTAACTTTAAACTTCCTGGCATCTCATTTTAAAAAGTAAAAGCAAGCAGGTAAGATTATTTTTAAGAATATATTTCACTTGGCCAGGCACGGTGGCTTACGCCTGTAATCCCAGCACTTTGGGAGGCCGAGGCTGGCAGATCACCTGAGGTCAGGAGTTCGAGACCAGCCTGGCCAACATGGTGAAACCCCCTCTCTACTAAAAATACCAAAATTAGCTGAGTGCGGTGGCGGGTGCCTGTAATCCCAGCTACTTAGGAGGCTGAGGCAAGAGAATTGCTTGAACCCGGGAGGGGAGGTTGCAGTGAACTGAGATTGTGCCATTGCACTCCAGCCTGGGCGACAAGAGAGAAACTCCATCTCAAACAAACAAACAAGAATATATCTCACTTAACCTAAAACATTCAAAATCTTATTACTTCAACATGTAATTAATATTAAAAAAAATTATGCTGGGCATGGTGACTCATGCCTGTAAATCCCAGTACTATGAGAGGCCAAGGCAGGAGGATTGCTCAAGCCCAGGTGTTCAAGACCAGCCTGGGCAACATAGTGAGACGTCATCTCTATAAAAAATAAACAAAATTAGCTGGGTGTGGTGGTGAACACCTGTAGTCCCAGCTACTCAGGAGGCTGATATGGGAGGATTGCTTGAGCCTGGGAGGTTGAGGCTGCAGTAAGCCAAGATTGTGCCACTGCACTCCAGCCTGAGATCCTGTCTCAAAAAAATAAAAATAAAAAATTATTTATGAGTTATCTTACTTTCTGTTTTACATGCTAAGTCTTCAACACTGTGTGTTTTTGCACTTACAACATACTTCATTTCAAGTGCTCAACAGACACATGTAGCTGGTGGCTACTATATAGAACAGCACAGTTCTAGGTTCACCACAGTTAATGCATTAACCACAGTTCTATTTAACACTGACTGCTTACTTCATACCAACTTTTGTGCTAGACGTTGAGATTAAAGAGATGAATAATAGTAATTTCAACAATAATTATTTTTATTTTTATTATAGCTCATATTTATTGAGCATTTATCTCCCAGGCATGGTTTGAAGTATCTTACAAATTTTATTTCATTTTTTATTTTCTTTATTTTGTAGAGAAAGAGTCTTGCCATGTTGCCCAGGCTGGTCTCAAACTCCTGGGCTCAAGCCTTGGCCTCTAAAAGTGCTGGGATTACAGGTGAGAGCCACTGTGCCTGGCCAAATATTTTACATTTTTTTTTTTTTGAGATGGAGTTTCGTTCTTGCTGCCCAGGCTGGAGTGCAATGGTGCAATCTCAGCTCACTGCAACCTCCACTTCCCGGGTTCAAGCAATTCTCCTGCCTCAGCCTCCCAAGTAGCTGGGAATACAGGTGTGCACCACCAGGCCTGGCTAATTTTGTATTTTTAGTAGAGACAGGGTTTTACCATGTTGGTCAGGCTGGTCTCGAACTCCTGACCTCAAGTGAACCATCCGCCTTGGCCTCCCAAAGGGCTGGGATTACAGGTATAAGCCACTGCTCCCGGCCTATTTTACAAATTTGAATCACTAAGCCAAGCCAATAAGGCAGGAATGATTATCTCCATGTTACAGATGAGATAACTGAGTTTTAGTGGCTTGCCAAGTCGTACTGGATATGGTGGAGCTGGAATTAAAACTTGAATGGATTGATTCCAGCTGCCTTTGAGAAACTTAAAGTGTAGGAGGAGACACAGGAATAAGATCAATAAGGTATGGTAAGACTAGGGAAGTTGGTGAGTGCAAGGGAAAACAAAGGGGCATCGAACCCAGCCTTGGAGAGGTCAGAAAACCCCTGGGCTGTTTTGAAGGACGAACTAGAGTTCACCATGGAAAGAAGGGATGGAGTGTAATTGTGTTCCTGGGAGAGATACTGGCCTCTGCAAGAGGTGCAGAATGGTGAAACAGTCTTGGATGATACAGGAATTCCAAGGTGAGAAAGTAACAAACGGCTCAGAAAGGCCACAGCCACTCACATCCTTCCTCTTCCTGGTTCATCTTTCTACCTCTTCACTTGCCAGAGGAGCTGCATCTCACAAAGCAGATTCCAAGACTGGAAGGGAGTGATTTTACATATGTGGATGTGTGTCAACTTTATCTTGAAAGATAAGTTAAAGTCACAAAAGAATGCTGTGAGACAACCTGAGAAATGAGATCCAACATTTTCCAAAGAAGTCCCTGACTCAGCTCTCTAACTATTAAATAGGGCTACTTTGGGGGTTCCCCTTATTTCGGAGGTACCCAGCCCCTGCAGCCACATGCTGGTACCGGTCCATGGCCTGTTAGGAACCAGGCGGTACAACAGAAGGTGAGTGGCGAGTGAGCAGGGAAGCTTCATCTGTATCTGCAGCCACTCCCTATCGCTCACATTACCACCTGAGCTCCACCTCCTGTCAGATCAGTGGCAGCATTAGATTCTCATAGGAGCATGAATCCTATTGTGAACTGCACATGTGAGGGATCTAGGCTGCATGTTCCTTATGAGAATCTAACTAGTGCCAGATGATCTGTCACCATCTCCCATCACCCCCCAGATGGGACCACTTAGTTGCAGGAAAACAAGCTCAGGGTTGCCACTGATTCTACATGATGGTGAGTTGTATAATTATTTCATTACATATTACAATGTAATAATAATAGAAAGAAAGTACACAATAAATGTAACGTGCTTGTATCATCCCAAAACCATCCCCCAACCCCAGTCCCTCATCCATGGAAAAACTGTTTTCCACGAAACTGGTCCCTGGTGCCAAAAAGGTTGGGGACCACTGTCTTAATCAACTTTATTTATTTATTTATTTATTTATTTATTTTTTAAGAGGGAGTCTCACTCTGCCGCCTAGGCTGGAGTACAGTGGTGTGATCTCACCTCACTGCAACCTCCGCCTCCTGGGTTGAAGCAATTCTGCTGCCTCAGCCTCACGAGTAGCTGGGATTACAGGCATGCACCACCCCATCTAATTTTTGTAGTTTTAGTAGAGACTGGGTTTTGCCATGTTGGCCAGGCTGGTCTCGAACTCCTGACCTCAGGTGGTCTGCCCACCTCGGCGTCCCAAAGTGCTGGTATTACAGGCGTGAGCCACTGTGCCCAGCCAGCTCCATTCATTTTAAATGAGGCAGTAGCTGTGTATTCTAGAGGAACAGTTGCCTGAACTGGAATGAGCATGCAGAACTGGGGCAGTCACATGCCACATGCCCCGGTCAGTGCTTCCCTCTCTAGGCCGTGGTCCCCTCATGTCTCCCCAGGGACCCCAGGTGTCCTCTTCTCTTCTTAAAGCCACAACTCAGACCAGCCGGTCTGATAGTCAGGAACTACTGTCTCTCCTGCTGGGAGGGATGCAGGGCACACTGAAGCAGAAATAGAAACCTGCTAGGCCTGCAGGACCCAGCATTTAAGAGAAACTGGTGAAGGGAGTGCAGGATGAGGACAGACCAGAGAGCCAGGCTTGTCTAAAGGGGTCGGCTGCTCCCCAACTCTGCTGACCATGGGGATGCCACCAAGCCAAAGCTCAATTTCTTGCTTTTTCAGATCACCACTGGATCTTGGGACTTCCTACCTTGGTCCCTGGGCTTCCTACCATGGTCACTGCTATCCTTTGAGGGAGCCCAAGCCTGGGCTCCCAAGTTTCAACTTGCTCGAGTTACCCACACATCCACCATCTTAGGACACAAACACAGTCCCCAAAGGGTGAGACCGAGCCAGGTTTCACCATCAGCTACCACCTAGCCCCAGAACTACCATTCCCTCTCGTCTATCCCCTATTGATAGAGGGGCCACCTCTTCCAACTCTCTTAATAATTTTACATCAAAGAGCCTTGTTGTCCTTTCCCTCCACTGAAATTTTATCAGATTCACAAGGAACCTTAGTGATTTTTTTAAAATTTGGTCAAATACACGTAGCATAAACTGTACCATTTTAATCCTTTTAAAGTATACAGTTCAGTAGCATTAAGTACACTTACAATGTTATGCAACCATCACCATTCTCTCATTGCAACACATTTTCATCAGGCCAAAAGGAAATCCCACATTCTTTAAGCAGTGAATTCCCATTCTCCCCTCTCTCTACCCCAGCCAACCACAGACCTACTGTAGTCTCCATAGCCTCTCTGTGTCTTTAGATCCACAGTCTCTCTGGATTTGCCTATTCTGGATATTTCCTACAAATGGAATCGTACAATCATGTGTCCTTTGTGTCTGGATTCTTCCAGTCAGCATATCATATTTTAAGGTTTATCCACATTGCAGCATGTATCAATACTTATTCCTGAATAATATCTATCGTATAGGTATAGGACATTTATTTTTATCCATTCATCACTTAATGGGACATTTGTTTTGCTTTTTTTTTTTTTTTTTTTTGAGACAGAGTCTCACTCTGTCACCCAGGCTGGAAGGCAGTGGCATGATCTCAGCTCACTGCAACCTCTGCCTCCCTGGTTCAAGCAATTCTCCTGCCTCAGCCTCCCGAGTAGCTGGGATTACAGGCACCTGCCACCACGCCCAGCTAATTTTTGTATTTTTAGTAGAGATGGGGTTTCACCATGTTGGCCAGGCTGGTCTCGAACCCCTGACCGTGTGATCTGCCTGCCTCGGCCTCCCAAAGTGCGGGGATTACTGCGTGAGCCACCTCACTTGGCCGTTTTTTTTTGTTTTTTTTTTTGTTTTTTTTTTTTTTTTGAGACAGGGTCTCATTCTGTCGCCCAGATTGTAGTGCAGTGATGCATGATCTTGGCTCACTGCAACCTCCACCTCCCAGAGTCAAGCAATCCTCTCACCTCAGCTGGGACTACAGGCGTGCCACCACACCCAGCTAATTTTTTAATTTTTTGTTTTTGTAGAGACAAAGTTTCACTATACTACCTAGGCTGGTCTCAAACTCCTGGGTTCAAGCAATCCTCCTATCTCAGCCTCCCAAAGTACTGGGATTACAGGTGTGAGTCACCGAGCCCAGCACTTAATGGAACATTTAAGTTGTTCCTACCTTTTGGCTATTGGGAACAGGGTTGCTATGAACATTTGTGTATGAGTTTTTGTTTGTTTATTTATTTATTGAGACGGAGTCTCGTTCTGTCACCCAGGCTGGAGTGCAGTGGCGTGATCTCGCCTCACTGCAACCTCCACTTTCAAGCGATTCTCATGCCTCAGCCTCCTGAGTAGCTGGGATTACAGGCACATGCTACCATGCCCAGCTAATGTTTTGTATTTTTAGTAGACACGGGGTTTCACCATGTTGGCCAGGCTGGTCTTGAACTCCTGACCTCAGGTGATCCACCCGCCTCGGTCTCCCAGAGTGCTGGGATTACAGGCGAGTTTTTGTTTAAATACCTATTTTCAATTTGGAAGGGGAGTTGTAGACCTAGAAGTCGAATTGCTGGGTGACATGGGTAATTTTACATTCAACTTATTGAGAAAACAAACTGGTTTTCACAGTGGCTGAATCATCTTGTATTCTCACCAGCAATGAATGAGGGCTCTAACTGAACCACATTCTTGTCAACACGTGTTATTTTTGATTTTTAATTTTACATTTAAATTTCATTTTTAATTTAATTTAATTTTTTCTTAAATTAAATAGGGTCTCGCTTTTTTGCCCAGGCTGGTCTCAAACTCCTGGGCTCAAGTAATCCTCCCACCTCATTCTTCTGACTAGCTGGGACTACAGGTGTGTACCACTGTGCCTGGCTCTGTTTGTTTTTCACTATAGCCATCCTAGTAGATATGAAGTGGCATCTCATTGTGGTTTAAATGTGTACTTCTCTAATGTTTAATGACATCGAGCATCTTTTCATGTGCTTGTCGCCTGTCTGTATAACTTCTTGGAGAAATGTCTATTCAAGGCCTTTGCCCATTTTATTTGTTTACTTTTTTCTCCCTCCACTTCCCTTTGCCCTTTTAAACAGTGGGTTGCTTGTCATTTTGTTGTTGAGTTGTAAGAGTTTATTATATGTTTTGGACACTATACGCTTCTCAAATGTATTATATACTAGTATTTTCTCCCATTCTGTAAGTTGTCTTTTCACTCTCTTAATAGTGTACTTTGATGCAAAAGGTTTTAAATTTTGATAAAATCAAATTTATCTTTTTTTTTTTTTTTTTGATACAGAGTTTCCCTCTGGTGCCCAGGCTGGAGTGCAATGGCACAATTTTGGCTCACTGCAACCTCTGCCTCCCGGGTTCAAGTGATTCTCGTGCCTCAGCCTCCCGAGTAGCTGGGACTACAGGCGCCCGCCCCTGCGCCCAGCTAATTTTTTGTATTTTTAGTAGAGACGGGGTTTCACCATGTTAGCCAGGATGGTCTTGATCTGCTGACCTCATGATCCACCCGCCTCGGCCTCCCAAAGTGCTGGGATTACAGGCGTGAGCCACCAAGCCCAGCAATTTTGTGTTTTTAGTAGAGATGGGGTTTTGCCATGTTGGCCAGGCTGGTCTCGAACTCCTGACCTCAAGCGATCCACCCACCTTGATCTCCCAAAGTGCTAGGATTACTACAGACTTGAGCCATTGCGCCTGGCCTGAAATTATCTATTTTTTTTTCTTTTGTTATTTGTGCTTTTGGTGTCATAGATAAAAAATTATTGCCAAATCTAAGATAATAAAGATTTATCCCTATGTTTTCTTCTAAGAGTTGGGTAGTGTAGCTCTTTGATCCATTTTGAGTTAATTTTTATATACGGTGTGGGGTAAGGGTCCAATTTCATTTTTGGCATGTGGATATCAAGTTGCCCCAGAGCCATTTGTTGAAGAGGCTATTCTTTGTCCCACTGAATGGTCTTCGCACCCTTATCAAAAATCAATTGACCACAGAGGTATGCGTTTATTTCTAGACTCTTAATTCTTTTCCCACAATGCATGTTTTTTTTTTTCAAGTTAAACTGTATGGACTTTCTGTATTTTTAGTAGAGACAGAGTTTCACCGTATTAGCAAGAATGGTCTAGATTTCCTGACCTCGTGATCTGCCCCCCGTGGCCTCCCAAAGTGCTGGGATTACAGGCGTGAGCCACCGCACCCGGCCAAAATGTATGGACGTTCTAAATAAGGTATAGGAGTGGTAAATAAAACTAAGTCTCTAGTTATTAAATTTTGACATAGTCAATACTGCTTCCAATTTATCATATGAATTACTTCCAAACATGTTAATCACAGCTGGATTGAAAGAGCATTTGGGAAATGTGGAAATATTGTCTATAGAATACATTCTAAGTCTACTGGCGATCCAAAGAGATTTGCCCTTGTGAAATTTTTTTTTTTTTTTAGATGGAGTCTCACTCTGTCACCCAGGCTGGAGTACAGTGGCACGATCTCGGCTCACTGCAACCTCCACCTCCCGGATTCAAGCAATTCTCCTGGTTCAGCCTTCTGAGTAGCTGGGACTACAGGCACCCGCCACCATGACCGGCTAATTTTTGTATTTTTAGTAGAGACGGAATTTCACTATGTTGGCCAGGCTCGTCTCAAACTCCTGACCTCAAGTGATCTGCCAGCCTCAGCCTCTCAAAGTGCTGGAATTACAGGCGTGAGACAACACACCCAGCCCCCTGTGGAATTTGAAACAAAAGAATAAGTAGCAAAAGCTACCGTGATAGGTCCAGATCCACCAGTGGTGGGGAGCCCAGCCTTAACACACTCACCATCGTGGACACCCTTTAACACTTCATCTCTCTGATCCTGTTCTTCTATAGCAAAGGCCTCCAACAGGTTTTGATAACTAGGAAACTTGGGGAGAAATATTGGGATTGCGGTGATCTCAATCCCTTTCCTCCCAGACAATTCTAGATTTTTTATGCCAATTGATCCAATGCCACCCCAGAGCTTTACTCGCCGAGAGGAATTTGGATAGACGGTCTTGTCAAACTCAAGAAAAATAAAGTCGTTCCTATTACTTCCTCTTCCAGAGCATAGGGTGCCTTACTTGTTTTAAGAAAACCATTCAACTGATTTTTTTACTCCCAAATAAAGAAGATTGATTGTTTTCAGCTAAACTTACAAATGGAAGTTTACCTTGCTTAATAAAAAGAAAATACACAATTTATCTCTAAATATATATAAAAAACGGCTGAGCACGATGGCTCACACCTGTAATCCCAGCACTTTGGGAGGTCAAGGCGGGCAGATCACCTGAGGTCAGGAGTTCGAGACTACCCTGTCCAACATGGTGAAACGTCATCCCTACTAATAATACAAAAATTAGGTGGGCATCGTGGTACATGTCTGTAATCCCAGCTACTCAAGAGGCTGAGGAAGGAGGATCACTTGAACCTGGGAGGCGGAGGTTGCAGTGAGCCAAGATCGTGCCATTGCACTCCAGCCTGAATGACAAGAGCGAAACTCCGTCTCAAAAAGAAAAATGTATATATGTAAAACGTTATATATGTGTATACACACACACACACACACACAAAGTAGTGTGTCATGCAAATCTCAGAGAGGAAAATCAGCTCTATATTAATGTCACAGAACATGGGATAAGCCCCCAGATCTTTATGATTACAAACCAGTGTTTTTACAGTATTTCTTAAAGTCTCATGCTCATAAGAATCAGGCATCCTAGACATCTCGGTTCTGGGTAGGATGAGTTATCATATCTTACTAGCCATAACTTTAGCTGTGATCTCAGCAACCCAAACCCTCCTAGAGGCGAAGGGCAGGGGAGGAGGCAAACAAGGGATTAACCCCAACTTTCCCACAGGCTCGTGTTTATCGGGATCTAAGCACACAAGAATACCCATACTTCTGGACCGCGACAACTGATAACCTTCATGAGAATAAACCCAACGGATCTTCTGAATCATTAAAGGAAGGTCTAGTTATAATCAGCAACTTGACTATGTTTTATCACAGTCAAATTCTTTCTTTACAATTGGTTTACTCTTAATGTTTGGAAGGACATACAAGGTGGGTTCGTCATCAGGGACTGTCACTTTTCAGTCCATGTTTTTCTGGACTGGATTGTTTGGGATATTTACAATGAGCATGTATTGTTTTAGGAATACAAGAACTGTTTAAAATTTTAAGTTAACAGGTTCTGAGGGGCAAATAAAAGTCCTTTAACTTATAAATAATTAATTAATTTTTCCTATAATCGTTTGACTCTCCATTACCTAAATACTCAACAACAACAACAACAAAAACAGAAACATCCATTTCCTCATCATTCTGGAAGCCTGCAGTTGTTCATAGGGTTCTGCTGACCAGTTTAGCGTGATTTTGCTCTGTCTGGCCAGAGACCCTTTCATCTTTTCCTTAATTTCCTTCATTTTGAAGTGAGGACTGCTATTTACCCATAGAGAATACAGCAGCCTTGTTAGTTCATTACCACGGAAGCCTGGATCTCTAGAGAAGGCTTTTGTGAGCCCTGGGGAAAGCACGCACCCATTGAACTGGGCTAATCCCAGTCATTATCATCATGATTAGGGAATCAATTTCAATGGCAGTAGTTGTGCCAATCAGCAAATACCATGGAATGCAGTTTAATGTTTAACACATAAACAATTTCATTGCCAAACAAAGCCTCCCTTACTAAGAGCTTTCTACTTTTATTTTTAAAATAAAAGTACTGTGTGGAGTCTCTATTTGCTCCTTCAAGACGGGAACATAAATAGGGTATACATTATTTATGTCAGTTTTTTTAAAAAAATGCCCATGACACCATCAGATTCTCCTAATTATAGATTACCCTGATGGAAGCTAGTACAGGGTACCATATTGGTTTTAAAAGCCAACCCTGGATCCGATAGCCTGAGGCTGAATCTCAGCTCCACAAATTACAAACTAAGGAGCCTTGGGCAGGTTCCTTAAACTCCCTGAGCCTCAATTTTCTCATCTGTAAAATGGGGAAAATAAAAATATTTTTTCATTGGGTTGGTGTGAAAATAAGCTGAGATAATACATGCAAAGTGCTAAACCAGTGTCATTACACATAGCAAGCTCTCACTGTTAGTAATTTCTTAAATCAATTGCTGAAGTAGTGAGAATAATCTGGATTCAGCTCTGAGGTTGAATCTTACAATTGCTATTAGTACATGGAACCAAGTGGCTGAGGAGCCAGTTATTCAGAAAACTGAAAGCAAGTCTCCTCCCAAGGGTTTACAAAGTATTGAATATATAAATGATTTTGTAATTTTATAATTTTAGGCATTAGCCAGGCAGCAGAAAGAAGTGTTGGCCAGGCGCGGTGGCTCACGCCTGAGTAATCCCAGCACTTTGGGAGGCTGAGGCGGGTGGATCCCCTGAGGTCAGGAGTTTGAGACCAGCCTGGCCAACATGGTGAAACCCCGTCTCTACTAAAAATACAAAAATTATCTGGGTGTGGTGGCACGCACCTGTAATCCCAGCTACTTGGTAGGCTGAGGTGGGAGAATCGCTTGAACCCAGGAGGTGGAGGTTGCAGTGAGCCGAGATCACGCCACTGCACTCCAGCCTGGGTGACAGAGTAAGACTCCGTCTCAAAAAAAAGAAGTGTTGCTGTGAGGTGGTGGTTGCAGGCAGAGAAGAGGAGGGAGACTGTTGCCTGGGACTCTGAAATTACCCATTGTGGATCTAGACTTCTAAATTCCTCAGTTGTTTTCTCTGATTCTTGGCAAAACAGACAAAAACCTAGCAACAGCCTGGATGACTGAGGATGATTCCCAGGGCTTTTTCTAATTGCTCTGGAGGAAGGCAGTTCATATATTACAGTTGCTGGAAAGAAGCTGGGGAAATAACATAATGGTCAGGCCTCTTCAGTCATGTTCACAAGAGTGAACCACCGACTTGGTGTGAGATGCCTCATAGAAGGTTCTTAATACATCTTTGCTAATGATGTGACATACTAATGATTATACTGGAGGATTTTATACTCAAGAAAAGCAGATTTCAACATAAAGGAAGTATATGTTTGCAAAATCTTTTTCAATGATCTTATATTAATAAAATATTCAGAGTTCATAACTCTCTTGAATTCAACTTTATAAGGAAGCTTTGTGATTTCTTCTTAGATCTTTGGCAAAATGAAACAAAACAAAAGCTAGTTTTTCATTCTGGTAATTATTAGTGTTCCTTATTGTCTTAAGCCTCTAATGTTTGTTTTTGGTTTTTGAGACAGGATCTTGCTCTGTTGCCCAGGCTGGAATGCAGTGGTGCAATCGCAGCTCACTGCAGCCTGAAACTCCCGGGCTCAAGGGATCCTCCCACCTCAGCCTCCCATCTAGCTGGTACTACAGGCACAAACCACCATGCCTAGTTTTGTTTTGTTTTGTTTTGTTTTGTTTTTTCCTAATTGTAGAGATGGGGTCTCACTATGCTGCCTAGGCTGGTCTTGAACTCCTGGGCTCAAGCAGTCATCTCACTTCCACCTCCTAAAATGCTGGGATTATCAGCATAAGCCACTGGCGTCGGCCTTTAAGGATCTAATTTGTAAAAGCTGTAGATATCACCTATTCCCTGGTATTGTGGAAGTGTTACAGATATTCTACTGCGGTGGGACAGTAGTCCTCTTAGAGTTACTTGGGGCTTTCAGGGAGGTTTAGAAGTGTGTTCTAGAGCAGCATTTTTCAGTCTGTTGTGTCATATTAGTGAGTGGTAAATTCAGTTGGGTGGCTGGTGAATGACATTAAAAAATATAATCAAATGGAAAATACAGAAAATGATAATTATTCCTTTATCATTAAGGACCCTCTCCAGGCCAGGCGTAGTGGCTCACGCCTATAATCCCAGCAATTTGGGAGGATGAGGTAGCTGGATCACTTGAGCACAGGAATTCGAGACCAGCCTAGGCATTTTAGTGAGACTTCAGCTCTACAAAAAAACTAAATTTTAGACAAGTGTGGTGGTGCATGCCTGTATTTCCAGCTACTTGGGAGGCTGAGGTGGCAGGATTGCTTGAGCCCAGAAGGTCGAGGGTGCAGTCAATGTGACTGCACCATGGCACTCCGACCTGGGCAGCAGACTGAGACCCTGTCTCAAAAAAAAAAAAAAAAAAAGACCCTCTTTATTCCTAATGTTTTCGGCCTTTTGTCTATTTATCTCACCTTAATATTGCTATATTACTTTTCTTTTGGTTAGTATCTGTGTTGTCAGTCTTTCCCATCTCATTATTTTCAGCCATTCTGGGTCATTTTATGTGCCTATACCTTCAGCATAAAGGCAGATTTCTTTTTTAATTCAATCTGAAAATCAGAGAAAACTTCATTCTATTTACATTTATTGAGATTAGTGATATGTTTGTATTTATGTCTCTCACTCTGTTTTTTGTCATAATTTTGTCTTTTTCTATCCTGCTTTCTGTTGCATTGAATTTTCTGCATTCTACTTGTTTCCTTCTACTGATTTATTAGTTCACATTCCATTTCTTTTCTTTTCTTTATTGAGATGGAGTTTCTCGTCACCCAGGCTGGAGTGCGATGGTGCGATCTCGGCTCACTGCAACCTCTTCCTCCCGGGTTCAAGTGATTCTCCTGTCTCAGCCTCCTGAGTAGCTGGGATTACAGGTGCCCACCATCATGCCCAGCCAATTTTTGTGGTTTTTTTTTTTTTTTTTTTTTTTTTTGAGATAGAGTTTTGCTCTTGTTGCCCAGGCTGGAGTGCAATGGCACGATCTCGGCTCACTGCAACCTCCACCTCCTGGGTTTAAGCAATTCTCCTGCCTCAGCCTCCTGAGTAGCCGGGATTACAGTTACCCGCCACCACACCCAACTAATTTTTTTGTATTTTTAGTAGAGACAGGGTTTCACCACGTTGGCCAGGCTAGTCTCGAACTCCTGACCTCAAGTGATCCGCCACCCTGGCCTCCCAAAGTGCTGGGATTACAGGCATGAGCCACCACACCCAGCCCTAATTGTTTTCTTTAATGTGTTGTTATAATGTAATAAATTACTTAGAGTAAAAAACAAAACAAAACAAAACAAAAGGCTGTCCAGCCTCCTCCCAAACAACACAAGGACTTTAAAATGCTTAACTCCAACCTTCCAATTCTCAACTTTTATATTATTGTTATCTAGTATTTTAGTTTCCCCTAATTTATTTCCTATTGGTTAATAACTATTTAGATCTATCAGCTTCCTCATTCACCATTGTTTCTTGCATCCCACTCCTTCCTTGTGGGTTCAGTTTCCTTCTAGCTGAAGTATATCATTTAGCAGTTCTTTCAATGCGAGATGTGTTTTTAAATGCCTTTGTTTATAGCCCTTGCTCTTGAATGGTAATTTAGTAGGCACATAATTCTAGGTTGAATATTATTTTGTCTGGATTAGAAGACATTACACTTCCCTGTCTTCTGGCATATACTGCTGCTGATTGGAAGTCTATAATCATCTCATTGCTTTCCTTTGTAGGTAATCTTTCCTTTAAGATAGCTTGCTGGCTTCTTCTTTGCATAGTTTCACCATGAAGCATTTTGGTATTGTTTTGTCCTTATTTATCTAGTTCAAGATTCATGTTTCTTCAACTTTGGAATACTGTCACTCAATATCTCTATGAATATTGCTTCTCCCCCATTCATTCTATTGTTTCCCTCTGGAATTCCTATTAGACTTAGGTTGGACCTTCTCATTCTGTCCTTGTCTCTTAACTGCTTTTCCACATTTCCTATCCCTATCTCTCTACTGCATTCTATCTCCCAGATCTGTCTTCCAGTTGACTAATTACTTCTCCAGCTGTGTCTATCTGCTGTTTAACTCATACCTAAAATATGGTCCATGGATCAGAAATATCAGCATCACCTGGGAGCTTATTAGAAATGCAAATTCATGGGCTTCACCCAAGACCCATTTAACAGAGTGGGGCCCAGGAATCTGTGTTTTACCAAACTCTGCAGGTGACTGTGATGCTCACTGAAGTTTGAGAAGCACTGCTTTAGTACATTGATTCAATTGCTTTCATTTCTAGAGGATGCACTTAAGTTTTTTCAAATCTGAATTTCCCCCCCTACCTTTTTCTGCAATGAATTGCCTTTTTCTTTCAGCAAGATTTATATATTTTTTCTAGCAAATCTTTATAATCTTATACTTATTTTATAGTCTCAAATTGCCACTCTTGGGGATTTGGATTTTCCAGTTGATTGTATCTACTGACTCCCCTCCTTTCTTGTTGGTTTATTTTTTATTATGAGCTCATAACTATTAGTTCCAAGTTTGCCCACATCTGAAATCATATCTCTTATCCAGGGGTCAGTAAACTGTTTTTTTGTAAAAGATCAGATAGTAAATATTTTCGGCTTTGTGCATCATATGGTCTCTGTCATAATAATGCCAACTCTGACATTATAGTACAAAAGCACCCATAGAAAACATGTTTTTAAAATAGGCATATTGTATTTTAACAAAACTTTATAAAACAGGCAGTAGGCTAGATTTGCTCTGTGGGCTATAGTTTACAAACACCCGCTCTTGAGTGGTCATTAGAACCTATAGCCCCCAGCTTCCCTATTGCCTCTTCCATCTGTCTATATGTATTACATAAATATTAATTTAATGCTATTTCCATGGCCAGGCATAGTGGCTCATGCTTGTAATTCCAGCACTTTGGGAGGCCCAGGTGGGCGGATCACTTGAGGTCAGCAGTTCAAGACCAGCTTGGCCAACATGGTGAAACTCCATCTCTACTAAAACTACAAAAATCAGTGGGTGTGGTGGTGCACGCCTGTAATCCCAGCCACTGGGGAGGCTAAGGCAGAAGAATTGCTTGAACCCGGGAGGCAGAGACTGCAGTGAGCCGAGTTTGCACCACTGTACTCTAGTCTGGGCAACAGAGTGAGACTCTGTCTCAAAAAAAAAAAAAAAAAAAATTAAGGCTATTTCCTAAATTTACCTGATGACACTGAGATCACTGAAGGTACTTGTTCAAAACAGAATCCCAGACCCTTTCCCTGTAGGTACTGATTGAGTATGTGTGAGGTAGAACCAAGGTTTCAGCATGTTCAGGAAGAAACCTAGGTGATTCTAATGATCTGAAAAGTTTGGGGAACACTGTTCTAATAAACAGAATGTTAAGAATGAACTTAATGTTACAAGACTTAGCATCCTAACATCTGTACAACTTTCAGTTCTTGCTCACATGAATGGCACGTTGATTATTTCAAATCCACAAAATCTGAGTCAAAAAGGACTGCTCAGGTCATTAATGTATAGTCAGCAAGGCACTATCTCTGTGACTCATGAAGAGCAGCTGCTTTTTGGTGGGGTCGTCTTTGCAGTGCCAGATATAAAGAGGCCTCCCAGGAAGCCACACCTATTTTTTGTTAAAGTCCCTTTAATAATAAGACTATATCGCAGTACAGATTTGGAAAAGACGGAATTTCCCCCAACAGCTCAGTGATAATAGTTCAGATAAAGTTCATCCAACTGTTCGCTGTACTTGTTTACCCAAATAACCAGGGAATGAATAAGTTGCAAAAGCATTTAAGGTATTTGATAAACTTTCCAATGATTTACAGGGTTAAACTACAGCAAAGTTTGCTATGCTAGAGACCATATCATTGTACAATGCATTGTTGTTGTTTTGAGACAGGGTCTCGCTCTGTCACCCAGGCTTGAGTGCAGTGGCATGATCTGGGCTCACTGCGGCTTCAACCTCCTGGGCTCAAGCCATTCTCCCGAGTAGCTGGGACCACGGGCATGCACCACTACACCTGGCTGATTTTTATATTTTTTGTAGAGACCAGGTTTTGCCATGTTCCCCAGGCTGGTCTCAAGCTCCTGAACTCAAGCAATCCACTAGCTTCTGCCTCCCAAAGTGTTGGGATTACAGGCGTGAGCCACTGTACCCAGACCGTACAATGCCTTCAATGCCTTGATCTCTTCTTTACCACTAATACGTATTCAAGAGCTGACTTTTACGTAGTACTTTCATTACATAATAGTGCCAGCACTATTTTAAGACTTTTATACATATTAACTTTTAATTCTCAGAACAACCATACAAATTAGAAACTATTGCCATCCCCATTTTCTTTCTTTTTTTTTTTTTTGCTGGAGTCTTGCTCTGTCACCCAGGCTGAAGTGCAGTGGCACGATCTTGGCTCACTACAACTTCCGCCTCCCAGGTTCAAGTGATTCTCCTGCCTCAGCCTTCTGAGTAGCTGGGATTACAGGCGCCCACCACTGTGCCTAGCTTTTTGTATTTTTAGTAGAGGGTTTCGCCATGTTGGCCAGGCTAGTCTCAAACTCCTGACCTCAGGTGATCCGCCCGCCTTGGCCTCCCAAAGTGCTGGGATTACAGGTGTGAACCACCATACCTGGCTACCATCTCTATTTTCTTTTTCTTTTTTTTTTTTTGAGACGGAGTCTCACTCTGTCACCCAGGCTGGAGTGCAGTGGCACGATCTCGGCTCACTGCAAGCTCCACCTCCTGGGTTGACACCATTCTCCTGCCTCAGCCTCCTGAGTAGCTGGGACTACAGGCACCCGCCACCACACCCGGCTAATTTTTTGTATTTTTTAGTATAGACAGGGTTTCACCGTGTTAGCCAGGATGGTCTCAATCTCCTGACCTCGTGATCCGCCCGCCTCGGCCTCCCAAAGTGCTGGGATTACAGGCATGAGCCACCGCGCCTGGCCGAACATCCCTATTTTCAAAGAGGAAACCGAGTCAAGGAGAGGTAGAATAACTTGCCTAAACTTGTGCATACTGTAGCCAGCACTTGAACCTACATGGCCTAACTCTAAAGTAGCAGTTCTTAGCTTGGCTGCCCACTGGACTCTCTTGGGGGTGCTCTAAAAAAAACCCACTGAAGGCTGAGTCGTACCACCACAGCTTCTGATTTAACTGCTGGCTTCAGGATTGTTATCGCCGCCCTGGTGTTTCTAATGTACAGTCAAGGTTGAGCACCACTGCCCTCACGTGTGGACACTTAACTCCTCTGCCAGCTCTCAAAGTCGGATCCGTAGACTGGCAGCATCTGCATCACCTGAGAACTTGTTTGAAACACAAGTTCTCAGGCCCCACTCCACTCCTACTGACTCCAGTTTTCTGGGGGTGGGGCCCATCGGCTGTGTGTTAACAGGCCCTCTGGATAATTATGATGTGGGCTAAAGTCGGAGAACCGCTGCACTGTGCCCCATTGAATCACATCTTCCTGGGTCCCTATCCCCTTGAAAACATTGTCGTGCTTCTCATTGAATGAGGGAGTCTATCACCTCTCTCTTGAATCTAGGCAAGGCTCATGACTGGCTTTGACAGATAGACAGTAACTGAAGTGCTGTGTTGTGCAACTTCCAGAAGGCTTGAAGTTTTTGTTTTTGTCCCCTGGATTGTATCTGCTACAATTTAAGGAAGCTGATGTGGTTTACTGGAGGATGAGAAGCCACATGGAGGAGAACTGTGGTGCCCCAGCCAGCAGCCAGCACCACCTGCCAGACATGTGAGGCCAGCTTGGACATTCCAGCCCAGCCAGGTCACCAGCTGAATGTAGCTACATGATCGAGTCTAGGTGAGACCAGTAGAGGAACTACCCAGCTAACACACGTCATGAAAAACAATCAACTGCTGTGGTTTTAAGTCACTAAATATTAGAGTGGTTTGTTACTCAGCAGAAGGGACTAGATTGCAGCTGCGCAATTTACCCTTAAACTTTGCCCTGGAGGGAAACTGGTTAGCCCTTAAAAGAAAAGGATGTGGCTGGGTGTGGTGGCTTACGCCTGTAATCCCAGCACTGTGGGAGGCTGAGGCAGGTGGATCACCTGAGGTCAGGAGTTCGAGACCAGCCTGACCAACATGGTGAAACCCCGTCTCTACTAAATACAGAAAATTAGCTGGCCGTGGTGGCGCATGCCTGTAATCCAGGCTACTTGGGAGGCTGAGGCAAGAGAATCACTTAAACCCAGGAGGCAGAGGTTGCAGAGAGCCAAGATTGCGCCATTGCACTCCAGCCTGGACAACAAGAGTGAAAACTCTGTCTAAAAAAAATGACCCTAGGAAAGTTGGAGATTTGGCTGGTGCTAACCCCAGGCAGGGTACTAGGTGGCTCACATGCAGGCCTGGCTTCATGGGCACTGCCCTGTGCAACTGCACAGGACTCATGCTTACAAGGGCCTCACACTTATTTTATGCTCTGCTGACACTATCTAGAAATTCTTAATCACTTTGAACAAGGAGCCCCGCATTTTCATTTTCCTCTGGGCCCTGCAAATTAATATATAACCAGTCCTGCTAATATACAGGTTTCTCATTTACTCCACACAACCACCCTAGGAACTAGAATTCCTTATTATTATCAGCCTCACGTACAGATAAGGAAAATGAGGCTCTGAGAAGTGAAATACTCATACAAGGTCACATGGCAAGAGAGGCAGGGTGGCACTCAGGCTTCTCAAATCCCTGAGCCCTGGAGCCAGTTCACTGCAGTGAACCCTGTGTGAACCACTGAGTGAAACCTGGAGTGTGGTTTATCAGTTTTCGTCACATACTGGGGGTACATTGTGACTGAGCAAATAAAAAGGGAGTTTTGCTGATAGCCTGGCAAGTTGGCAAGACATTTTCTGGGCATATTAAGGAAAATACACTTGCAGCTCTAACCCAGAGTATGTTTAAACAACTACAGGAGCAGGCAGGGGGAAGGGAAGGGCCTGACCTGAGAAGTCAGGCCCGAAGCAGCCCAAATCCACTATTTATAGTGCTGTGGCCTATTTTGGCCTGCCGGGTGGCCCTGAAAATTGCCCTGAGAACTGGGCCTAGAAACAGACCATGGAAACCAGGCGCCTTCATTCTGGGGTATGGCTGGAATCATGCTGGGCACAGACAAAAGTTTTCTTGATGAGCTCAAGGATGTTTTTTTAAAAAAAACAAAACAGGATTTTCTTTGACAGGGAATTAAAAAAAATACTCATTTAAGGAACATCATCAGGAAATGATCAGGAATATATTCTTAGGGAGAAAATGCATGGATCAGACCCAGCCAATACAGAGCTAATACTTATGAGCCCTTAACCATGTGCCAAGCACTGTGCAACCTGCACCATTTCATTTATGCCCTCACATATGACCCTGTGACAGCAGCAATATTATTATCCCCATTTTACAAGAAAGGAAACTGAGGCTTAGGAAAATTAAGTGATGTACTGAAGGTCACATTGTTGGCAAGCCAGGATTAAAACCCAGATCATGGCACCCTACTAGGCTGTCACCCATAGGGCTGCTTCTCAAACTTCAGCATGCAAAGACTCTCCTGGGAACCATGTAAAGATGCAGATTTTGATTCAGGAGGTCTGGATGGGGCCTGAGATTCTGCATGCCAACCAGATGCCAGTTGATGATGATAATAGCACTGGTTCTTGGACCATAATTTGAGTAGCAAGGATGCAAACAAATATTACAAGTTTTCCTGCTTCTACTTTTATCCTCTTACAATCTGTTCTCTCTGCAGCAGCCTGAGTTATTGTATTGGTCTCCATTGCTGCATAACAAACATCCCCCAGGCGTGGCAGGTTTAAGAAACAACACAATTTCTGAAGATTAGGAACATAGGAGCAGCTTAGCTGGGGCATTCTGGCTTAGGGTTGAGGCTGCAGTTAGGATGTCAGCTGGGCCTGCAATCATCTGAAGGCTTGACTGGGCTGGAGGATCCACTTCCACAATGGCTCCCTCCCATGGCTGTTGGCTAGAGGCCTCAGTTTCTTGCCATGTAGGTGCCCCCATAGGGATGATCAAGACCAGCTGGCATCCTCCAGAGGGAATGATCCCAGAGGGAGAGAACAAGTGAGCACAAGACTGCTGTGTCTTTAATAACCTAATCTTGGATGTGGCACACCATTATTTCTGCCATATTCTACTGCCACACATATTAACCCTGATACAATGTGGGAAGAGACTCCCCAGTAATGGGAATCCCAGGGGGTGGGGGTTATTGGGGAGTCACTGTGGATGCTGACTACAGTTTCCTGATGAAAACTCAGATCATGTCATTCTTCTGCCCATCATTTCTTATCAGTCAGAATAAAATCCAAAGTTCCAGCATCCAAATGAAAGCTCACCTTTGATTCTACAAGATCTGTCCCCTGACTGCTTCCTCATCTCCTCTCCCATTCACCTCTAGCTCACTGCTTTATTTTTTCTTTTTTTGGGGGGTGGGGGGGTGGGGAGTGGTTTGAGACAGGGTCTTGCTCTGTCACCCAGGCTGGAATGCAGTGGCATGATCTCAGCTCACTGCAAGCTCTGCCTCCCGGGCTCAAGCCATCCTCCACCTCGGGTTCCCAAGTAGCTAGGACTACAGGTGTGTGCCACCACACTCAGCTATTTTTTTTTTGTATTTTTTGTAGTGAGTTCATTTCACCATGTTGCCCAGGCTAGTCTCAAACTCCTGTACTCAAGTGATTTGCCCGCCTCAGCCTCCCAAAGTGCTGAAATTACAGGTGTGAGCCACTGAGCCTGGCCTCACTTTTATTTTCTAATATATATATAATGTATTTTTTAGACAGAGAGTCTCGCTCTGTCACCCAGGCTGGAGTATAGTGGTGCAATCATAGCTCACTGTAGCCTCAACCTCCTGGGCTCAAGCCATCCCCTCACTTTAGCCTCCATTAGCCTCTACCACCATGCCCAGCTCCAGCTCACTTACACACTGACTCTCTTGCTGGTCCTCAATACATCCAGCACCCTCCTGCTCCTGCAGGCCTTTGCATGTGCTTTTCCTTCTGCCTAGAATGAACTTCATTCAGGTCTCAGATCAAATAACACCTTCTCAGAGAGGCCTTCCTTGACCAAATTCACCATCTAAAATAGTAGCCGAGATGTCTTTTCAGGCTTTTGCATTTCTGACTACCGGATGGCCTCACCCAGACCTGTGCTGTGACTCAACCAGTCCTGTGGCTCCCCACCCAGAAGTAGACTCAGCACATGAGGACTGCTTTCCACACCCCTATGAGTTCATCCCCAACCAATCAGCAGCACCCATTCCCTAGCCCCCCCACCCCACCAAACTATCTTTGAAAAACCTCTAGCCTCCGAGCCTTTGGGGATATTGATTTGAGTAATAACTCTGTCTCCCATGTGGCATGGCTGGCCTCGTGTCAATTAAACTCTTTCTTTACTGCAATGCCTGGTTTCTATGAATTGCTTTTGTTTGTACAGCACACAGGAAGAACCCATGGTGTGGTTATAAGATGTAAATGTATATTGTGAGCTGCTGAGTTTTGGAGTTTGGGGGTGATTTGTTATGCAGCATTATTGTGACAATAGCTAACTGACACACTCTTTGACATTATGTTACTATGCATTTATTTGTATCTGTTTACAGTCTCCTGAAAGAATGCAAGCTCCATGAGGGCAGGGACTTTGTCTCCTTCCCTGCAGGTTGCCTAGCATCCAGAACAATGCCTGCCTGCCACATTGTAAGCACTCAATAATTACTAGTGAGTGAATATTAGCAAATGAATCCATCTCATTGTAGCACCTGCTTGCTTAACTATGATGCTATATTGCCTTCAAATCAGACCCCAAATTGCAAAGGATCAAAAAATAATTGTCTTGCACAGGAGATCTAGGCAGCATACTATTTACCAGGAAAATGTGACTCATACACCAAGCTGCTGGCCATTCTCTGTGCCAGATGCCATCTCTCTTCACCTGGGCCATATCTGAAGTCAGCCAGAAACGACAACCAACCCCTGCCTGAGAACGGAAGTGCTCCTTTAAATGACACTGGCTCACCTGGTTGGCTGGCTGTCCCCGGAGGAAAGCCAGAGACAGGGCTAATGAGCTCACACAAAGGGAGGAAATGCACCCCCACCCCCCTTCCTGGAACAGCTGCAGCAGGAGACGCCCCTCTCTGGAAAGGAGGAAGAGGAAGCTGGGGAAAGCAGACCAACAATGTGGGGAAGCCACATACTCAAGAGAAAGCAGAAGGAAAAAAGAATCTGGCGCTTAAACAACGATTGTTGGAACTTTACGATGAAATATAATACAAATCAAGACCAACTCCTAAAGGTTTCTTTGGTCCTGCCATCTCAGGGCTCACCCTGGGTTGAAAGTATTGTGAATGAGAAATGTTTGGCTAAATGCCAGCCCATCAGCCACACTGGTATTGTGTTTTTCTTTAAATACAAATACTGGCCAGGTGCAGTGGCTCACACCTGTAATCCCAACACTTTGGGAGGCGGAGGGAGTGGATCGCTTGAGCTCAGGAGTTTCAGACCAGGCAACATGGCAAGACTCGTCTCTAAAAAAATACAAAAATCAGCTGGTGTAGTAGCTCACAGCTGTGGTCCCAGCTACTTGGGAGGCTGAACTGGGAGGGCTGTTTGAGCCTGGGAGGTGGAGGTTGCAGTAGGGTGAGATTGCACCACTGCACTCCAGCCTAGGTGACAAAGTGAGACCCTGTCTCAAAATACAACAACAACAAAAAAAACCACCACACACACACATACACACAACAAACCTTTTACCTCTGTTTAGGAAATAGAACCTCAAGTACTTTTTTATTTTATTTTTTTTTTGAGATGAAGTCTCCCTCTGTCACCCAGGCTGGAGTGCAGTGGTGTGATCTCAACTCACTGCAACCTCTGTCTCCCAGGTTCAAGTGATTCTCCTGCCTCAGCCTCCCAAGTACAGGCATCCACTACCATGCCCAGCTAATTTTTTTTTTGTATTTTTAGTAGAGACAGGGTTTCACCATATTGGCCAAGCTGGTCTGGAACTCCTGATCTCGTGATCCACCTGCCTCGGCTTCCCAAAGTGCTGGGATTACAGGCGTGAGCCGCCGCACCTGGCAAAGAACCTCCAGTACTTTTCAAATAGGAAAGTCACTGATATATAATCACCTCCATACTGACACCATTCATTTCTGCATCTACAGTTTACAGAACACTATCTCCTGTGTTGTTACATTTAGAGACTGGGCACGGTGGCCCACATTTGTCATCCCAGCACTTTGGGGGGCCAAGGTGAGAGAATCACTTAAGGCCAGGAGTTCGAGACTAGCTTGGGCAACATAGTGAGACCCCCATCTCTACAAAAAAAATTAGCTGTTTGTGGTGGTGTACAACTGTAGCCCTATCTACTTGGGAGGCTGAACTGGGAGAATCGTTTGAACTCATGAGTTCAAGTCCGTAGTGAGCTATGATTGCACCACTGCACTTCAGCCTGTACAGCAAACTAAGACCTTGTCTCTGAAAATAAAAAATAAAACATTTTAATTCCATGATAACTTGGTGAGCTAGACTGGGCAGCTATTATTATTCTTCATCTAAAAAGAAAAAAAGTTGTGATTTATCATTCAGTGATTTCTCCTGAATCATAAAACTGGTAGGTAGCAAAGTCAATTCCAATACATCAGTGGGTCTCAATCCTGGCTGCATGTTAGAGTCACCTGGGAGCTATTAAACAATACCCATCTCTGGCTGGATGCTGTGGCTCACACCTGCAATTCCAGCACCTCGGGAGGCTGAGGTGGGCGTATCACTTGAGGGCAGGAGTTTGAGACCAGCTTGGCCAACATGGTGAGACCCTGTCTTTACTAAAAATGCAAAAATTAGCCGGGTGCAGTGGCGTGCGCCTGTAATCCCAGCTACTCCGGAGGCTGAGGCAGGAGAATTGCTTGAACCTGGGAGGTGGAGGTTGCAGTGAGCTGAAATCATTCCACTGCACTCCAGCCTGGGTGACAGAGTGAGACTCTGTCTCAAAAAACAAAAAAACAAACAAACAAAACAAAACAAAACAAAAAAGCCAACAATAGCAAACCTATCTCTTGTTCTCACTGTGACCAGTTGAACAAGAATCTCAGGGGAATAAGACCCCAGGTATCAGAAATTAAAAACAAAATCTGTCAGTGGATGGCTTTGATGAACAGTGAAGCTCGAGACCATCACAATCCATAGGTTCAAATAAACGAGTCTTACGTAAAAGTCGTATGTGTTTATTCCTCAGCAGAGTTAAGAACCCCTTCCTTCATGTTTCTCCTCTTGCTGGGTTCTACAGTGGAATACTGTTCAGCAATAAAAAGGAAGGGACTACGCACACACCCAAACACGTGGGACAACAGCAAACGCATGGAGCCAAGTGAAGGAAGCCAGACTCGAAGGCTACATGATGTATGACTCCATTTATGTAACATGCTGGAAAAGGCAAAAGTATAGGAGCAGAAAACAAATCAGTGATTTCCAAGGTGAGATGGGAGCCTGCTTTGTGCCTTTGAAGAACTTAAAGGAGGGCATTAGTTGGCTTTTTAAAAAGAACCCCTATTCAGGAAAATAGAGCCAACAGCTGCAACAACAATAACAACAACAGCCAATATTTCTTGTGGATTTACTATGTCCTTGGCACTGTGCCATGTTCCTTATGTGGACTGAAGCATCTGATTCGATCTTCATAGGCAGGAATTATTACTCCCATTTTACAAACAGAAAACTGTGGCTCAGAAGTTACATAATCTGCCCATGGTTATTAAAACCCATTTATGCCTAGTGTTCCATTATTGGAACGCTAAGCACGTGGGAGTTATTTATATCCTACTGCTCAAAGTCGTCACCAAAGTCTGGTTGCAAAAATTCAAAAAATTACAATCTCAGGCATAAATGGGTTAATAACCTGACACGTTGGGATTCAAACAGGTCTGTCTGCTGCTAGAGCCCACATTATTAACAAATTGCCATAGGGCATGTTTTACCTGGAAAAAAAAAATAAGTCTTTGTCTTCAGCCACAACATTGAAGACAAGAAAGTTAAGGCCAGTAATGAGAACTTCAAGTGACCTTTCAGAAAAAATAAAACCTGTCGTGCTTAATAGCCCAGCCAGCTGCCCGACTTGGAGAAACCTCTCTCCCTCTCAGTGCTGAGCCTTAAGTTGTAATTTCCGCTTTTTGTAGAAAAATATGGGAGGAACTACAAAACCTTTTATTTGTATTGTTTAAAGGTCCTTTCCATACGTGTTTGGTTTTTATCCTGAGCTGTTTTCATCATCTATTTTCTATCTAACTATGTAGGCCAGATCTTCTCTAAATAGAAAGGAGTGGTTTTTCAGAATAAAAAATAAAGTTAAATCAAATCAAAACACACCTGAACACCCACCACTTTTAACTGAGTCTTCTGAATGCCCTGCCTTTTAGACTGTCCGCTGATTCAGTGCATATTCTCCAGTGAAGTATAACACGTGTAGCGTGGAAGGCTTTCTCTGTGAGGCCAAACTGTTCTCCAAATGACTTGCGGTCTATGATTCCTTGTCAGTTAAGACTGTGAAGAGGCTGGGTGCAGTGGCTCATGTCTGGAATCCCAGCACATTGGGAGGACAAGAAGGGAGGATCACTTGGGCCCAGGAGATCAAGACCAGCCTGGGCAACATGATGAAACCCCATCTCTACAAAAAATACAAAAATTAGCCAGGCATGGTGGAGTGTGCCTGTCATCCCAGCTACTCAGGAAGCTGAGGTGGGAGGATCACTTGAGCCCAGCAGGCGGAGGCTGCAGTGAGCTGTGACTGCGCCACTGCACTCCAGCCTGAGTGACAGAGACAGAGATCCTGTCTCATAAAAAAAAAAAAAAAAGAGAGAGAGAGAGAGAGAAAGACTGTGAAGACTTGTAATAGGAGGTCTATAGGCAAAAATCCTCAAACTTCTCTGCTAGTGAAAATATTATTTAACCATAAGCACTTATTGTGTACATAGACACACACACACACAGCCCAAACCCAAAACCAAAAACACTATTAGAAAGACTATGAAATACAAAACAAGATGATTTTGGAATTTCAGAATGAACAGAGTACACTAACAATCAGATTAAAATAAAACAAAGAACACTTTCCAAATACTAGTGTTTCAAATTTTTTTTGCATATTTACACACACACACAAACACACACTCCTAAAAAGGCTCAGAAAAAATAGTCTAAGTATGTCAAATTTTAACTAAAGAAGAAAAGAGTAAAAAACATTATCATGGTGGAATATAGGTTTCTAAGTAAAGTTTTTATTACTTTGTAAAAGCCATATATGTTCTTTGTAAATAATTTTAAAAATATAAAACAGAGAGAATAAAAACATCACTCCTTATCCTGCCACTGAACAATCACAATATTTTACATATGTCTTTGTAGCCTATTTTCTATATAAAGTTATTTTTTACATAATCATAAAATAATCTGCACGTGGCATTTTATTCATTTTTCACTTAGTAATACTATGGGCAATTTCCATCTTGTTACCATGACTGATGTTGATTATTTTTAGTGTTTAAATAATACTCTATGGATTAAATTCCCAATATTTATTTTATAATTATTATTATTGAATATTAAATATTATTGAATATTCATGTTTAAGATGCTGCATAATTTCAGGAAGAAAATGCAAATTCTTGATCAAGACAGTAGTGCTTCTATACGGTATCACCGATACACGCTCCATTGACTCATCCAGCCTCCAGCTAGCAGAGGGGTTTTAAAAACCATAGGCTAGGAGCTGGGTAGGCCAGCGGAATTTAAAAATATGTAGCAAGTGGCCACTCAACTACTATTTCCCAAGCTTCTCCAAGCCTCAGATGTCTAATACATATGGTTTTGAATGGTATCCCCGAGTTGTGCAGCGCACAGCCCACACAACTGAACAAACTGGTCCTCCCTTCTCATACCCTCTAGCATGGTGTCCTCACAACTCCACCCTCCCGAGACATGCATCACGCTCCCAATCCCTTCCTTCCTCTCTCTACTTTCCCATCAAAACCTATGGCTAAAGTACACTTGCATACATTGCTGGTGTGCATATAGATTGGTCTAGGGGTTGAACTCCAGCCTCTCTAGAGGGTAATTTATCAATAATGATCTGAACTCTTGAGAAACGGTGCTTACTCTTTGAGCTATCAATTCCAATGCCAGCAATTAATCTGGAGAAAAATCGGACAGGTGTGCAGACATATGAACGAGGATGCTTTTGGGTTTTTGGTTTTCTGTTTTTGTTTTTTATTTTGCTCTGTTTTATTTGAGAGACAGGGTCTTTCTCTGTCACTCAGGCTGCAGTGCAATGGCATTATCAGAGCTCACTGCAGTCTCGACCTCCCAGGGCTTAAGTGATCCTCCCACTCAGCATCCTGAGTAGCTGGGACTACAGGTGTGTGAATTTGAACAATAATGTTTTTCACTGAATATATAGGAGAGGAAACAAGAATGTCTAACCACCTATGATTAAGTTATGACTCAATGTATTCACTGGGTGTGTGTGTGTGTGTGTGTGTGTGTGTGTGTGTGTGTGTGTGTATATATATATATATAAAATAAAATATAGGCCAGGTGTGGTGGCTCATGCCTATAATCCCAGCACTTTGGGAGGCCAAGGCAGGCAGATCACCTGAGGTCAGGAGTTCGAGACCAGCCTGCCCAACATGGTGAAACCCTGTCTCTACTAAAACTACAAAAATTAGATGGGTGTGGTGGTGGGCGCCTGTAATCCCAGCTACTCAGAAGGCTGAGGCAGGAGAATCGCTTGAACCCAGAGGCGGAGGTTGCAGTGAGCCAAGATCACACCACTGCACTCCAGCCTGGGTGACAGAGCAAAACTCCATCTCAAAAATAAATTTAAAAAATAAAAAAAATATATATATATACCATAGAAGAATTAAAATTTGTGAGGTACATCTTTGTGTGGCAATAATGAAACATATTCCCAATATATATTAAGGAGAGAGAGTAGGCTTAAAAAAGTGTTTATAATTGCAATTTTGTAAAAAATGTTTTAAAAATTTCCATATGAATAGAAAAAATTCTAGAAGGATGAATAGTATATATTTTTAAAAAGCTTATATGCATTGCTGGGCACGGTGGCTCATGCCTATAATCCCTACACTTTGGGAGGCCAAGGTGAGAGGATCCCTTATATCCAGGAGTTTGAGACCAGCCTGGCCAACATAGTGAGATCCCTTCTCCAAATTTTTTTTTTTTAATTAGCCGGGCATAGTGGCACATGCCTGTAGTCCCAGCTACTCAGGAAGCTGGGGTGGGAGGATTGCTTGAGCCCAGGAGATTGAGGCTACAGTGAGCCATGTTCACGCCACTGCACTCCAGCCTGGGTGACAAAGTGAGACACTGTCTGTCAAAAAAAAAGACCCCAAAACTTATATGCATTATCTATTTTTTCCACAAGTGATATGCATTACTTGCACAATTAAAAAATATATATACGTTTTAGACAAATTTGCTTGTTGGGGTAGGCTCTCCTCTCCAGCCATGGCCAAGCCTCAAGCTGACATAGGACAGTCTTTTCCTGGGACAAATTGAAATGGCTGCTCTCTACCATTGGGTCCAGATTTTCATTTTGTGCCAATATCCTCCTTTGTGTGCCAGTAATAAAAAGTCTGCATATTTTCATACTGAAAATTTTATTGTCAGGACTCTAGGCTGTAAGTGACCGAAATATATATATATATATATATATATTTTTTGTGATGGACTCTGGCTCTGTCGCCAGGCTGGAGTGCAATGGCATGATCTCGGCTCACTGAAACTTCCTCCTCCTGGATTCAAGCGATTCTCCTGCCTCAGCCTCCCAAGTAGCTGGGATTACAGGCACCCGCCACCATGCCCAGCTAATTTTTGTATTTTTAGTAGAGACAGGGTTTCACCATGTTGGCCAGGCTGGTCTCCAACTCCTGACCTGAAGTGATCCACCCGCCTCAGCCTCCCAAAGTGTTGGGATTACAGGCGTGTGCCACTGTGCCCGCCCTGAAGTCCATCTTTAAGGGGATTCATTGGTATAGCTGAATGCAGGCCCTCAAACGACAACTTCAGGACCCAGCCCCTTTCTCTGCCTCTTACCCCTGCTTGCCTCTGTGGTCATTTTTCCAACAGGCTCTTCACACTGTGTTAAGATGGTGCTGACAGTCTGGCCTCACGGTAACCCCAGTGCAAAGAGGGCTGCTCTGTCCCAGCCACTCCACTGAGGATCCCAGAATGGAGTCTCACTAGGTCTGACTGGGCTGATTTCCGTCTGCTGCCCATCATGAACTAAGTCCTATAGCCAGAAGGATGGAATACGTGTCCAGGCTGCCACAGCCCCTCCACATCTAGGGTGAGATCTGTCCCACCCTCAACCTTGTACTCTGCTGATACCAAGCTGTTTCTCCTTGGGGGTTCCCTCATTTACCCTAGTTCGCCCAATGCACAGATTCTTATTGTTCTCTGCAAGTGGAGATCAGAAATCTCCGTTATTTTATTTTATTGGTTTTTTTGTTTTTTTTTTTTTTTTGCAAGGCCTCAAAGGGGCTGCTGCAGCAACCTGGCACTGTATTGTTCATCAAATAACGGGTAATGATTGATGGACTTCGTAATTCTCAGTTGTCACAATGCCTGGAAGGGGAGCTGATGTTGGGACGAGGGGAGGATTGCTAATGCATGCCACCCTGGGTGACTCTGCTGAGTTAGAATAAAACAAAACAAATGAGTAGAAGGCATAAAACACCACGGGCGCTTATTTAGACGGAATAAATATTCAGTGGATTTATCTGGTCTCTACTTCTAAAATCATTAAAGAAATTTCCATCATGATGGCCCATAAGAACCTTATATTTGAACCTCACAAGAAAGCAAGGTTTTTTTTCTTACCAATTGTATCCAAGATTTCATAAACCAAAGAACACCAGTGATGCAAAAGTGCGTGACTTATCACCAATCACACTTGGAAAAGGAGAGTTTTCAGAAGAGGACCAGAATTCATTCACAACATTAAAAACTAACACTCAGTTTTTGCACATTGAAACAATCTGACTTTTCTTTCTTTGTTTGAGACAGAGTCTCGCTTTTGTCCCCCAGGCTAGAGTGCAATGGCACGATCTTGGCTCACTGCAACCTCCACCTTCCAGGTTCAAGCGATTCTCCTGCCTCAGCCTCCCAATAGCTGGGATTACTGGTGCCCGCTACCACGCCCAGCTAATTTTTGTATTTTTAGTAGAGATGGGGTTTCACCATATTGGTCAGGTTGATCTCAATGGTCTCAAACTCCTGACCTCAGGTGATCTACCACCTTGACCACCCAAACAATCTGACTTTTCAACCACTAGACTCGAATTCTGAATGAAGAAACAGGCCGGGTGCAGTGACTCACACCTGTAATCCCAGCACTTTGGGAGGCTGAGAAGGGCGGATCACTTGAGGCCAGGAGTTTGAGACCAGCTTGGCCAACATGGTGAGACACTGTCTCTACTAAAACTACAAAAAGTAGTCAGGTGTGGTGGTATGCACCTGTAATCCCGGCTACTCAGGAGGCTGAGGCAGGAGAATAGCTTGAACCCGGGAGGCAGAGGTTGCAGCGAGCTGAGATCACGCCACTGCACTCCAGCCTGTAAGACAGAGCAAAACCCTGTCTAAATAAATAAATAAATAAATAAACGAACGAACGAAGAGAATGTCCACTTCTATAGAAGTGCTTAATGTGTAGTCATAAATATCCAGGACCTATTTAGAATGCTAATTCCAAAATCACAGCTACCAAGAATGGTTCACTACAAATAGCCTTTCAGATCACATGACATCTCTGTTACTGCGGTTGGTTAAAATATATTAATATTTTTATGAGACGTCTGGCTAGTTTTGTGTTAGATGGGTGAAGATGTCAGATTTCTGGATTTTAAAACTTCATGGCATGAAGATTATTCAGCCTTCAAAAGGAAGAATATTCTGACACATGCTACAACATGGATGTAACAACCTTGAGGACATTAGGCTCAATAAAATAGGCCAGTCCCAAAAAGACAAACACTATATGACCTCCTTTATATAACATACTTAGAGTCGTCAAATTCATAGACAGAGAATACAATGGTGATTGCCAGGGGCTAGGAGGAGGGAGAATGAGAAGTTATTATTGAATGGGTACATAGTTTCAGTTGAGAAAGAGGAAAAAGGATATGGATGGTGGTCATGGTTGCATTATGTTGTGAATGTACTTAATGCCACTGAAATGTACACCTAAAAATTAAGACGGTAAATTCTGTTAGGTACATTTTGCTATACACACACACACACCAAAAAAAAAAAAACAAAAAACTTGTAGAAAGACTCTATTTTTCCTTCAGGGCATTTGAGAGAATATAAGTAAAAGTTTTTGTTGCTGGCAAATCTAGTAAAACCTACATGGCAGTGGGTAAGGACAGAGTAAGGAAGCTTCGAGATTCATTTCGTGAATTCCCGAAAGTCCCTTCTGCTAGTCATAGGACGTTTACTTTTTACTGCCAAAACCAGGTCAAAAATCAAGAACTTGTATCGAAAGAACACATGGTCAAAAGGAATAAAAGGATGACTTGCTTTATATTTTTCCCCATAATATTTGTTCATTTTCTCTTATATAATTCACATGACACAAAATTCACCCGTTTAAAGTTTACCATTCAGTGGTTTTCTTATATTCACAAACCTGTTCAACCGTCACCACTCTCTAAGTCCAGAACATTTTATCACTCCAAAAAGAAGCCCTGTAGCCATTTGAAGTCACTGATTCTCCCCTTTCTCCAGCCCCTGACAACCACTAATCTAGTTTCATCTATAGATTTCTCTATTCTGGATATTTCATTTAAGCGGAATCATTTACATGTAAAAATGCGAACTTTTCTCTCTAGCTCCTTTTACTTAGCATAACATGTTTTTCTAGTTTTTTTTTTTTTTGAGTCGGAGTCATGCTCTGTCGCCCAGGCTGGAGTGCAATGGCGCGATCTCGGCTCTCTGCAACCTCCGCCTCCTGGGTTTAAGCAATTCTCCTGCCTCAGCCTCCTGAGTAGCTGGGATTACAGGCGCCCACCACCATGCCCGGCTAATTTTTGCATTTTTTTAGTAGTGATGGGGTTTCACCATGTTGGCCAGGCTGGTCTTGAACTCCTGACCTCAGGTGATCCGCCCACGTCGGCCTACCAAAGTCCTGGGATTACAGGCATGAGCCATTGTGCCCGGCCTCGTTTTACTTAGCATAATGTTTTAAGGATTCACCCGTTTTTTAGCATGTAACAGTATTTTCTTTTCATATATGAACGTACCACATTTTTTTTTTCTCCTTTCATCAGTTGATGGGCATTTGAGCTGTTTCCATTTTTTGGCTACTACGAATAATGCTTCTATGAACATTCATGCACAAGTGTTTGTGTGGACAGATGTTTTTTAGTTATCTTAAATATATACCTAAGAGTGAAGCTGCTGGATATAAGGTGGATACTCTATGTTTAACTCTTTAAGGAACTGCCAAACTCTTTTCCAAAGTGGCTGCACCATTTTACATTCTCATCAGCAGTGTATGGAGGTTCCAAGTTCTCTATATTTTCACCAACACCTGTTATTGTGTTACTGTCTTTTTGATTATAGCCATGCTAGTGGATATGAAGTGATATCTCATTGTGGTTTTGATTGTATTTCCTTATGACTAGTGATGTTGAGCATCTTTTCATGTTTATTGGCCATTTGTATATATTCTTTGGAGAGATGTCTACTCAAATCCTTCGCCAATTTTCTAACTGGATCATTTGTACTTTTACTGTTGGGTTGTGAGAGTTCTTTATATATTATAAATACGGGACCTTTATCGAATGCCTGAACTTGCAAATATTTTTTCCCGTTCTGTAGGTTCTTGTTTCACTCACTTCATGATGTTCTTTGAAGCACAAAATGTGTTTTTAATTTGATGAAGTCCAAGTTATCTATTTTATTCCTTTTGTTGCTTTTGCTTTTTGTTATATAAACTATTGCTTAATATAAGGTCATGAAAATTTACATCCATGCTTTCTTTTAATATTTTTATAGTTTTCACACTTTCATTTAGATATTTAATTAATTTTGAGTTAATTTTTTGTATAAGATATGAAGTAAGGGTCTAACTTCATTCTTTCGCATGTGAATATCCAGTTGTTCCAGCATCATTTGTTCAAAGGACTATTCTTTCCCCCATTAAATGGTCTTGGCACCCTTGTTGGAAGTCAGTTGACCATAAATGTAAGAGTTTGTTTCTGGACTCTCAATTCTATTCCATTTATATACACATTTATCCTTATGTTAGTACTACTCAGTTTTGATTATTGCACTTTGCAGTAAATTCTGAAATAGGGAAAGGTGAGTCCTCCAACTTGGTTCTTCTTTTTCAAGATTGTTTTGGCTGTTTTGGGTCCCTTTGCATCTTCATACGAATTTTAGGACTGGCTTGTTAATTTCACAAAAAAAAAAAAAAAAAAAAAAAAAAAAAACCCAACTGAGATTTCGATAGGCATTGTGTTGAATCTGTAGATCAATGTGGGGAGTACTGTTATCTTAACAATATCAAGTCTTCCAGTCAATGAACACAGGATGTCTTTCCATTTGATTAGGTTTTCTTTAATATCTTTCAATGTTTTGTAGTTTTCAGCATGCAAGCCTTGCACTTCTGTTAAATTTATTCCTAATATTTTATTCTTTTAGATGCCATTGCAAATGGAATTATTTTCTTAATTTCATTTTCAGATTGTTCATTGCTAAGTGTATAGAAATTCAGTTGATTTTGTATACTGATCTTGTATCCTGCAACCTTGTTTATTAGTTCTAACAGGTTGTTTTTAGTGAATCTTTACAATTTTCTATATATAAGATCATGTCACCTATGACTGGAAATATATTTACTTTTTTGTTTCCAATCCAAATGCTTTTATTTCTTTTTCTTGCCTACTTTTCCTGGCTAGAACTACCAGTACTATGTTAAACTGAAGTGGCAAGAGAGGACATCCTCCTCTTGTTCCTAATCTTGGAGGAAAATATCCAGTCTTTCACCATTAAATGTGATGTTATCTTTGTGGTTTTCATAACTTTATCAGGTTGAGGAAATCCCCTTCTATTCCCAGTTTGTTAAGTGTTTTTGTCATGAAAACATTTTTAACAAATGCATTTTCTATATCCATTGAGATGATCTCTGGTTTAAGTTCACTTTTAATTAAACAAAATCATACTACATTCTCTTTGTAAAAAAATGTGTTCAGTGTGGCCGGGTGCAGTGGCTCACGCCTGTAATCCCAGCACTTTGGGAAGCCGAGGCAGGTGGATCACCTGAGGTCAGGAGTTCGAGACCAGCTTGGCCAACATGGTGAAACGCCCCCCTCCGTCTCTACTAAAAATACAAAAATTAGCTGGGTGTGGTGGCAGGCGCCTGTAATCCCACCTACTCGGTAGGCTGAGGCAGGAGAATCGCTTGAACCCAGGAGGTGGAGGTTGCAGTGAGCTGAGATCACGCCACCGCACTCCAGCATGGGCAACAAGAGCAAAACTCCGTCTCAAAAAAAAAAAAAAAAAAAGGTGTTCAGTATACATAAGGCTAGAGTCTTCCTAGTTCTTTCCCAGCTGCCCCAAGGTACTCACTGTTGTCAGATTGCTGTTTCCTTTTAGCTAATTTCCTATCCGTGTGTGTGTGCATGTATTCAAAATATACAATATGCTTTAACAAAAAATGGCATAATAGTATTAAATTAAATGCGGCCTAAACCTGCCTCCATGGATCATAAACTGCAATCTACGAGAGTACATTTTTGTAACAAGTAGCTGAGTCTCAGCCAATCACAGTAGACAAGCTTCAGTCAATTGCAGGCTGCCAACTGATGAGACCACGTCCATATTAGGCAATGCCAAGCTGTAACCAATCAAGCTGTTTCTGGATGTCATTTCCACTTTCTGTCTATAAATAAGGCCTGCCTAGGTTGCTGGGTAGAGCTCTCTGAACCTCTCTCCTGGTTCTGAGTGCTGCCTAATTCATGAATTGTTCTTTGCTCAAATAACTTCTGTTAATTTTGTCTAAAGTTTTTCTTTTGACAATGTATGTATGCTGTTTCCTCTCCCCAGAATACCCTCTTGGTCCCAGCTGACATACCAGTGCCCACCTCCTCTTTAAAACTCAGGAAGTCCCTCTTTTCTGTGGTGCCTTCTAAGGTCATCCATACATCAGGCATCTTTTCCTTCTAGTGATGGCTCAAAATTGTTCCCCCTTTTGTAGCCCCCTCTGGTTATGATTTTAGCAGGGGAGGTGTTTAGATTTGAACAGCCTGAACTTTCATACAGTATACACTGATACCCCCCTAAACATCTTTTTAGCTATAAACACATTTATAGCTATTGTGTGATGATGGTGCTATAGCCACAGTTAAATTTCGAGCCACTTTGACATCTGTTTATATGGCAGCGTTTGTTGGTATGATAAGTAGAATTCAGCTGTCTTACAGACTGCTTTATGCTGTATTCATATCACTAAGAACGAATCCCAAAGCTCCTTGTGTGTGGAAGGATGAGGGTGGGTGGAATCTTACCATGGGAGAATCAGGGACAAACAGTTCCCCTTTTACTGTTACATACTGGTTACATACTGGGCTTCTGGGTATGATTTCGTTTGACAGCACACACCTGTTTCAAGGACGGGCTTGAAAATGACTATTTTATTGCACTTTGCTCTTACCTTTTCTTTATTGAGACAGAGTCTCACTCTGTCACCAAGGCTGGAATGCAGTGGCACAATCTCAGCTGACTGCAACCTCCACCTCCTGGGTTCAAGCGATTCTCGTGCCTCAGCCTCCTAAGTAGCTGGGATTACAGGCATATGCCACCATGCCCAGCTAGTTTTTGTATTTTTAGTAGAGATAGGGTTTTACCATGCTGGCCAGGCTGGTTTCAAACTCCTGACCTCAAGAGATCTGCCTGCCTTGGCCTCCCAAAGTGCTGGGATTACAGGTGTGAGCCACCACTCACAGTCTGCTCTTAACATTTCATAAAAATAGAAAAGTAAAATTGCTGATTCTAGTGTAACAAGTATAAGTCTCACAAATCAAAGATGGAATTCAAGTAGTATCTGAACGCCAGGAATATTTTGCTTTGGTTAGACATCCCTGGATGTAAGCTAACCTTCTGGTGTTCAATGAAGAAAAAAGACCACATTTATAAAATATGTATGAAATACTGAAAACCTACATTATAAAAAACTATGTCTAAATCACGGGGAATAATAGGGGTTTCTGTAACAGGGTGGTTTTTTTGTTGTTGTTGTTGTTTGTTTGTTTGTTTGTTTTAACTCTTTGGGCACAGACTTCTCCTTTAATGTGCAAATATGTTACTTAACTTTCACACTTCCCTTTAGCCCATGGTTTCTGGAATGTACCATGTACAAAAGGAATGGAATAACTGGACAATACTGACTCATACAGTAAGCTCTTGTGTTCAGGGACAGTTCCACTAATGGGCATGTAGCAAATATTTGTTATTAATTGTAGCTTGTTAGGATTAATCCAACTTCTTAACTGATAGCTTTTTGCTGGTGTGTTTTTCAGAGTCTCTTTTTCCTACATCAGCTGTGTATAGAGTATGAAGAGCTTTGGCCTCTATGGAAATCCACTGGGACCTTTCCCTCTGGCAGTGTTTGCCACTGCTGATGTTAAATGTAAGCTCATTCCATGATATCTGATGCTCAGATTCAGGGAAAGTCATCTTGCTACCTAGAATGGGAGCTTCATGGAAGCTTGTTAACATTGATACACTAATTGCCAAATAATTGGAGAGGTTGTATACTTTTTGGAATGAGATACACATGCTACTCTCATATGTATTTGGTGAGAACTTCTTCCACAAGACAATATTATCAGGAGTTTTTTTTTTTTTGAGACAGGGTCTTGCTTTGTCACCCAGTTGTCACCCACGTTGGAGTACAGTGGCACAATCATATCTCACTGCAGCCTTGACCTCTTTGGCTCAAGTGATCCTCCTGCTTCAGCCTCCCAATTAGCTGGGACTACAGATGCCCACCACTGCACCTGGCCCATTTTTGTATTTTTTTGTAGAGACAGGGTCTCACTATGTTGCCCAGGCTGGTCTCTAACTCCTGCCTCAAGAGATCCTCCTACCTTGTCCCTCCAAAGTGCTGGGATTACAGGCATGAGTCATCTTGCACAGCCAGGATCAGGAGCTTTAAAAAAAGCTTATCTTTTCATCTAGAAATTCCACTTCTAGGATTCTCCTATACAAATGAGCAGACGAATGCGCAAAAATGACTGCACAAAGGTGTCTACTGCAGCATTTATTACAACAATAAAAAATACTGTAAATAACCTCAAAGTCTCAAATAGAAAAATGGTTAAAAAAGACAAGTTATAAAGGCAGAGGCTATTTTCTATGTTAAGTATTTATACGTCACTATGTGAATTCAGATTTTTAAAGTTTGTAGTTTTATACCAAAATGTTAACAATAATTATCTTTTGGTGACGGAGTTATCAGTGACTCAAAAATTTTTATTTATTTTATTCGACTTACGTGAATTTTCCAGTTTTTTTTTCTAAAATGACAATGTAGTTTTTTCTTTGTATATATCAATACAGGCCAGTCAACCCAACTTTAAAAGGTTAAGACAGTACTTTTAATAACTACAAAATAAGTTTTGGTAAAAAGTCTTTGTGTTTTTTTTTTTTTTTTTTTTTTTTTGGAGACAGGGTATCTCTCTGTCTCCCAGGCTGGAGTGCAGTGGCACAATCCCCACTTACTGCAACCTCTGCGTCCTGGGCTCAAGCCATCCTCCCACCTCCGCCTCCCAACAGCAGCTAGACTACAGATGTGCGCCACATGGGCTAAGTTTTGTATTTTTTTTTCTTTTTCTTTTTTCTTTTTTTTTTTTGGCAGATACGAGGTTTCGTCATGTTGCCCAGGCTGGTCTTGAACTCCTGGGCTCAAGTGATCCTCCCACCTTGGCCCCTGCAAAGTTCTGGGATTACAGCCATGAGCTACTATGCCCAGCCAGTTTCAGTAAAAATTCTAAATCACTTTTTAAGACCCATTTTACAGAGAATCGTATTTCTGAGGTCTGGATGTTAGCTATAATATCCTGTTCCTAACTCATCTAAGGTTTACCCTGGACCCTCCACCTCACAAAAGTTCCCCATTAAATCAAATACCACAGTCGCATATGATTCTTACCACACAGGCTCTCCAGAAGGATTGAATGTAGAGGGCTGCTTCCTCTTCTGTCAGCAGGAGCGAGAGTGGGATTGGCGGCCGTGGGCTGAAAAGCAATAAAATGGTTATATGCCCATGAGAATCCAGTCCTTCAGCCTTGGCATTGCCTTTGACAACATAATGACCTCTCTGATTAAGTGCTTCATCCATCCCCTTTCTTAGCAGGCAACAGTGTCATTTTAGATAGAAAAGTGTATGCTTGAGTTAGCATTTATTATTTTAAACTCTGGGAAGGATTTTTTTAAAAAAAACAGCATAATCTTAAATCATTGTTAGCCTATTCTTCTTTTGAAGGACTCAGGCTGCTATTCTTGCATTTTAGTCCTGAAGGTGCAACATACATATTACTGACATGAGACTATTTGGATACAATGCAAGAGACAGAGGAGCAGCCGCCTTTATGTACTGCAGTATGACTGAGACATAATAAAGAGCTCTTTCTCCAACTTTCCATTGAAATTAAGGACTGCAGTTCCTCTCTTTCCTGAAAGGAATACTGGAATTTATCTCTGATTAGTATGCATTCCAGGTTAATGTGGTTTAAATTCAAGCACATTTTTAAGTTCTGCTGTTGTTACAGAAACATCAAGGGTTTGGTGTAGGTCTTGCTGCTCACCACACAGAATGCCAATTACTGAACTGATGAGTATTACCAGGGAAGAAGGCTCTAATCTTAATCGAGTGCTGCAGCCAGGAGGAGATGGGATCAGTCTCAAATCCACCTCCCAGACAGACAAAAACTAGGGGTTTATACAGCAGGGAAGAAATGTGACAATGTGTAAGAAAACAAGAACTAGGGAGGAGCAAGGAAGCAATCATGATGAATGAGGGCTCTGGCATCTCATTGTCTAGATGTGGTGATCTGATGAGTTTCAGTTCTTTGATCCTTTTTTTTTCTAAGAGGCCTGGGGGTCCTTCCCTGAGGAAGGAACTCAGATAAATTAAGTTTTAAGCTTTAAGACCAGAAAAGTCAATTTCTATGTTTATCTGAAAACAACAACAACAACAAAAACTATGGGACGATTGGGTTGGTTTCACTGCTTCTTCTTCTTTTTTTTTTTTTTAAAGATGAATCTGCTGTGGATTATTGTTTCTGCTTAGAAAAAAATACTTAAACAGTAATTCTTAATAAGAAATAAAATATCTCAAGTGCTGGATCAGTTGATAGTGTCTGCTCTTGTGGGATTTTTCATATCATGGGATTTTTTTAAAAATCAAAGATACCACATTAAAAAATCAAGACTAAAAGTTTAACAGAGGCACTAACCGATGACAAGGTCTTACAAATCTGTCTTAATTCAGGTTCTTTATGTTTCCCCCAAAGTAAAGCATAGCTACGTCTGAAAAGCAAAGGCCAAGACTGTTCAGATATAAAAGAAAGAAACCCTCAAAGGACGTGGATCACATGGAGGCTGCTCCCAGTATAGCATCCCCAGAAATGACTTTGCAAGTAAGGGACTCCCAAGTGCCCTGGCCTCAAAACTCTCCCAAATAACAGCTAGAGCTTACAGTAACTCACGGCACAGACAGGTTGACTAACCTGCCCAAGGTCACACAGCTTGTAGGTGCCTAGTGAGGATCTGGGCCCAGATCCATACAATCCCAAAGCCCAAGCATCCCTTATCATGGAGTGCTGACACACCAAGCCTCAACTGGGCAAACATGCAGATGCCCGGCCTGCCACAGACTGCAAAGCTAACTGGCAACAGTGCATGATTCTCCAGGATACAAGGGTTTCATTTCCTTCCAAAAACTCTGACTTAAAAAAAGAAAAAGAAAAGCTTGATATAGTCTATTTGTTTAAATGAATGAATGCTCTTTTGAATTCTTCCAGAACCAAAGAAATCAAAGCCACAAAGAACACAGAAGTTATCAGCAGTTGAGTGCAGTGCTTTTGCCAGGCTCTGATTTTCTGGCTGGACAGGTCCTTTCTAAGAGACCAAGTAAAGGGGATTCTTCCATTTCTTCCTTTTTCTTTCCTTTCTTCCCTTCCCTTCCCCTCCCCTCCCCTTTTCTTTCTTTCTTTCCTTCCTTCCTTCCCTCCATCCCCCCTCCCTCCCTCCCTCCCTTCTCTCTCTCTCTCTCTCTTTCTTTCTTTTCTAGGTGATTCTTCCATTTCTTCCTTTTTTTCCCCTTTCTTTCCGTTCTTTCCCTTCTTCCTCTCTTTCTCTCTTTCTTTCTTCCTTTCAATGAAGTTTCACTCTGTCCCCCAGGCTAGAGTACAGTGGCATAATCTCGGCTCACTGCAACCTCTGCCTCCCAGGTTCAAGCGATCCTCCTGTCTCAGCCTCCTGAGTAGTGGGACTACAGGAGCACGCCACAATGCCTGGCCAATTTTTGTATTTTTTGGTAGAGATGGGGTTTCACTGTGTTGGCCAGGTTGGTCTCAAACTCCTGACCTCTGGTGATCCACCCACCTCTGCCTCCCAAAGTGCTGGGATTACAGGCATGAGCCACCGTGCACAGCCTCTTTTACATTTTTTAAGTAAATTTTCTTAAAACTGTAGAGACAGGGTCTCGCTATGTGGTCTCCAACTCTTGGCCTCAAGCAATCCTCCCACCTCGGCCTCCCAAAGCACTGGAATTACAGGCATGAGCCACCCGCCCCGCCCGGGCTCCCTGTTTTCCACATTAAATGTCTCTCCTCATCCACTGTCCTGATTCTCTATATCTCAGTTGTGTGACACCAACAAATCACATCCCTGAAGTAATTTCCCTTCACTAGTTAAAATTCAACAGCTTCTAGAGAGACCTTGGTGTTTTTAAGGAGACCTTGGTGTGTTGGCAGTGAATTCATGGGAATGATGCTCTAATGCATTCTCACTGGCTGATATTTACTGAGAACTTTCTGGATCCCCTCCCAGCAGCCTTGCTCCTCATGCTCCGGCCCTGCGGGTGTCACTGGTAGAGGGTCGTGACTGCAAGTTGTCCAGGTTCTTGGCGTTTTGAACAAAGAATTGTACAAAACGCCCAGCAAAGCAAAGAAAGAATGAAGCAACAAAAGAACAAAAGCAGGGATTTATTGAAAACGAAAGGACAAAAGTACACTCTGCAGTGTGGGAGCGGACCCAAGCAGCGGCTCAAGAGCCAGGATACAGAATCTTCTTGGGTCCAAATACCCCCTAGAAGTTTCCCTTTGGCCACTTCATGCTCACCTCATGTAAATGAAGTAAGTGGTAGCCAGCAATCAGTCTGATTGGTTGTAGAAAGCAGCCAACCAGAGGCTGAAGTGAAGTTATAAAGTTATGCAAACAAAGACTTCTATGCAAACAAAGACTCGGCCCGCAATCAGTCTGATTGGTTGTGGACAGCCAATTTCCCATCAGCTGTGCAGGAAATTTTGGGATTTGAAAAGGGAGTAGCCTCTGGTCCTTTTGTTACTTAGGCGTGGAAAGTTAGGGTTTTCTTTTCAATTTAGTTCTAGGATGTCAGTGTGAGACAGCCTTTGGTTCCCTGCCTCCAGACCCTATTCTCCTGCCTCACTGGCACTTGGCAGCTCCTCAAATGTGTCTGCTTCTCCCACCTCAGGGCCTTTGCTAAGGTGCTTTCCTCTGCCTCCAGTATACCCCTAGCCAGGGGCACCCTGTACAGAGGTCCTGGTTGTTCTCTGCTCAAGGGCACCCAGCAGATCGGCCAAAGGGTGCTAAAACCCAGCACATGCTCTGCTCCTGGGTGTGTGACCACATCTGCCCTAAGGTGAGGATACCTTTTTCTAATTTGCTCAAATGCACCTTGGGGCTGGTGCAAGGCCTGACACCTCTTTTTCCTGGTTTGTCTTATTACTGCTTCTGATCTCCATTCAAATGTTATTGAGGCGGGGCGCCGTGGCTCATGGGCCTGTAATCCCAGCACTTTGGAAGGCCGGGGCGGGTGGATCACCTGAGGTCAGGGGTTCGAGACCAGCCTGGCCAACATGGTGAAACCCCATCTCTACTAAAAGTACAAAATTTAGCCAGCCGTGGTGGTGTGTGCCTGTAATCCCAGCTACTTGGGAGGGTGAGGCAGGACAATTGTTTGAACCTGTGAGGCAGAGGTTGCAGTGAGCCAAGATCGTGCCACTGCACTCCAGCCTGGGCAACAGAGCAAGACTCCATCTCAAAAAGAAAAAAATGTAATTGAAAAATGTCCTTTGATTACATCAGGGCCCCAGGAAGCTTCTGTGTAATTTTCCTTCCTGGTCCTTGGCCCAGTTTGGAGATAGAAGCCCTTGTAATTATCTAATTAATGCTCAAATCTTGTACTGGTCTGAAAGCTCCACAAGAGTAGACACTGGTCCTGTGTTTGCTCCTCTTGGTATCTCCAGCACTTAGGACAATGTCTGGCACATAGTAGGCACACTCAACAAATACTTGTGGAGTGAGTAGTTGCCTCTCTGCCCAGCTGTGTGTTAAGCATTTTCTACACGTGATTTTGTTAAATCCACACAACATGAAGAATGAGTTGTTACCCTTTCTTGAGAGTTGAAACAACTGAGGCATAGAGGGGTAAAGGGACTCTGTGTTCAAGGTCATTGAGCATTTCCAGCTGAGAATGCAAACTGCCCAGGAAACAGTGGCCCAGAGAGAAGATGGGGCCAGCTCACAAGGTCAGTAGCATCGAAGTCAGGGTCTAGCAGCTGCTGAGTGTTAAGGAGAAGAAAACACAATCATTTGCTTCGAAGAAAAAAAAAATGGGGGCAGGGAGGGTGCAGAATCATAGAAAACGCCCTCTTTGTTGAACTTTACAGTAATAACTTGGCAGATACTCATTTATCTGAACCTCCGCAGGGAATCCTATGTCAGGAAGGCTAAACAGAGTAGAGTTTGTCACTTGTGTTGGAGGGGAGATTTGATAGCGCCTTTCTGTTCAGCGGCAATTTTCCTGCTTTAAGTATGTTTTTCACAACCGATGTCATGAAATCCTCAAAGTAACAGTATTCCTGTTTCGGAACAGCAGCAGGAAAACAGAACTGCAAATCTCAGAACACAACGGGTGAGCCCAAACAGAGGGCTTTCACCAGTAATGAAACCCTGAACCGCTATGCATCACAACGACATCTCCAAAAAGCAAAATGAGATTTCTAATAGGCCTTTAAGCAGTAATAAGAGGCCACCTTTAGTGACATCCCTGCTTTCATAGCTAGATAATGGGGCGCTGTCTAGTTCCCAAACCAAGAATAAGTATGAGAAAGCCATGGTAAATCAGGCCAAATGAAAAGGACTTACTCTTCGAAGAGTAGTCCTGGGAATTATCAATCATTTCAGCAGGCCAGCTTGAAGGCAGAGAAGCCACGCCAGGCCCTTTTCCCTCTCTTGGAATCAGTGCAACTGGCTTAAGGTCAAATAAAAATAAAGAGGCGACTGCTCATCACCAGGGAACTAGGGAGGGGAGAGATGAACACGTCAATCACAGAAGGAGACAGCTGAGGCCTTAAAGTGCTTAAATCAGACATCCCCAAAGCAGACGTTTTTGCATGTTCAGACGGGCACGATAGCACTGCTGGGTATGTTTCCAAGGAGAATTGTTATACTAGTAATACTCATTTGTCATGTCCTCCTCCTTTTTTTCTCAAATGTGAATACATTTGAACCCTAAGAATCAATGCTGGCCAGGCGCGGTGGCTCCCGCCTGTAATCCCAGCACTTTGGTAGGCCGAGGTGGGTGGATCACCTGAGGTCAGGAGTTCGAGACCAGCCTGGCCAATATGGTGAAACTTCATCTCTACTAAAAACACAAAAATTAGCTGGGCGTAGTGGCGGACACCTGTAACCCCAGCTACTCAGGAGGCTGAGGCAGGAGAATCGCTTGAACCCAGGAGGCAGAGGTTGCAGTGAGCCAAGATCGCACCACTGTACTCCAGCCTGCACAACACAACAAGACTCCGTCTCACACACACACACACACACAAAAAAAGAAGAAGAATCAACGCTATAATTCTGAGAAGGAACAAAAATTTATTTTTCTGATTGTGTTGTGTATATATAAATGTATGTGCACATGTGTGCGCATACACATGCTTCTTTTCTCTTTTTTAGATGCAAAGTGAAAGATTTGCAGGACGTGAAGATACAGCATGCTAACAAAATACATAATAAGAAAATCTGAGACGTTAGTCTTGATCAATTTCTTCATCCAGTTCAAAGACAATTAGAGAGGTGTCATCAAAAAACACATTTAATCAGAATAAAGAAGGGAAGAAAGCTTGCTTGAGATTGAAAATGAAATTTTGGAATCAAAATTCTATCCACTTTTCTTTCTCTCTTTCTCTTTTCTTTTTTTGACAGGGTCTTGCTCTGTCACCCAGGCTGCAGTGTAGTGGCATGATCATAGCTCACTGCAGCCTCAAATTCCTGGGCTCAAGCCATCCTCCCACCTCAGCCTCCTAAACAGCAGAGATTACAGGTACACACCACCATTCCCAGCTAATTTTTTTTTTTTTGGTATTTTTGTAGAGACAGGGTCTCACTATGTTGCCCAGGTTGTGCCCAGGCTCTTCACTTTTCTTTTCTTTTTCTTTTTGAGATGGAGTCTCACTCTGTTGCCCAGGCTGGAGTGCAATGGTGCGATCTCGGCTCACTGCAACCTCCGCCTCCCAGGTTCAAGCAATTCTCCTGCCTCAGCCTCCTGAGTAGCTGGGATTACAGGCGCCTGCCACCATGCCCGGCCTTCCACTTTTCATTAACTAAGAGATTAAGTTGTTTTCTTGGAACATGAAAGCACAACCCGGATGTAAAGCCATTTACAAAGACGGCACATGCTGTAAATCAATCCTCATGAAGTTTTGCAATACACCAGTATTTGTAACGGCCACTTGTCACAGTCAGCAAAAGAGACTTTACCCAGCCCTCGCCTTCCATCCTAACCGGGTTCCCAAATGCTCTATACTGAGGCATCACATTCTTTTTTGTTGTTGTTTTAGGCGGAGTCTCACTCTGTCACCCAGGCTGGAGTGCAGTGGCACGATCTCGGCTCACTGCATCCTCTGCCTCCCGGGTTCAAGTAATTCTCCTTCCTCAGCCTCCCGAGTAGCTGGGATTACAGGCGCCTGCCACCACACCCAGCTAATTTTTGTATTTTTAGTAGAGATGGGGTTTCACCATGTTGGCCAGGCTGGTCTCAAACTCCTGACCTCAAGTGATCCACCTGCCTCAGCCTCCCAAGGTGCTGGGATTACAGGCGTGAGCCACCACGCCCTGCCGAGGCATCACATTATTGGCTTACAAACTTAAAATATTTCTAAAAAGTACAACAGAGGTTATCTGGAATGGTACTCCCAGACATATGGTGACTAGCCGTTAGGATGGAATCTCATAGGATTCTTTCAATTCCAGCCTTCTGTGAACATACGAACAGCTCCAAAACCTGCAGAGCTTTACTCTCTGTAGCCTAAAGCATATTTAGAAATCATGGTTACCAGGATATGATGTTGCTTTGGCCCCTTCACTAATCTCTACCCTGGGAGATCAACAAGCGGTTATTACTCCAGCATCAGGCTGAATCATTCTCCTAGTTACACACAGAGCTGAGTCCCATTTAACCAACTCCATCACTGAAGCTGCATACGTGTCCAGATAGCAGAACTCGCCAAGCAGCGAAGTGCAAGACCACATGCTCCCATGTGGGTTTCAGATATAACCATTTTTTAAAAAAACAAGGCTGTGATACTTGATATTTCTTGATAAAATATTCCCAGATTGTGGTATTATTTAACGTCTTTGTAACTGATTACACATTTTCTCTAGTGTGACTAAAGGAAAAATTTAAGGAGACCCACCTACTCCCCAGTCTCCCTCTCCTGGATTTAAAGGGTGGGCCCAGGCAAGGGGGATGTTCAGAAGAGCAGACCACCTACCTCCCCACCCTTTTCAAACCTCTCACAGGGGATCTTCATTTTTTTGTGTCACGGATCCCTTTCTACTTTGGCGGTTTGGATTCCTTCTCACAATAATGTTTTTAACAACATGAAAGTAAATACATAGGATTACAGCAAACCAATTATATTGAAATAAAAGTATCAAAATATTAAAACAAGAGCTGCTGATATAGTAATATATGCGCTTCTAAATTATGCAGTAAATAACAAGAGCTAATAGCAGGCCAATTAACTACTGTAATTTGAAAGGTGTGACAAGTGTAAATGGTATTTCTCGATCTCTGCAACAACTGTAATGTGACAGGAGAATATCTGTGATTGCTGTCAGGGACAAACTCACAGATACTATGGAAACTACTGAGGTTTGTTGTCCACATTCATACTTAAAGGAGACGCTGGATTTAAGTGAGAGATTAGTGAAAATAAAGAGGGAATTTCCTTCCCTTTCCAAGTTCCGGGACCCCTGAATCGTAGACAGTTAGTTGTGGCTGGAGCTGGGGAAAGATGGGTTTTATATCCAGCTGGAGACTGAAGACTAAGGATTTAAAAATAAACAGGATGGGCCAGGTGCAGTGGCTCATGCCTGTAATCCCAGCACTTAGAGAGGCCAAGGAGGGAGGATGGCTTGAGGTCAGAAGTTCAAGACCAGCCAGGGCAACACTGTCTCTATAAAAAACATAATAAATTTTTGGCTGGGCACAGTGGCTCATGCTTGTAATCCCAGCACTTTGGGAGGCGGAGGCCGGCAGATCACTTGAGGTCAGGAGTGCAAGACCAGCCTGGCCAACATAGTGAAACCCCATCTCTACTAAAAATACAAAAATTAGCCAGGCAAGGTGGCACATGCCTACAGTCCCAGCTACTTGGGACGCTGAGGCAGGAGAATCACTTGAACTTAGGAGGCGGAAGTTGCTGTGAGCTGAGAGCGCACCACTGCACTCCAGCTGGATGACAGAGCGAGACTCCATCTCAAATAAATAAATAAATAAATAAATAAATAAATAAATAAATAAGGCTGGGCACGGTGGCTCACGCCTGTAAGGTCCCAGCACTTTGGGAGGCCGAGACGGGTGGATCACGAGGTCAGGATATCGAGACCATCCTGGCTAACATGGTGAAACCCCGTCTCTACTAAAAATACAAAAAATTAGCCAGGCGTGGTGGCAGGTGCCTGTAGTCCCAGCTACTCGGGAGGCTGAGGCAGGAGAATGGCGTGAACCCAGGAGGCGGAACTTGCAGTGAGCCGAGATCGCACCACTGCACTCCAGCCTGGGCGACAGAGCGAGACTCCATCTCAAAAAAAATAAATAAATAAATAAAATAAATAAATAAGTAAAAATTAAAAAAATACTTGTGATTTAAAAAAATAACGAGGATAAATCCTAATGGTGAAATGAGATGATCTAAAAAGAGAGAGTGACCAGAAAGTTATGGAATTGGGCCAAAAAGTATTAAAGAGCTGCTATCCAGATGGCAGATGGAGTCAATGTAATATAGTGTGGTGGTTAGTGGGAAAAAAGAAAAAACTTTTCATATTTTTATTCCCAATAATTTGTGATTTTTCAGTGTACTCATTAAATTTTCAAAAGAGAACTGTTATTTCCCCTACTCTGTTTCAGTAAAGGGATCCCATTCAGCCAGTTGCTCAGGCCTGAAATCTCTGTTGCATTCTTGACTCCTCTCTCTCCCACAACATCCAATCCATCAGCAAGTCTTCTTGGTTCCAACCTCAAAACATGTCCCAAATCCAATTTATTTTACTTCCTCCTCTCCATGAGGGCATCATCTCTTCACTGTAGTCACCTCCCTGTATGCACTATTAGGTTGATTTCAGTGAATACCCCATCCAGCTGCCGGACTGATCTTTTTAACAGATACACTGAAGGCTGGGTGTGGTGGCTCACGTCTGTAATCCCAGCACTTTGGGAGGCTGAAGTGGGAGGACTGCTTGAGGGCAGGAGTTCGAGGCTGCAGTGAGCTATGATCGCACCACTGCACTCCAGCCTGGGCAACAGAGTGAGACTCTGACTCAAAATAAAAATTGTGTGTGTTGTTTTAAGCACCAACTTTGTGGTAATTTCTCGCAGTAGCCCTAGGAAACTCATATACTAATTCCCATCTTATGATCCTTAACTTAATCACATATGCAAAGTCCCTTCTGCCATATAAGGGAACATATATATTTACAAGGTCTGGGAATTGGATGTGGACATCTTGAGGGCACTAAAAGGAAAAACCTTTGTTTCTCTACTCGCAAGACTTCTGACACCAAATGTGTGGGTTTTTCACACCAAGCAGTTCTCCAGCTCTCTGCAGATACCAACTGGGCATCCTACAATTTATTTTTTATTTTGTTTTTATTTTTATTTTTTTTTGAGATAGGGTCTCACTCTGTTACTCAGGCAGGAGTGCAGTGGTATGTTAATGGCTCGCTGCAGCCTCCATCTCCCAGGTCCAAGTGATACTCTCCCCTCGGCCTCTGGAGTAGCTGGGACTACAAGTGTCTGCCATCACACCCAGCTAATTTAAAAATGTTTTGTAGAGATAGGGGTCTCACTATGTTGCCCAAGCTGGTTGCAAACTCCTAACCCTAAGCAATCCTCCCGCCTCGGCCTCCCAAAGTGCTGGGATTACAGGCACTACAATTTAATTTAACTCTGACACTAACTGCCCACAGTTAGTGCAGACCCCACAGAAGGCCCACAGGGAGCCCACAGGATAAGGGCTTAGTCCCACAAGAATGCTCTCCACTACAGATGCCAGTCACAAGGAATGGGTCTCCAGGTTACTCACACTTCTGTCTGACTTGGCTACAAATTGGGGGCTCCCACAACCCCCTCCTCAAGTTCGATAATTTTCTACAACAGCTCATAGAACTCAGGGAAAACGCTTTACTAAATGGTGGAACTAAGATTGGAGCCCAGATGTGCCTGCCATACTGCTTCGCACAGGCTCTCTGAACTGGTTCTCTTTTTTTTTGAGACAGAGTCCTGCACTGTCACCCGGGCTGGAGTGCAATGGCGCGATCTCAGCTCACTGCAACCTCTGCCTCCCGGGTTGAAGCAATTCTCTCACCTCAGCCTCCGGAGTAACTGGAACTACAGGTGTGCACCACCACGCCCAGCTAATTTTTGCATTTTTTTAGTAGAGATGGGGTTTCACCACGTTGGCCAGACTGCTCTCGAACTCCTGACCTCAAGTCATCTGCCAGTCTTGGCTTCCCAAAGTGCTGGGATTACAGGCGTGAGCCACCGTGCCCGGCCCTGAACTGGTTCTTAAACAGCCATGGAGAAACAGCAGGAAGAAAGAACGGAAGCAGTACTGAGTGCGCCTGAGAAAGGGCCACCCACATGTCAAACCTCCAGCAAAAGAGAGGCACTAGAGAACTTATACATCTCAGCACGTCCCAAATTCAGGAAACAGCTTTCCTTCCTCCCTCTATTTGAAGATGAATGTGAATATAAAAAGCAAAGACGATTTACTATCCTCTTGGGACTCTCTGGCCTCCGAAATTACTGACACAGAAGAAATCTACTCTTCTATAAGACAAAATAAATTAAAAGGATTTTTTTTTCTATCAAGAGGGCATGACAACAAATTTTCTGCTGTGCCACCATTTAATTATAATCTTTAGTACGAAATGCAGTTTTTTGTGCCACTCTGAAGGTAGGAGCATTTTCAGTTCCACTATCAGCCTCAGCACAAATAGATCATCAAGCGACTGGAGCTTGTCCTCAAACGACACAGTGACACTTTTGTTTTCACCTCTGTTTTTGGTCACAAGATACCTTTCATCAACATGAACATATCATAGGTTCCCCCAGCCCCCCACCTTTTTTTTTGTTTCAAGGATAAAACTTAGCTGAAAAGACATTTCACCCAAAGCAACCTTTTCTTTTCAAAAACACAATCTTTGTTTCATTGAAGGTCTCAGTTTTAATGATGTCTTTCATGAGCCTTCCCTTCTGGGACATGAGACCAGAAAGGCAGTGGTGCACTTTTGCTCTTCGTGCTCATTTAGTTATTTATTTTTGCAAATGAATCTGACCAATTCTCAGGGCCATTCTTTTTGGCCAAAATAGAAATTTAAACTTTTTCTCTTCTTAATGTGCTAGAAAATAATTTCATTGCCTCTGATTGGCTGGTTGAGTCACGACTATATACTACAAAAGAGGATGGTGCTGGATTAATAAACAGGACTAAGGCCGACGGGAGATATGACATCATCTACCCCTGTTAAAAGGTAAGAACAAAAACACCCTCATCACACTTCAATTAGAGTACGTGGCAGATCGTTTTTTGTTTGTCTGTTTGTTTGTTTTTGAGACGGAGGCTCGCTCTATCACCCAGGCTGGAGTGCAGTGGCACCATCTCGGCTCACTGCAACCTCTGCTTCTCGGGTTCCGGCAATTCTGCTGCCTCAGCCTCCCAAGTAGCTGGCGTATTACAGGCGTGCACCACAAAGCCTGGGTAATTTTTTTGTATTTTTAGTAGAGACGGAGTTTCACCATGTTGGCCAGGATGGTCTCAAAGTCTTGATCTCAGGTGATCTGCCCATCTTGGTCTCCCAAAGTGCTGGGATTCTAGGCGTGGCCACCGTGCCCAGGACATGGCATCTTTCAAGCTGTCTCACACAGCCAGGTTTCTCCCAGTCTCAGTACTGATCACTTTAAGGACCAGGTGACAGAAGGGGAAGTAGAGCAGAATAATTAGCCACACTCTTAACAGTGCATAGACTCTGCAGCCAGGTTGCTTATGTTCAAATCCTGCCTCTGCTATGCACTGGCTTGAGATCCTGGGCAAAGACTTAATTTCTCTCTGCCTCAGTTCTTTCTTAGAAATATGCCTGTGGGCCAGGTGCAGTGGCTCATGCCTGTAATCCCAGCACTTTGGGAGGCCGAGGCAGGTGGATCACCTGAGGTCAGGAGTTCATGACCAGTCTCGCTAACATAGTGAAACCCCATCTCTAATAAAAATACAAAAATTAGTCAGGCATGGTGTTGGGTGCCTATAGCCCAGCTACTTGGGAGGCTGAGACAGGAGAATGGCTTGAAATGGGGAGGCAGAGATTGCAGTGAGCCTAGATCGTGCCACTGCACTCTAGCCTGGATGACAGAGATAGACTCCTTCTCAAAAAAAAAAAAAAAAAAAAAAAAAAAAAAAAAGCCTGTGCCCAGAACAGAACAGCTAGTGTTCACCAATATCCACGTGTTCCTTTACGTATCCCTGCCTCCCCCGCAACTGGCTTGAAGCCATGCTCTGTAAAGAGAGGTGAGAAAGTTAAGAACCTTCTAGACTGAGAAGGTTAAGAGCTGAGGGACCTCCTACATTCTTTTCTTCCTTTGCATCAGTGACCTCAGAGGTAAGAGGGCTGTCCAACCTACAACAGTCTTTTTGTGAGCAAGAAGTAAGCTGTTGTTGGGTTAAGCCACTGGTATTTTGGTATTGTTTATAACTGCAACCTAGCCTAGCCTAGCCTAATACAACGGGGATACTATGATTTTCTACTTTGTAGGGTTGCGATGTAAGTTAAATTAGGTAATATTTATAAAGTGCCCAGAATAATACCCAAGTAAACACTATGTAAATGTTTGGTAGGTAGGTAGTTAAATATATAAATACGAAGACAGACAGACAGAAGGAAGTAGTTGCCTTATGAGCTGCTTATGTTATGAGGGGTACCCAAAATTGAAAACAACTGAGGAAAGAGCTGAGTCATGTGTCCTATTTTATGCGTTACCTCTAGAGTAAAGTGGCAAGAATTGCTTGCATTTTAAAAAGTCTTCTTTTTTTTTTTTTTTTTTTGATACAGAGTCTCACCCTGTCGCCCAGGCTGCAGTACAGTGGCGCAATCTCGGCTCACTGCAATCTCCACCTCCCGGGTTCAAGTGATTCTCCTCCCTCAGCCTCCTGAGTAGCTGGGATTACAGGCACACACCACCACGCCTGGCTAATGTTTTGTATCTTTAGTAGAGATGGGATTTCACCATGTTGGCCAGGGTGGTCTCGAACTCCTGACCTCATGCTCCACCTGCCTTGGCCTCCCAAAGTGCTGGGATTACAGGCAAGGCCTAAGACACCACGCCCGGCCTTAAAAATTCTTATCCCTTTCCCTTTCTTCCCTTCTCTGTCTTTCTCTCTTCTTCTCAAAAGCATATCATTGAATTAGCATAAATTAAGTACACATATACTTCAATCCAACTATACACAGTATGTCTGTCCATGAAAACGGGAAACATGTTTGTCGTTTCTACATGTCATGTTTCCACGGCACATAGTAGGTGTTTCATAAATGGTAGCCAGGCCACTTATGAATATACCTGCCCCATAATTTTAAAGCATATTTAAGCATTCAATAATTATTAGCTGGCTGGGCGCAGTGGCTCACGCCTGTAATCCCAGCACTTTGGAAGGCCAAGGAGGGCGGATTACTTGAGCTCAGGAGTTCCAGACAGTCTGGGCAATGTGGTGAAATCTACAAAAAATTAGCCAGGCATGGTGGTACACACCTGTAATCCCAGCTACTTGCCCATGAGGCAGAGGTTGCAGTGAGCCAAGATCGCATCGCTGCACTCCAGCCCGAGCAACAGAGTAAGACCCTGTCTCAAAAAAAAAAAAAAAAAAAAAAAAAAAGTATTAGCTAAATAAATAATTCCCTTTAGCTGGAACATACCTGCTTGGTATATGTACCAATAATGAAATATAATAATAGTTGGCACTAGGATTCCTCTTACGGGGGGAACTTTGTTCAGTTGAAAGGCCATTTTTCAGATGGAAAAACTGAGGCTTGGAAGGATTAAGTCATCTTTGCCCAAAGTCACACAGCTGGAAGTGGTGGAGCTGGGTTTAGAACGCAGAGGTGTGATTCTAGTGCTTCCAAGCTCCTAACCACCACACTACACTGTCACTTCTTTGACTTCTAGAACATTCCTACACTTCCTTTGGCAACTTTGGGATTTGACTCACTGTCATCTTCTTCAGCTGTCTCCTCCCAGTGTTCTCAGCTACTTCATTATCTATGCTGATGACCCCCGCAATACCATGACTTTGGGTCCACATGTTTCTAGTGACCCCTACCATCCCTCTGGGTCAGTCACCCAACAGAAAGGTCACATCTTAGAATGGTTCATCACTGAAGACTGTCACATATCAAGTTCCTGAACTCCTGATGTAATCATAAACTTTTCTCTCCTTCCATCTTTCCCACCTACTACTTACTTCTAATTATGTTGGTTTTTTTGCTTTTACATGAGACCATGGTTTGGGAAGGCTATTGGTGTCCACCTGAAACAGGGAATCAACAAACCGTAGCTCATGGGCCAAATCTGGCCCACCACCTGTTTTTGTGAATAAAGTGTTATTGGAACACAGCCACACCCATTCATTCATATATGGTACATCTATGGCTGCTTTCATGACACAGCTGGGGAGTTGAGTAGCTGAGAGACTGTCTGTGGCTTGCAAAGCCTAAAAGACTTAACTATCCTCTATAGAAAAGTTTGCTGACCCTTGACATAGAAAGCCATGTCCTTGTTCCCCAGGAACTCTGAGATTATTGGAGACTTGTTCTTTAGAACAAACCCAAGGCTTTGATCATGTTAATCCTCCTTCTCATTGTTTCTGGGGAAACTGGGTTTGGGTTTGGTGGGAGGGTTGGCGTTATCTGAGACTAACATAAGAGAATTGGTTGGGAAGTTGTGCACATTCAGAGCTGGGTCTCTGGAGGGGTGACCAAGACCTTCTCAGCACCACAATACTTGTCAGTTGGGCTGCACCTGCCATCTCCCCTTTCCCCAGGGCCATTTTCCCTCAATGCCATTTGAGTTTCTCAGCATGCTCATAGGAAAACTCAGTCCTCCATTGTCTGTCACTCCAGCCACCTCCAGTAGGGAATGGCCCCCAGCCCTCCTGGTTCACTGCTCTCCAGTAGATACCACCTCGCCCAGGGCACATCTCCTACACTATCAAGTGCTCATAAGGAGCTTTGAACAATCTCATTTTAATGTTTTTTTAATTATTATTATTTTTTGAGACAGGATCTCACTCTGTCACCCAGGCTGGATTGCAGCGGCACAACCACAGCTCACTGCAGCCTAAACCTCTGGGGCTCAAGTGATACTGCCGCCTCAGCCTCCTGAGTAGCTGGGACCACAGGTGAGCACCACCATGATCAGCTGATTTTTGATTTTTTATAGAGATGGGGTCTCACTATGTTTCCCAGACTGGTCCAAACTCCTGGGCTCAAGTAATCCTTCTGCCTCAGCCTCCCAAAGTGCTGGCAGGCATGAGCCACTGCATCTAGCCCTAATCTCATTTAAAAAAATTTTTGTTATGGAAATTTTAAAAGCTATACAAAAGTAGACAGAAAAAATTAAAAGGAATCCATGTGTCCATCAACCAGCTTCAATTATACTGTTCTCCATGTCAGTGAATGGAAGCTTCCCTCCCTCCCTCACCCCTGTCCATAGAATATGTAATTTCATATATAAATATTTTGGCATGTTTCTCTGAAAAGTAATAACTTTTTAATCATGACTATGAAATTAGTATTCTCATCATCATATCTTAAATAATAATTTTTTAATTTCATCAGCTATTAAGTGTTCAAATTTTCAGTTGTCTCCAATTTTTTATACCGTTTTTTTGAATTGGGATCCAATTAAGATCCACACATTGGAATCTTTAAAAACAAACTGTCTTGATTCTAAGATGGACCCCACTACCCTCATCTTAGTGTTTCTGAGTTTGGTATATTTCTTACTTTCAATGTGAACACCTAATGTAGGATTTCTTTCTCTTCCCGAAAATTGGTTGCTAAAGCGTTAACATAATTCAGAAAATATGGTAATTTATGATTTAAAAATGTAAGACATTCTTTAAAAAGGAAACAATGCTTTCACTTGTACCTACGATCCCCTGGGCCCAGTCTAGACCTTTTACTAGAGTAGCTTTGCCAGTCTTCAACCCTGATTTTACCAACCATCTGTTCTCCACCCCCTTTCCAGAGCTGTGGAGGGTTGCTGGAGACAATCACATAAGCAGGCTGTTTATATGCACCACAAATTCAGGCCATCAGCTGGGCCATCCCTATTTATCCCTCGTTGATTCCCTGTCGGTTTCACCACAGCAGCTGTTGCAACCCCCTCCCCTCCTCCATAAACCTCTGCCTCCCTCTCAGCAGATGCCTTCACACCTACATGAATGTGAACGTGAGTGACAGCACCCACCATGAACTTTCTCAGTGCTTCTCCCTCCACCTCAATTTTTCTCTCACTCTTAGCTCTGGTCTCAGAGGAATACTTACACATTTTTTTATATCTATATACATATGGAGATACATAGAAAAGCATCTGAAAAGTTCACCAAAATGTCAACAATGGTTATATCTGGGAGGCCAGCTCTTCGGTGATCTGTGCATTTTTCTTTTGATTTTTCTGTTTTGTTTGAATTTTTTCACTCAGCATGTATCATTTTTATTATACAAAACCTGGAATACTATTTTAAAATGTAAGCAATCTTCAGCAAAATGTAGGTGATCTCTAAGAGAAAGGGACTTTAAATTTCTCCACATTCTCCATTACACTTCGTGGTAGGCAGAATTTGGGTCCTAAAGATGTCTGCATCAAAATTCCCAGAAACTGGTCGGGCATGGTGGCTTAAAACTGTAATCCCAGCACTTTGGGAGGCCAAGGCAGGCAGATTGCTTGAGCTCAGGAGTTTGAGACCCACCTGGGCAACATGCCAAAACACTGTTTCTACCAAAAATACAAAAATTAGCTGGCCGTGATGGCATGCACCTGTAGCCTCAGCTACTCAGGAGGCCGAGGTGGGAGGATGGCTTGAGTCCAGGAAGTCAAGGCTGCAGTGAGCTGTGATTGTGCCACTGCAGTTCAGCCTGGGCAACAGAGGGAGACCCTGTCACCCTCTCATCCCTCCCAAAAAATTCCCAGAACCTGTGAATATTTACCTGACAATGGCAAAAGAAACTTTGCAGATGCGATTAAGTCAAGGATTTTGCAATGGGAAGGTTATCCTGAATTATCTAGGTGAGCTAATGTAATCACAGGAGTCCTTAAAAGTGGAAGATGGAGGCAAAAGAGAGTCAGAGAGGCCAGGAGAGATGGCTCACGCCTGTAATCCCAACACTTTAGGAGGCTGAGGCAGGTGGATCACTTGAGGCCAGGAGTTTGAGTCCAGCCTGGCCAACATGATGAGACCCTGTCTCTACTAAAAATACAAAAATTAGTCGGGCATGGTGGCGCATGCCTGTAATCCCAGCTACTTGGGAGGGTTAGGCAGAAGAATCACTTGAACCCGGGAGGCAGAGGTTGCAGTGAGCCGAGATTTCACAACTGCACTCCACCCTGGGTGACAGAGTTAGACCCTGTCACCCCCCCGCCCCCCAAAAGAGAAACAGTCAGAGAGATATGACTAAGAAAGAGGGTCAGAGAGATGCAACATTGTTGGCTTTGAAGAGGAATGCAGGGGCCACTAGCCAAGGAATGCAGGCAGTTTCTCAAAGCTTGAAAAGGCAGGGAAACATTTTCCCCTAGAAACTCCAGAAAAGAATTAGGCTCTGCCAATGCCTTGATTTCACCCCAGTGAAATCCAAGTCAATCTCTGGACCTCCTGAACAGTATAGTAATAAATTTGTGTTGTTTTAAACCTACCAGTTCTGGGGTGCTTTGTAACAGCAGCAATAGAAAATAAACACACCCCTATTTCTCCTTGTCAGTCATTTAAAATCAACATAGACGCTAAGTTGAAACAAGTCATTGTTACACTTACACATGACTTAGAGTAAGTGCCATTCATTGAACTGGAATCAACTCTGGGCTACCCCTCGGTTCAGCCCTTGTCCATCTTGACTTAATCCATACATTCAATGTGGGGCTCTTGATTCCCAAACCGTTTCTCTTCATATCCTACTTGTAAGCTTTAGGCCAATGTTTCTGGCATGGATATCCTAGAAGCACCTCAATCTAAAAGTGCCCCAGACAGGAATCATCATTTAACCCTTGCACTTGCTCTTCTCGCTGGGTCCCTTGGTTTCCATTATGGGCCACCCACATACCCAGGAGCAAATCTCACCATTTCAGGTACAACCCTTCTCTACCCCTAAATTTATCCTGGGTCATCCATCCATTCTACCCATCCCACAACCCCCTTTTTCCACTAACATGGCCCTAACTCAATACCTTACGGCTATAAAGACAGGCTTGGAACTAGTAGCCCCAACTCCAGGCTCTCCCCAATCTCAGATGTCCTTTGCACTGTCTCAGGAATTATCTTTCCAAAACAGCCTAATCCCATTTTACCTCTGCTCAAAAGCCTTTGAATGATCTCTTGCTTATGGAATAATGCCCAAACTTCTTTCTTTTACTGAAAACCATAATCCACCCCCTAACTGCCTTCTAGCCGTAGCTTCCATCTCATCCCTATGTCCTCACACACTCCAGGAGCTAGCGATGCTGGTTTCCTGTGACTGGACCAAATCCTGTCTCTTCTCCCATCTTTGGGTCTTTGGCCTGGAATGTCACAATGTCCACCAATGGCAATAAACCACTACTCACCATTTAGTAAGCCACATGTTACTATAGGTTGGGCTTGTTCACGATCCCATTTGTAGCTGTATCACTGTATCTTCACAACCACATTTACCAATAAGGAACTGGAGGCTTAGAGACAGACATGCTGTGATGCTTTTAAAATAAATATGTCCACACATTCTTTGATACTCCTCCCTCCCTAAGGTAGAGCTTAATTATTAAACCTCGAATGTGGCACTTGGTGACCTGCTTCTAATAGCATGTGATGGAAATGGAGGTATTTGACTTCCAAGACTAGGTCATAAAAGGTACCATGCTTCCTTCTTGTGCCCAAATCTTTCACTCTGAAGGAGGCCAGTCACCATGTCATGAGGATACTCAAGCAGCCCATGGAAAGACCCAGATGGGGAAAACTTAAGGCCTCCAAACAACAACCAGCACCATGTTTGTGCACCATCTTAAAAGCAGAACCTCCAGCCCCAGTTGGGCCCTCAGATGACTGCACCCCCTGTGACATCTTAACTACAACCTCATGGGAGACTCTGAACCACGACCACCCAGCTAAGCGGCTACCAAATTCCTGACCCAGAGAAACTATAGGATAATATTTATGACTTTAAGCCACTAAATTTGGGGGCAATTTGTTACACAGTAATAGATAAATAAACACTTGCCCAAGATCATAGGATCAGTAAGTGGTGGAGATATATTTTTGTTTGTTTGTTTTTTGTTTTTTTGAGATGGAGTCTCACTCTGTCACCCAGGCTGGAGTGCAGTGGTGCGAACTTGGCTCACTGCAACCTCTGCCTCCTGGGTTCAAGCAAATCTCCTGCCTCAGCCTTCCGAGTAGCTGGGATTACAGACGCACACCACCATGCCCAGCTAATTTTTGTATTTTTAGTAGAGACAGGTTTTGCCATGTTGGCCAGGCTAGTCTCAAACTCTTGACTTCAGGTGATCTGCCTGCCTCAGCCTCCCAAAGTGCTGAGATTACAGGTGTCAGCCACTGCACCCAGCCAGTGGTGGAGATTTGAATACTGGTTTATCTATCCCAAAAGCTCAGGCTCTTAATTCTGCCTGAAGTACTACTGTAGTTTATATTTCACTACCTTTAAAAAGCCTTGACAGAGTCTCCCCCTCGAAAGTTATCTTCCTCCAATCTGTATCATTAAGCTGTACTCAAACTGTCCATCCATAATACTCATATAATCACCTTATTTGTCCAAGACCCATCTCACTTCATGGTCAACTTCCCAGCTGTGGGCTCCCAGCTTTAGTACCTACATCCTAGTGTTGTTGTGAAGATTAAATGAGATGGCATGTATCAAAGCTCTTAGTGAAGCAATGGCTCAATTATATTATTTATTAGTTCCTGGATGCAGTACTTTTTCTGTCCTATGGATGGATAAGCTCTTAATCCTGGCTATATATTAGAATTACCTAGGAAGTTTAAAAAAAAAAAAAAAAGCAAAAAAAAACAATGTTCAGGCTATACCTGAAGATTATGATTTAGTCATTCTGGGTGAAGTTAGGTACCACTATTTTCCAAAGTTCCCTGGGTGATTTTATTTTATTTATTTATTTGTTTATTTATTTATTTATTGAGATGGAGTCTCGCTCTGTCACCCAGGCTGGCGTGCAGTGGTACCACTGATACAGGAGTGCTGGGAAGGGAAGAAGGGGGTAGGGGAAGTGCTCCGTAGAGGAGGGCGTGGTCCCTGGCTAGGGCTTCACCCCCAGGGACCTAGATGAGAACAGCCATTTCCTGCCAAATGTTGCATTTCCCAAGACCACCCTGGCTTGCCACACCCCCCGTCCTGGGCATATAAAAGCCCGAGACCCTAGCGGGCAGACACCCAGGCAGCCAAACGTCGAGAGGAGCACTTCAGCGGAAAAAGATACAAGCAGCTGCTCACGGAGAGGATGTTGAGAGGAGCACACCAGCAGAAGAGCACACGGCAGGCACAGGCACCTGGCAGGACGAGGCTGAGTTTGGCCAGGGCAGTTAGTCGGAGGAAAGCTGTGGCCGCTGAGCAGCCCAACTCCATGGGAAAAACCATGGTGCCCTTCTGGCTCCTCCATCGGCTGAGAGCTACTTCCACTCAATAAAACTTTGCACTCATTCTCCAAGCCCACGTGTGATCTGATTTCTCTGGTACACAAAGGCAAGAACCTGGGATACAGAAATCCCTCTGTCCTCGCAACAAGGTAGAGGGTGAATTGAGCTGGTTAACACAAACCGCCTATAGATGGCAAACTAAGAGAGCACCTGGTAACATATGCCCACTGGGGCTTCAGCTGTAAATTCACCTATAGACACCGCCATCGGGTGGGAGCCCGACAACCTGCCTGCCTGTATGCTCCCCTAGAGGTTTGAGCAGCAGGGCACTGAAAAAGCGAGCCACATCCCCCTGTTGCATGCCCTGCGAGGGGGACAAGGTAATTTTTCCCGTTTCACCTTCTTGGCTCACTGCAACCTCTGCCTCCTGGATTCAAGCAGTTCTCCTGCCTCAGCCTCCCAAGTAGCTGAGATTACAGGCATGTGCCACCACACCTGGCAAATTTTTGTATTTTTAGCGGAGATGGGGTTTTACTGCATTGGCCAGGCTAGTCTCGAACTCCTGACCTCAAGTGACCTACCCACCTCGGCCTCCCAAAGTGCTGCTTTAAAGTTTTGAAACTACTGGACTAAATCAGAGGTTCTCAACCAGAGGCAGTTTTGCCTCATTCCCCTTGGGGACATACGCTAGTGTCTGGAGATATTCTTGATTGTCACAACTGTAGGAGGGTGCTACTGGCATCTAGTGAGTGGAGGCCAGAGATGCTGCAAAACATCCTACAATGCACAGGTCAGCTCCTTACAGCAAAGAATTATCCAGTCCTAAATGTCAATAGTGCCAAGGTTGAGACAACCTGGATTGGATATTTCCCGGCTCCCACCCTTGTTCTCCTTAAGAACTTTGGTTCCTGCTTGCTTCTCTGACTATTCCTACTTGAGACAAGAAGAATGCAGCATTTGAGTTCTTGCCTTGGACCAAATCTGGGCACCAACCAGCTTGGCCGCTGCCCCAGCTGGGCTGGCTCCAGGCCCACCAGGAAGGGCACGTGGATGGTCTCATGCTTCCCCACTTCCCTTTAATGCTTTGTTAACATTTGAATTACAACACTCACTACAGAAACTACAGCAAGTTGTAAACATGTCCCCCCACCCCAAGGGGCCAGGGCCATACTTTATTCATCTCTGTTTTTTCCACAGCACCAAGCTCTGTGCAGTTGAACTGGGTAGGTGTTCGATAGACATTCATTGCATCAAATAGATTAATATCACTTTAATTTTTATCATGCATCTGGGCATCTCTTTGAAAGGTCATGGATGTAGAGAATATAAATGCCCGTTAAAGCAAGAGCTCTTGTGTTTCTGTTCCTGTGGAGTGCAGCTGAAATGACCGCTACTGCTCCTTCACAGTATATTTACATGAGCTTCCTGTGGACATCAGCACCATTTAAAATTAAGGTATTTGTATAATAAATAAAGCTAAGAGGATTCTTATTAGAGAAGTTATCTTATTTTTAAGGTTATTTTTCATTGGTTATTACAAATGGAAAATTTTTTTTCAAGGCAAAGCAGCAACTTGGAGAATGATACTCAAAGAAGCTTGTCTTAGAAAAATATATGTAAATCAATAAATTTTGGGCTATACATTTCATAGCGGATAAAATCAGGCACAGGTTTGAAAGCTAAATAAGAAACAAGGTTTTCCTATGTTTCTCTCCTTTCAATGTGTAATCTTAGATTTAAAAAAAAACTGGTTAATATCTGGGGTTTTTAAAATTCTCAAAATTGCCAGAGTCAGCCAAGGGTCTATTCATCTTGGTATTCTCAAAGAGGGAAGATTTAAGCAAAATATGTGACAACTGAGAGCCGAGAGTCTAAATTTTTTTTTTGAGACAGAGTCTCACTCTGTCCCCGAGGCTGGAGTACAGTGGTGCGATCTCGGCTCACTGCAACCTCTACCACCCGGGTTCAAGCGATACTCCTGCCTCAGCCTCCTGAGTAGCTGGGATTACAGGCACGTGCCACCGTGCCCAGCTAATTTTTTTATTTTTAGTAGAGACGGGGTTTTGCCATGTTGGCCAGGCTGGTCTCGAACTCCTGACCTCAAGTGATCTGCCCACCTCGGCCTCCCAAAGTATTGGGATTACAGGCATAAGCCACCATGCCCGGCCAGATATAAACTGATTTTTTTTTTTTTTTTTTTTTGAGATGGAGTCTCACTCTGTCGCCCAGGCTGGAGTGCAGTGGAGCCATCTGGGCTCACTGCCAGCTCCGCCTCCAGGGTTCACGCCATTCTCCTGCCTCAGCCTCCCGAGTTGCTGGGACTACAGGCGCCCGCCACTATGCCTGGCTAATTTTTTGTATTTTTAGTAGAGACGGGGTTTCACTGTGTTAGCCAGGATGGTCTCGATCTCCTGACCTCGTGATCCGCCGGGCACGGTGGCTCACGCCTGTAATCCCAGCACTTTGGGAGGCTGAGGTGGGCGGATCACGAGGTCAGGAGATCGAGACCATCCCGGCCAACACGGTGAAACCCCGTCTCTAATAAAAATACAAAAAAAAAAAAAAAATTAGCCAGGTGTGGTGGCAGGCACCTGTAGTCCCAGCTACTCAGGAGGCTGAGACAGAGAATGGCATGAACCCGGGAGGTGGAGCTTGCAGTAAGCCAAGATCGCGTCACTGCACTCCAGCCTGGGTGACAGAGCAAGACTCCGTCTCAAAAAAAAAAAAAAAAGAAATTAAAGGAATAAAATAATGGCTACTCCATAGACAGAGCAGCATAAACTGATTTTATATAGCTAAATAACTAAGAGGTCTGGAAGGCTGCACTGTAGACTGAAGTGATTACTTCAATGTGGGGAGGACACCCATATTAGAATGGTCAAATAGTTTTAATTTTATCTGTCATGTTCTTTATTATATTAAAAATGGAGAATTGATGCAGGTAACTTATTATTTAAGCTTTTTTAGTATTTTCTAAGTATTTAGAAAAGCTTAGTCATATTTCCTGAGACATAATGACATTCAGAGAGACAGGAAAAAAATGAAGGGAATGGAGGGATAAATTACTTAGGATAATAATTTTTTTTTTAAGTTTTCTATTTTATTTCTGGAGTGCTTCTTGAATGAAATTACTGGCCTGATTAGGATAAGGTTAGCCTAGGCTAAGAATAACTAGAGACAGGAGTCACAAATATGACTGGCCCAGAGTCCTGGATGGATCACATCAGTTTGTTCTCTTAGATGGAAGAAAAGTATTATTAACACAATCTTAAATTAGGAATAAATTATTCAAAGCCTTGTGTCATACTCACTGTTGCTTTAGCCGCTCCTCCACAAATGGAATGGAGAAAAATTCTGTGAATGGCTCCCCTGCCCTCTTTGGATTTTGGCTGGTCATGATGCCATATGTTTGATTGACAAGAAAACAATAAGCAAGAATTCAAGTCAGTTGTTGCTATTCTGCTTGCAAATTAACACGACTGAATTCTTAGGATCACTGAATAGTCAGACACGAACAACTTACTTGTATAACCACTCAGTCAGAAAATCACAGGCAATGAATTTGGTTCTTTTCCTCTGAAGAGAGAAGAGATAATTAAATTACAACTGACCCTTAAACACTATGGATTTGAACTGCACAGGTCTACTTATACATGACTTTTTTCAATAAAGCTTAACACTGGCTGGGTGTGGTGGCTCACGCCTGTAATCCCAGCACTTTGGGAGACCGAGGCGGGTGGATCACTTGAGGTCAGGAGTTCGAGACCAGTCTGGCCAACACAGTGAAACCCCATCCCTACTAAAAATACAAAAATTAGCCAGGCGTGGTGGTGGGCACCTGTAGTCCCAGCTACTCAGGAGGCTGAGGCAGGAGAATTGCTTGAACCTGGGAGGTGGAGGTTGCAGTGAGCCGAGACCTCACCACTGCACTCCAGCCTGGGCAATAGGGTGAGACTGTGTCTCAAAAAAAACAAAAGAAACTTAACACCAAGTGTGCCTGCCTCTCCTGCCTCCCCTTCCACCTCTGCCACCTCTGAGACAGCAGGACCAATTCTTCCTCTTCCTCCTCCTTCTCAGCCTACTAAACCTGAAGATGAGGAGGAAGACCTTTATGATGATCCACTTCCATTTAATGACTAGTAAATATATTTTCTCTTTCTATAATTTTGTTAATAAATTTTCTTTTGCTACCTTACTTATAAGACTATAGTATATAATACATAAAACATACAAAATTTGTGTTACTGGTAAGTCAACAGTAGGCTATTAGTAGTAGGGTATTAGTAGTTAAGTTTCGAGTATATAATACATATACAAAATTTGTGTGACTGTTAAGTCAACAGTAGGCTATTAGTAGTTAAGTTTTGAGGGAGTCAAAAGTTTTAGAGGATTTTCTTTCTTTCTTTTTGTGACAGGGCCTCATTCTCTCATCCAGGCTGGACTGCAGTGGCGTGATCTCAGCTCACTGCAACTTCTGCCTCCCGAGCTCAAGTGATCCTTCCACCTCGGCCTCCCCAGTACCCAAGACTACAGGCACACACCACCACGCCTGGCTAATTTTTGTATTTTTTGTAGAGATGGGGTTGCATCATGTTGCCCAGGCTGGTCTTGAACTCCTAAGCTCAAGCAGTCTGCCCTGCCTTGGCCTCCCAAAGTGCTGGGATTACAGGTGTGAGCCACTGTGCCCGGCCAAAGTTATAAGTGGATTTTTGACTGCACGGGGGTTTGGCATCCGTATTGTTTAGGAGTCAACTGTATATTCTTACTTTGCCCATGTCTGAGTAGGAAAAAGGAAGGGAGGTTAATTGATTGCTTGTGTTAGATGAAATACGCGTGAATCCTTTATGAGATTTATAAGAACATCAACAAACAGTAACTTGGGCAAAGAATTCCAAAGACATTTCTTTAGTCCTCTTTCAATAAGCACATTTTCTGACATTAGGTAGTAATAAAAGACAGTGCTCATATCGAGGCTTACTACATGCTTTTGGAATTGCAGGATTTTGTTATTTAAATTTAGACTGTGATTCTCTGAGTAACTGTATATATTGCTTTACCCCAAATCCACTCAAATCCTCTGAGCAGCAGTCCTTCGGGTCTAAGTGCCACCTTCACGAGACACCCCGCACACAGGTGCCGCCAGCAGTGTGGCTGACCCTGCTAGCTCTCCACCCACGGTCCACTCTCCACTTCAACCTTATTAACAGAAACTTGATTGCTTCCAAATGGCAATCAACTCAGCCAAAGATCTACATTTCCCAGGCTCCCATGTAGCAAGGGACAGCTATGTCATACAGTTCTGCCCGATGAGATAAAACCAGACATATTCTAGGGACCTCTGAGAAAATTCTGCTTTCCTGATTTCTGCTGCCCCTTCTTCCTTGAAGTTTCATTTCACTTCTTCTAGGCTGGAACACAGATGTGGGGCTGGAAGTGGAGCAGCCCCTTTTAGCCATGAGGCCCAAAGCCACATGCTAAGGATGGTGAAGCAGGGGATAGAAAGAGCCTGTGTCTTTGCTGACTTCCTTAAGCCACGGCACCAGCCTGGGCCTGCCCTACTCTGGACATCTAAATGTGTAAGGAGAAATAAACTTCATTCGTTTTATTACCACTGTTCTTGAGTTTTCAATACAGGCAGCTGAATGCGCCCCTAAGGGATAGATACCTAGTAAACCACAAGGGAAAAGACATCCCAGAGTAATGGGGAGAAGATAAGCTGAGCCTGCCAATGGGGTGGAGCACCAGATATCCTGTCTTCTATTTCCATTTCAAGTTTGTTCTTGTAACCCAAAGAATACCAGTAAACTTCTTTTAGAGAATTGTTATGGAAATCGGGTGATAAAATCTCTGTCTTCTTTTAAAATAGCAGGAGCTAAGAATCAAGTCAGTCTAGAGGTGTTCGTTGCCATGTGGAGAGATCCTTCCCAAGAAGAAAGATGCTACAAAGTGTCCTGGAAATCCTCTTTGCCCATCCAGATCCACCCTCCCTAGCCTGCTCTGTACCTCAGGAAGCTGCTTTTCATGGTTCACATAAACCAGGCTCCTGTACCCTCCAGATAGGTCCATCCTATGGGTGGTACCAGCAGGAGACCAGAGAGATGAAGGAGGGAAAAAAAGAACATTAGGGGTTGAATTGTATCACCCCAAAATTCATATGGTGAAGTATAACCCCTTCGGAATGTAACCTTATTGGAAATGTCAGAGGCACGTGAACCAGAGCAACTCCATCTTGAATAGGGGCTGGGTAAAATGAGGCTGAGACCTATTGGGCTGCATTCCCAGACGGTTAAGGCATTCCAAGTCACAGGATGAGATAGGAGGTTGGCACAACATATAGGTCATAAAGACCTTGCTGATGAAACAGTTGCAGTAAAGAAGCCAGTCAAAGCGCACCAAAACCAAGATGGCGACAAGAGTGACCTCTGGGCATCCTCACTGCTACACTCCCAGCAGCACCATGACAGTTTACAAATGCCATGGCAACATCAGAAAGTTACCCTAGATCATCTAAACATGGGAGGCATGAATAATCCACCCCTTGCTTAGCATATACTCAAGAAATAACCATAAAAATGGGCAGCCAGCAGCCCTCGGGGCTGCTCTGTTTATGGAGTAGGCATTCTTTTATTCCTGCACTTTCCTAATAAACTTGCTTTCACTTTACGGACTTGCCCTGAATTTTTTCTTGCACAAGATCCAAGAACTCTCTTGGGGTCTGGATCAGGACCCCTTTCCCATAACATACCCTCCAGATCAGTCCAGCTAACGAGAGACCAGCAGGAGATCAGAGAAATGGAGAAGGGAAAGGCAGAGTGTTAAGGGTTGAATTGTATCACCCCAAGAGTCATATGTTGAAGTATAACTCCCAAGCCCTCAGAATATGACTGTATTGGAAACGGGATTGTCACAGATGTAATGAATTAAGCCCAGCCGCTCCTGAAAGACAAAGCAGTTCCACTGAGAGTGAACAAATTTGGGGCTCTATTAACAAGGAAGAAGAGAGATGCTGTTGGGTAGACAAACAGTGGCAGATCCTTGATGATACTCTACTAGATCCTGGGTCCAGCTATGACTGAAGCCAAAATTCCCTGGACCTTTCAGGTATAAGAACCAATATATTCTCTTTTGCACTTAAGCCAGTTTGCATTAGGTTGTTTATTATTTGAAACAGAGACTTTTTAGCACTATTATTGTCTTCTCCAATCAGTTAACCACGATTTATCCTTCATGATGCCTCCAGCAAGCCTTTCTGAGCATTCTCATTGTCTTTTTAAAAAATTATATATTTTTTAAAATTTTAGAGACAGAGTCTCTCTCTGTCACCCAGGCTGGAGTATAGTGGCATGATCTCTCTCCAGCCTCAAACTCCTGGGCTCAAGCAATCCTTCTGCCTCAGCCTCTTGAGTAGCTGGGACTACAGACACATGCCACCACACTGGCTAATATACTTTTAAAACTTTCTGTAGAGACGGGGTCTCACTCTGTTGCCCAGGCTGGTCTCAAACTCCTGGGCTCAAGTGATCCTCCTGCCTCCTGCCTCAGCCTCTTGAGCAGTTGGGACTACAGGCATGCACCACCACACCTGGCTAATATATTTTTAAAACTTTTTGTAGAGATGAGGTCTCACTATGTTGCCTAAGCTGGTCTCAATCTCTTGCGCTCAAGTGATCCTCCCGTCTCGGCCTTCCAAAGTGCTAGGATTATAGACATGAACCACTTTGCCCAATCTCACCCTCTTCAGTTTAGGGTGGGCTCTACTCCAGTTTTCCGTGTGCTTGTCTGTCATAGCACCTGAGACTGTAACATGAGTCTGCCATGTCTATCTTCCCTAGTGAATCATAAGCTCTGTGACGACAGGCCACATATACATGTCTTTTTTTTCTTTATATCCCCAGTGCTTAACTGACTGCACTGAGGCTGGGCATGGTGGCTTACACCTGTAATCCCAGCACTTTGGGAGGCCGAGGCAGGCGGATCACCTGAGGTCAGGAGTTTGAGACCAGCCTGGCCAACATGGCAAAACCCCATCTCTACTAAAAATACTAAAATAAGCCAGGCATGGTGGCACGTGCCTGTAATCCCAGCTACTCAGGAAGCTGAGAGAGGAGAATCGCTTGAACCTGGGAGGCGGAGGTTGCGGTGAGCTATCACGCCACTGCACTCCAGCCTGGGCAACAGAGCAAGACTCCATCTCAAAATAATAATAATAATAATTAATTTTAAAAAATTGACTGCACTGGACAGAGCAGGTGAGCAGTCCCTGTTGAGTAAATGAATGAATGAATTCACCATTCAACTCTCAAGCATCAAAGCAAGAAAAAAACTCATGTACACAGGTTCTGATATTTACAAGTAGGAATTGCTAATATAATTGTAGACAATTTCTCTTTACTTTCTTCCCACAATATTTTACTAGGAAAATGTTTCCATAATTTTTTTTCTTTCTTCCTCTTTAGTTTGAAATGGCAAACTCAGCTTTATAATTCAAGATAAGGTTGAAACGATTGTTGTGAAATTGATGTTTCACCAAAAAGAAAAGTTCTCCTTAACACTTTTTACCGAAACCTTTATTGGAGTTTTTAGTAAATAAAATATCGTGGTGCCTGAGTTACTGGAGATTATCTGCAATCTTTTACCTCATTGCTGAAACCCCTTTATGAAAAAATGGAAATACTGCTGGTTGGCGTAATAAAATGTATGTATCAGACCATGTAATGGGGTCCTCTAATCTGCCCTGCAAGAATAGAAGTCCCTTCAAAAAGCCATCTTTAACCAAAATAAGAAAATACTTGTATAACAATGCAAATATGTAACTAGCCTGAATTGCCGTATAATAATTTAAACAATCTGGCAATTGTAGGATGGCAGTGTCTCTCTCCCGCCCTACAAAAGATGCATTGTTCCCTTGGCATTTATCACATCATTTAGTGGTAAAGATTTCTTCTGTAAAGAGAATGCAGCTTGACTTTAATAAACAGACTTTAAAAATAGCCAAATGGTCTGATGTATGACGGTCATGCACACAGATTTAATCACTTTCGATGCAAAGAAATAAAATGGAAGAAATAGTGTTTTCCTTCTGTTCTGGGCAAGCGTGGACGTGCTGTGCATACCCAGACATGTGGAACAGTGGGGATATTGTTCAGCTGTTGTTTAGTTTAAAAATTATCTGCTGAGGAGCTGAAAGAGAGAAGGAAAAGCAAATGAAAAGTTGTGGTGAGTGATGAAATAAGAGAGGAAGTAGGAGAGAAAGAAATTAAAGAGCGAGATTTAGACAGCGAGGGCACCCAGGGTTTATGTAATGTGGGCAAATACACTGAGTCCTTGATTGTTAAAGGGTGAAAATGCTTATGTTTGTGAGAGCAGAGGGAACAGTTAAGGCAGCCTCTAACAAGGTTTAAAAATATTCTTTTAATCTATAATTAAAAGGAAAAAGACTAGGTGTCAAGGGTTAAGGCATCATCATGTCCTCATTAAGTCTGCAACTTACTCTGAAATGCATCCAAAAAACCGAGATGAATGAATAGAGGGATGGATTGCTGGGTTCATGGATATGTGATAAAACAAATAAAGCAAAATGGAAATTGTAGAATCAAGGCAGTGGATATGTGGGAATTCATTCCAAAATTCTCTCAGTTCATCTATCTGATTAAATTTTTTTAAATAATAAAATTAGAAGAGAGGGAAATAGGAGGAAAATACCATCATAAAAGACCCAGACCTCTAAAAGAGAAAATGCAGAATTTTGTTTTTTGAGACAGAGTCTCACTCTGTTGCCCAGGCTGGAGTGCAGTGGCACGATCTCCACTCACTGCAACCTCCACCACCTGGGTTCAAGCCTCAGCCTCCTAAGTAGCTAGGATTACAGGCGTAGGCATAGAATTACCATGGCCTGGCTAATTTTTGTGTTTTTAGTAGGTATGGGGTTTTGCCATGTTGGCCAGGCTGGTCTCCAACTGCTGGCCTCAAGTGATCTACCCGCCTCGGCCTCCCAAAGTGCTGGGATTACAGGCATGAGCCACAGCGCCCAGCCGAAAATGAGGAAATTAACAGCGGTTCAATCCAGACAGTATTTTGTACCAATTTTTATACTGGATGCACGTAGAAGAGACACACTGGAGGACTGAAGGCTGAGAAGAGAAACAGCTAGCATTAAAAAGCAATTGAATCTGCATCAGATGACTCATATAATTCCACCTAGAAAAGTCAAAAGCACATGCTGTGAGTTCAGGGGACTGAAGTGTGGCTGGCTACGGCACTGTGTTGGTTGAGACTCTTTGGGCTTACAAGGAATAGAAATATGCTCAATTTACTTCATGTCTTAGTCCATTTAGGTGGCAATAACAAAAATATCATAAACTGGGTAACTAATAAACAACAAACATTTGTCTCTCACAATTCTAGAGGCTAGGAAGTCCAAGATAAAAGTGCTGGCAGATTTGGTGTCTGGTTCCTCATAGATGGCACCCATAGATGGAAGGGACAAGGCAGCTGTCTGGAGCCTCTTTCTTTTTTTTTTTTTTTTTTGACATGGAGCCTTGCTCTGTTGTCCAGGCTGGAGTGCAGTGGCGCGATCTCAGCTCACTGCAAGCTCTGCCTCCCGGGTTCACGCCATTCTCCTGCCTCAGCCTCCCAAGTAGCTGGGACTACAGGCATATGCCACCACGCCCGGCTAATTTTTTGTAGTTTTAGTAGAGATGGGGTTTCACTGTGTTAGCCAGGATGGTCCTGACCTCGTGACCATCTCCTGACCTCATGATCCGCTGGCCTCGGCCTCCCAAAGTGCTGGGATTACAGGCGTGAGCCACTGCGCCCGGCCATGGAGCCTCTTTTATAAGGACACGAATCTCACTCATAAAGCCTCCACCCTGATGGCCTAATCACCTCCCAAAGGCTCTACCATCTAATATCATCACACTGGAGATGAGATTAACATATGAATCTGGGGGGAAGATATAGACATTCAGATCATAGTACCTCAGTTACTGGGCTTGTTTGTTTGTTTAGTCATATTCGGCTCGATTTTGCTGTGATAATAACTAAACTTCAAGTCTCAGTGGCTTATCTTGTCAATGGTTTATTTTTCACTCATGTTACATGAACATTTCAATCAGCTGTGGCTCTCTGCTCCATGCTGTCTTTACTCTAGGACTCAGGCTGACAGAGCAGCCTGTATCTCAAATATCACCAGCTCTTATGGCCAATCAAAAGAATATGGTGAACTATGCTTTGCCGATTGATTGATTGATTGAGACACTATCACCCAGGCTGGAGTGCAGTGGCACAATCAAGGCTCACTGCAGCCTCAACTTCCCAGATTCAAGTGATCCTCCTGCCTCAGCCCCCCAGGTAGCTGGGACTACAGGTATGCAACACCAGGCCCAGCTAATTTTTTTGAATTTTAGTAAAGACAAGGTCTTGCTATGTTGCTTGGGCTGGTCTTGAACTCCTGAGCTCTAGTGATCCTCCAGCCTCGGCCTCCCAAAGTGCTGGCATTACAGGTGTGAGCCACTGGGCTTGGCCTGTTTTGACTCTTTCAGCATGTGTTTGGAAATGATATATGTCATGCCCATCCATTTTGCTGACCAAAGCAGTCAGTCACATGGTCAAACCTCCATTAGGGAGAGGCCAAAAATATTTCTGAAGTATAATCTCTTCTACCACAGGGAGTGACACAGTAAAGGTAAAAGAAATGGTGGGGAAAATGAGAATCTCTCTGGCTGGTGGCAGAGCCAGGTCTCAGGAAGACCTGGACCATTGCTTATGGCTGTTCAGGGCACAGGTGAGGCTACAGTCATCCAACAACGGTTCTGGTTCCGGTTCTAGTTATGTGGAGCTCAGCTCCTTGGCCATGGCTCCTTTCATTGCTTGCTGTTGCTTTCTCTGCTGTTCTCTCCTAATTGATTCTCTGTCCTCCTTTCTCTGCCTTTAAGGTTGTCTCTAGGTGTCCCCCTCTCCCTACGCTACAGTCTGCCTGTTCTCTCTGCAGTGTGACATCCCACCTCCCCAGATGGGAGAATCTGATAGGACTAGTTGGATACTCCCAAGAGAGACCATCTCTGTTGGGTGGACCATTTCACAGTCATTTGCCATCTAAGAGTGGCTGCCCAAGGGCCTGATCCATATTCCTGGTTCAATCACTTGTATTCAGGGTGATGGAGACATGGATAAAATAGGGACAAAGAACAGCAGTTAAGGACTGTGGATGTGGCATACACATAGAACATCACAGCCTCCTTTCCCACGTATTTTCCACAATACATTTCCAGATACCCGATAATTCCCATACACGATGAAACCATCCGTAACTATGATCCCAGAAATAAGCATACACTTGGCCTATAACCAGATGCCAAAATATTTATAGCAAACTGCAAACAGGTATTCACATTTTTTTTTCCATTGAGAAGGCATTTCATTAGAGAAAAATAATACTTCTCTAAAGAAGTTCAAAAAATGCACTAATAACATTGACCAAGACCTCCAGCCCAGGCCACAGGGTCATTTCAGAAAGTGTTTTGGCTGAAAAGGGATCATGCTAAAATAATTCTACCACACCTTTCCTGCCAGAATCTATTGTTTCCACTCCTTAGAAATTTTTTCGAACAAAAGCTGATGGTATTACTAATTTTCCTTATTGGTCAAGACCAGGAAATAGAGTTTCTTCCCTCACTGACCAAAGCCCTTGTACTTTTAAAAGGATATTCAGGTTTTTAATTATAAGAAGGAAAATAACTACAATGAATGACTATGAGATGGGCAAGGAATGTAAAAAGAAAAAAAAAAGAAAGAGAAAAAAATTCTGTAATTTTACAGAATTATTCGTAGTAGCAAATTTTTGTGTCGTGAGATCATCAAAGAACTTGTCAGGAGTTAGAAACAGTTTCCTGATACCAACTATGGTCTACAATAGTCTTCACTGTAATGGAATTTGATAAGCAACCAAAAGCCGAAAGGGAAAATTTTACGTTACATGGAGTAAGATAGGAGAAGAGGCGGTCTTATGGCCTCTACCCAGAGTCCACATTTAATCCATATTTAAAGCTGACATAAAATTTATTTTCAGCCATCGTTTTACTCATGCACAAAACTGATTTCTTTCCAAATTAAGCAAAGTGCATTGTTCCAGTCTGACTCTGTTCAACAAACATTTACTTACTGTGTGCACGCCCTGTGTTAAACACAAGAGATAAAGAAAATGAGTAAGGCACGGCCCCAGTGTGGTTATTAAATGCCCCCAAACTGCCACCCTGCAGCTCCTGACCTGGGTAGTAAGTGACAGTAGGTGCAGATGGTTAACTCCGTCTCAGCTCCAGGTGTGAACCCTGATAAGGCAGGTGAGATAATCCCACCTCACCCCACCTAGACCTGAGCCAATCTGGTCCACATTTATCCTGGCCAAAGGGATGCACTGAATCAGGAATGGGCATGTGACCCACTTCAGAGTGATGAGATGTCAGGGGAGGTGTGCTGGAGCTTCTGGGAAGTTAATTTCCTTTGCTTTCCTGAAAGAGTTTGTTGTCCCCCTTCTGTTTGATGTAGTAGGTGGATACAAAGCCGAGGCAGTGGTCGCAGCTGTTTTGCCAATCCAAAGGAAGCCAGCCCGGGATAAAGCTGACTCTGCTAGAGGCCAAGCAGAGAGGCAGGAGAGAACCAAGTCCTCCTCAGTTATATCACAGAGTTCCTGAATCAAACCAACCCTGAAGCCTTCCCTCTCTACCTTGGGGCCTTCTAGTTTCCTGAGCCAATAAATCCTCTGTATTATTTAAGTCAGTTTCCTGCTAGTTGCAACATAATGCACCCTAACCAAGATACGTGCTCAGTATCCCTTCCATCTTATTTTGGTAACAGCACCCTGAGTTCCTTTCAGGAATCCATCTTTCCCCAGCAAAAACTATGGGCTTTGGATGCCTAACAGGCCACTAAATCACAATTCCCCTAGTTCCAAGGACCTATTCCAAAGCAGGTATGTTTATTTATTTATTTATTTTATTTTTAGAGACAAGGTCTTGCTCTGTCACCTAGGCTGGAGTGTAATGGCATGATCATAGTTCACTGCAGCCTTGAATTCCTAGGCTCAAGGGATCTTCCTGCCTCAGCTTCCTGAGTAGCTAGGACTACAGGCACATGCCACCTGTAATGCTCAGGTAATTTTCAAAAATTTTTTTTTTTTTTTGTAGAGATAGGGGTTTTGCTATGTTGCCCAGGCTGGTCTCCTGGGTTCAAGCAATTCTTCTGCCTTGGCATCTCGAAATGTCTGGGATTACAGGCATGAGACACTATGCCCAGCCCAAATTACTCAGACAATTGACCCGAGTTGGCTCAATTAGAGAGAAACTCTGGGAGAGACTCTCTCTCTCTCTCTCTCTCTGCTACACTTGAGCCTTATAGGACATAGGCTGGTGCCACAAAATGAGGGCTCATTTGAGGGTGGAGCCAACCCAGACGAAGCAGTCAAGAGAAGAAGAGAGAGAACAGTCATGGAGACATCATCTGGGTCACCAGATCAAGCTGTGCTGGAAGATCTCCCTGTGGGCCTCTTGTCTACATTTTTTAAAAGGTCCGGGCACGATGGCTCATACCTGTAATCGCAACACTTTGGGAGGCTGAGGCAAGTGGATCATTTGAGCTGAGAAATTCGAGACCAGCCTGGCCAACATGGCAAAGCCCCATCTCTACAAAAAATACAAAAACTAGCCAGGCATGGTGGCATGTATGCCTATAGTCCCAGCTACTCAGGAGGCTGAGGTGGGAGGATCGTTAGAGCTGGGGTAGATTGAGGCTGCAGTGAGCTATGATCTGACTCCAGCCTGGGCAGCAGAGTGAGACCCTATCTCAAAAAATAAATAAGTAATATATAAAGAAAGAAAGAAAACAATCCCTTTCTACTTAGGACAGTTTGAATGGGGTTTTCTGCCATGTTCAGGACCTGCCCTCAAAGAGTTAACTCCAGCAAATAAGGAAATCTTAGCTCTGCATACTTAATACTCCCCAGCTGAAACAAACTCATTTGAGTTTCCACTACTTTTTACTGCTAACAATATAAGCCTTTTATCAAAAAATGCTTACAGTAAAAATGATTAACTTTACTCTGAGTGTTCAAAATATTTTCAGAGATGCATCAGAAAGAATTTCCAAGTGAAGTTTGCAATGTAGCCACTGAGCCAGCTCTGTTTAATATAGCAGTTCAATTAAATTCTAATTAAATTCTGATCGCTCGTGTTCCAATTAAGCTAATCCAAAGGCAGGGCTGAATGTCATGGAATTCCTTAAGAATATCAACCTAACTGTAAGGTTTAATCTTCATAATGCTATTTACACATCTCAGACTTAATTTGTTCCAGTGGAATGCAATGCAGGTCACGGTAGAGCAGGAATGGTACTGTGGCCTTTTAACTAGACTTCAGTCTAAAAACACTGTTGAAGTTCTATTTTAACAATTGCACAGTTGATTTCCTGCCTTACAACCTTTTCCCCTTCCAACTCTTGTAGAGTGTGGCCAGCCCAGGGGCACTCAGGAAGGCAGCTATAACTATAATCGGAAGATCAGAAAGGTCAATGGCAATGCAGATTCAATAAGGAGAAGGCAAGTCTTTGTACAAACTCTACTCCCACAGATTTTGATCTCAGGATCAAAATTATTTGCACACCTAGCTTCAAAGCCATGCCTCCGAGAAACCAAGGGATCTGGAGCACTCCCTTCAAGGCCTGCTCTCTGCTTGGAGAAGGCATGCCAAGCTCTTTGTTAAAGGAAGCTACTGGCAGAGGCTTGATGACACACCTGTCCTGATCCATCTCGCTACTCCTGCCTAAAACAGAATTTATTCTTTCTCTCATTGCCTACCTGGACCCCAACTCTCTTTCCTCTGGCTTTGCACTTGCTCACATTTGCCTCCCTCCTTCAAACATAATTTTAAAATTTATTTTTATTTATTTATCTTTTTTAAAGATAGGGTCTCGCTCTGTCACCCAAGCTGGAGTGCAGTGGTGTGATCATAGCTCACTGCAGCCTCAAACTCTTGGGCTCAAGCAATCCTCTCACCTCAGCCTCCCGAGTGCTGGGACTATAGGCACATGGCACTGCCTGGCTAATTTCTATTTTTTGTAGAGATGGGGTTGCCCAGGCTGGTCTCCAATTCCTGGTCTCAAGTGACCCACCTACGCAGGCCTGCCAAAGTGCTGGGATAACGGGTGTGAACTACTGTGCTTGGCCAAGCACAATTCTTAATAACGATGGCTCCCATTACTGTGCCTGACACACCCCATCTCATTTATTCTTCCCCACAGCCCTGGTGAGGTGGGTACTATGATTATCACTTCCCCACTTAATAGATAAGAAAACTGAGGCTCACAGCATTTCAGGAGACTTCCTAGGGGCACAGAGCTAGCAGAGCTGAAGGAGAGATTCAAGCCCACCTAACTCCAGCAGCCCCACCCTCATCACCGTACCTGCCACAGCCCTCCACATTTCTGACACCACCCCTACCATTCAACTCCCCCTAAATGGCCAGTCCCAGTCCACCTCTTCCTCGCAGACTGTCCTCATTTTCAGACTTCCACTTTTTCCAATTTAATTTTGTTGTTATTCAATTGTTATCTTTCATTGTAGCTGTGCCAGGCACTTAACTGAATGCTTTAAATGCATTATCTTATTAAATTCTCGGCTGGGTGCGGTGGCTCACGTCTGTAATCCCGGCACTTTGGGAGGCCAAGTTGGATGGATCACTTGAGGTCAGGAGTTCGAGACCAGCCTGGCCAACATGGTGAAACCCCGTCTCTACTAAAAACACAAAAATTAGCCGGGCATGGTGGCACACACCTATAGCCCCAGCTACTGGGGAGGCTGAGATAGGAGAGTTGCTTGAATCCGGGAGTTGGAGGTTGCAGCGAACCGAGATCATGCCACTGCACTCCAGCCTGGGTGACAGAGCAAGACTCCATCTCAAAAAAAAACAAAAACAAACAAAACAAAAAAACACAAAATTCTCATTAACTTAGGCCAGGCGCAATGGTTCACTCCTGTAATCCCAGCACTTTGGGAGGCCAAGGTGGACAGATCACTTGAGATCAGGAGTTCAAGACTAGCCTGGCCAACATGGTGAAACCCCGTCTCTACTAAAAATATTAAAATCAGCCAGGCACGGTGGCACACGCCTGTAGTCCTAGCTACTTGGGAGGCTGAGGCAGGAGAATCCCTTGAACCAGGGAGGCAGAGGTTGCAGTAAGCCAGGATCACGCCACTGCACTCCAGCCTGGGCCACGGCGCGACACTCCATCTCAAAAGAAAAAAAAAATCATAAACTCCCTTATCTGAAGCAATTACTATTGTTATTTACATTTTACAGAGGAAGAGACTGAGGCTTAGAAATATTAAAATTACAAGGTCACAATACTAGCAAGGTCTGGGGTCACGCATCTACAAAGAGGTGGAATGAGGCCCTATTCTCAGGTGAAAATGGCTCCAAATTCTATTCTAAATCATTAAGCTTCCCTTACACTGTAGTGCCTCCCACACAACAATAACTACTTAATCATTCAGCTTCCTTTATACTAGACTGCCTCCCACATAACAGCTATGACTATAAAAATATGGATAGTTCCAGGACTTCAAAGCATGAATTGGCACACTTTTTCTTTTTCTTTTTTTTTTTTCCTTTTTGAAACAGAATTTCACCTGTTGCCCAGGCTGGAGTGCAGTGCTGCAATCATAGCTCACTGCAGCCTCGACCTCCCAAGCTCAATGGATTCTCCCACCTCAGCCTTCTGAGTACCTGGGACTACAGGCGCACACCATGGTGCCCAGCAAATTGTGTAAATTTAATTTTTGTAGAGACGGGGTTTCACCATGTTGCCCAAGGCTGGTCTTAAATTCCTGGGCTCAGGCGATGCTCTTGCCTCAGCCTCCTAAAGTCCTGAGGCTATATATGTGAGCCACCATGCCCAGTCAAACTTTTTCTTAAAGGGTCAGATAGTAAACATAGGCTCGTGTCACAAATATTCAACTCTGCCACTGTAGTGCAAAAGCTATTACAGATAATAGGTAGAGGAACGGGCATAGCTGTGTTCCAGTGAAATTTCATTTACAAAAACAGGTAGCTGACCTGTGTAGTTGGAAGGCGTTCAGCTTCGGAACGTTATGAATAACTGACAGATGATCTTTCCTATGGTATCATGGAAACATCCATAGTACTTGATTTCTGACACTGAAGTCTGATTTTAAGAAAGCTCTGTTTCGTCTCTCTTCTCTATTTCCTGGATAACCCTTTATGATTCTAAGGGGTTAACAGTTGAAACATCTTTTGGATCTGGGACTAGTTTATGACCTGGCTTTTCCTGTTCCTAAAATGTAGCAGGAGAAATGCAGTTCTCTAAACAACCAAGAGAGTCAATGATTTACTTTAAGATACATTCTTTCAAAAAAACCTCATTTTCATTCTTTAAAAAATGGCTTCCTTCTTTAGACATAAATTCTCAAGAGAAGGCTGAAATACTTGCAGGGCTGGTTTTTTGTTTTGTTTTGTTTTGTTTTTTTCCATTACAGGATGTGATTCTAGCAGTTGCTTAATTCTAGGAGGTGTCTTTATATTACATTCTCAGATTCTAAGCTCATCATTATTTCTAAGAGTTATGTTTTGATTTTTACTAATACCTATCATTTTAAAAGGTACTAGTATTTTCAGAATGACAAGGAGAGTCCATCCTTGGCCATCTATCTGTAATGTCCAGAATGCAGTAAGAGAATTACACCCTCCATTCACTCATGTAACAATTGGTCAACCAGAAGAGGCCATGGGGAATAGCACTCCTTTACAGGTTGGCTCTTTTCCAAGAGAAACGCTAATAGGATTAACAACATTTAATGTGTATTGAGTGCTGTCTATATGCCAGACACTCTTAAGTTTTGCTTAACTCATTTATCCTCACAACAAGAACATATTACTACGATGTACTACATACAATTCATATTTTACAGATCAGAAAATGGGGGCACAGAGATGCTAAATACCTTGCCCAAAGTCACTTACTAGTAAATGGAAGGATAAGAATTTAGCTGGGTTCGGTGTCTCATGCCTGTAATTCCAGCACTTTGGGAGGCAGAGGTGGGCGGATCACCTAAAGTCAGAAGTTTCAGACTGGCCTGGCCAACATGGTGAAACCCTGTCTCTATTGAAAACATAAAAATTAGCTGGGACTGGTGGCACACACCTGTAATCCCAGCTATTCGGGAGGCTGAGGCACCAGAATTGCTTGAACCTGGGAGGTGGAGGTTGCAGTGAGCCACGATAACACCACTGCACTCCAGCCTGGGCAACAGAGTAAGACACTGTCTCAAAAAAAAAAAAAAAAAAAAGAATTTGAGCCCAGATGGTTGAACTCCAGAACAAGCCCCTTCACACATTAGCTCATTTAATCTTTCCTGAAGTCACCAGGCTGGAGCTAACAGTCACAGCTGCCATCTGTGACCCGGTCCATATTATTTCTAACGCAGTGTATACGGTAAGTTGCAAAAAGGGCCACCATTCTCCACCCTTCCTGTATCTGCACTTTGCAGTGTGACTTTACAGCTCTTCCCATCAAGAATTGGAATCTATAAAAGGGAACAAACTCATGTATTTTGCAGCAACATGGATGGAACTGGGGGGCATTATCTTAAGTGAAACAAGCCAGACACAGAAAGTCAAATATCGCATGTTCTTACTCATAAGTGGGTGCTAAAACCTGTCTATACACAGATGGATAGAGTGGAATGACAGACAGTGAAGACTCGGAAGGGTGAAGGGGTGGGAGGAGGGTGATGATGACAAACTACTTATTGGGTACAATGTGTGTTATTTGGGTGATACCCTAAAGCTCTGACTTTGCCACTGTGCAATCTATGCATGTAATGAAATTGTATTTAAACCCCACACATTTACTTAAAAAAAAAAAAAAGGAATCTATTTCCTAACTCTTCGGATCTGGGCTGGCCTTGTGACTTGCTTTGGCCAATCTAACGTGTGAAAGTGACACTATGTCAGTTCCAAGCCTCAGGCTCAAGAGGCCTTGACGTGTCTAATTGAATTGAAGCAACCCTGCCTGGCTGCCCTATGAACAACCTAGGGTTAATCTGATAGAGGATGAGAGACCACATGGAACAGCTCATCCCAGCTGAGGCCATCCTAGACCAGCCAGCATCTAGCCTATCCAGTAGCTGCCAAAGACACATGAATGAACCCAGCCAAGGCCAGAAGAAACTCCCAGCTAAATCTAGCCCAAGTTGCTAACTTGCAAAAAAGTGAGCTAAATAAATGGTTATGATTTTTTGCTGGCAGAGATAGGGGTCTTGCTATGTTGCCCAAGCTGGTCTTGAACTCCTGAGCTCAATGATCCTTCTGCCTTGGCCTCTTAAATTGCTGGGATTACAGCCATGAGCCACGATGCCTGACCAATGCTTGTAATTTTAAGCCACTAACTTTTGAGGTAGTTTATTATATGGCAAAAAAGTTAACTGATAAAGTACATAATAATCGAAATGCAATTTATGGCCAAATGATAATGTTCCCCCTATCTGGCAGTTAGTCAAGACTGCTACCACAGCCATCTGGCATAAAGCCATGCCCCTCAAAGCCGGCGGACAAAGCTTCAGACCAGAGGAGGAAAATCCTGCCACAAAGCCACTGCCCTTCACTTTGTTAAAGAACCATTGGGTCACCCTCAGGTCAGAGCCTGCTGACTTTCTTTTTAAAGCCTTGTCCTTTGAGGATCACTTTGATTTTTAGAAACAAAAGCAACTCGTAGCCAAGTTTGGGAAATGAAGTGATCAATGCTCTTTTGTTAAAAATAAAAAAGAAACTTGACTATAAAGTTATAATAAGATTTTCTTGCATGGCTTACAAACTAGATCTGACGGCAATTCTAAGAGTCACAATGGGAAATGTTTTCAGCACCCACAGCCTTATCACCATGAGACACAGTAGGAATGAATGTCAGGTTGGGGATGGTTAATGGCAACAACTAAGACCTACTATTTGATAGCAAAACAGGGTAACTACAGTCAATAAAAACTTAAGTGTACATTTTAAAATAAGTAAAAAAGTCTATGTAATTGGATTGTTTGTAACACAGTTACTTAGGGGATGGAAACCCCATTCTCCATGATATTTCGCATTGCATGCCTGAAGCAAAACATCTCATGCACCCAATAAATATATATATCTACGACGTACCCACAAAAATTAAAAGAAAAAAAAAAAGAAATGAAGCTAGACTCTTTTTTTTTTTTTTTTTTTTGAGACATAGTCTCACTCTGTCCCCCAAGCTGGATCTCTGCTCACTGCAACCCTGCCTCCTGGGTTCAAGTGATTCTCATGCCTCAGCCTCCCGAGCAGCTGGGATTACAGGCACATGCCACCAGGCCTAGCTAATTCTTAGTATTTTTAGTAGAGAACTTGGTGGAAGTCATGTTCCAGGTCTTGGCTTTGCACTTTTGCTTTTACCCTCTTGGAAAGCTGCTGGAGACCACCACGCTGTAAAGGAGCTGGGCTGGCCCACTGGAGGATGAGAGGCCACATGAAGGAGAACCGAAGTGCCCCAGCTAGCAGGCAGCACCAGGGCCCCAGACACATGAGTGAGATAGAATTGGACCTTCCAACCCAGCCCAGTTACCAGCTGAACGCAGTCACATGAGTGACCCCAGGAGAGAGCACCAGAACTGCCCAGTCGGCCCAGAGTCATGAAAAATAATAAATCGTTATTTTAAGCCATGAAGTTTTCAGGTAGTTTACTGTACAACACAGCAATCAGGTAACTGATAAATAGGTTATATTATATCATCTAAGCATTTCATTTCAGGATAGCAAGAAGCACACTATACAATGCTATGACAAGGGAGCACTGGGCCCAGTAGGGTTGAGTCACGGCTCTAATTACTTCCAACTGCTTTTAAAATAAAACCCACTTTGTTTACTGGCCCATGTGATGTTACGGCCGCTGCGGGGCTGACCCTGTCAAACTCACCTCCTCTCTCTTTTGCTCACTCTGCCCCAAACATACTGGCCTCCTTTTTGTCCCTGGAATAGGTCACAGAATTTGGCAGTACTGGGTCATTAGTAAACTTGAGTTGTACCAGACATAGTGAGCATTTAAATGCCAGAGTGCCACATTAAAGAAAGAATGAATGGTAAAAAGATGTAGGTGAGGTGATTCACTGAGTGTGTCAGTGAAAAGGAAAGAGAGAAAGAAAATAACCTAGACGATGCAGCAGGGTCAAATATGAGGACTTGAAAATGTTACTTATCATTAACTTTTATTTTTCCTGATTACAAAGGTAACTCGTGCTTCTTTTGAAATTTTTTAATATACCCAAAATATTGGAATATTAAATATAGGAGAGCAAAGGGTCAAAACTTTCATCTCTTTCCCATCTTCCATGTGATTCTTCACTTATTGGCCAACGAATTTAGATACTATTATCTGCATTCTGTTACCTTTGGCTTGTTGTATACATGGCTGCATAAATCGCTATACACACAGGAAATGTCTGTACAGTATCTATTGTTGGCCACAGATGTACTTCCACCAGCTATTTGTACAAAGCAATCATTTTCCGTTATTTACCTTTCACAGAGTATATTTGTTTAACACAATATAAAATACTGCTAGCACCCAGCTAATTTCACAGCAAAACTAGAAGGCCATTGGCTTTATTTGTAGATTGTCACTCTAATGCCATACAGATGCCACTTAAAAAATCTCAATTACTTTTTTTACATGATTGAAAATGACCCTTTGAGAAAGGGTTAAATAAATCTATTTCACTTGTTAAATTCGTATCATGAAATGTGGAGGTCTTGATCTAACTCTCAGGCTGAGATAATTCATGGAAATCATGTGCTTAAGGTTTATTCTCCCAATTGTAATCTCCACCAAAAATTAAGGATTAGGGAAATACCTGCCTATTAAATATGCTGAATTTTACATTGAGCATTTAAAATAGAGTTAAATATCTAAGATGGGCCAGGTGCACTGGCTTATCCCTGTAATCCCAGGACTTTGGGAAACCAAGGCAGGAGGACCACTTGAGCTCAGGAGTTTGAGACCAGCCTGGGCAACACAGTGAGACCCCATCTCTAAAAATAAAAATGAAAATAATTTTTAAAATGAAAAAATATACTATTTGTGTGCTTAGAGAAAAGAAGAAAAAATAATCTAAGCAGGAACAACTGTTTGTTTAGAAACTATATTAAATTCATAGTATTTAAAATGATATATATAAAAGAATCACAAGATGAGTGACTCAAAATCAAAATAATCAAGCTTGCATAGCTTTTGGGGAACAGGCCTGGGTTGAAAGGGTCTGCCTGATTCCAGAGGCTGGAATCATGGAATTGCTGAACCATGTACCACACAATGCCTGAATTCATGTGTGCAGACACACCTACACCTATACACACACCCACACACACCACACACCACACAATAGATGTGTGTGTAATTGGCCAAATGCTCTATGGCATAGTAATTAGGTGCCAGCTCTTGCTGTTTCTCTGTCTGCTCTGTTCCCCCTGGTCTTCCTTGGAGTTTCATGGTACTGGCAGGACAACCTAAATAAAAGGCTTGCTAACTTCTCACTCCTTTTCTCCACAGCCTCCAGACCCATCTTTCATGTCAGAATCTGACCTCTGCTTTCAGCAAGCTGTGTGACTGACCATCAGAGTGGAGCAGTGGTCAAACTCTTAGACTCTGGAACAATTCTTGGTTTGAGTCTTGGCTCTGCCACTTTCTAGCTGTGAACTTAAGCTTCTTGGTTAGCCCTGGTGCTGTACAGCCCTGATCCATAAGATGATGATAATAGCATCCACCTCCAAAGATTGTTGGGAGGATTAAATGAGTGACTGCAGGTAAAGTGCTTAGAATGACATCTGGCACAAAGCAAGGCTCAAAAAGTGCTGACAACTACTATTCTTGAATCCTAGCCTCTTGCTCTACTCTCTGGCTCTCCATTGTCTGTGAATGAGGCTCCTTCAATTTGAGGGGATTTGCTCCTTGCCCAGCTCCAGCTCCAGGGAGCCTAGCAGACTTAGGCGGTCTCCCCATTGTTTACCTCCCTCCAGAGGCAGTAGATCCAGTCACTGCAGGTATAGTTAATAAATTACCTCCTGTGTGTAATAACTACAACAAACTGAATAAAGGTCACAGACCTCCAGAGTGCTCATGTAGCTTAATTATGATCTTAAAAGTAGGCCCTGACTTTTATTTATTTATTTATTTATTTGAGACAGAATCTCACTCTGCCACCCAGGCTGGAGGGCAGTGGCGTGATCTCAGCTCACTGCAACCTTTGCAACCTGGGTTCAAGCGATTCTCCTGCCTCAGCCTCCCGAGTAGCTGGAATTACAGGCACGTGCCACCATGCCCAACTAATTTTTTTGTATTCTTAGTAGAGACAGGGTTTTGCCATGTTGGCCAGGGTGGCCTTGAACTCCTGACCTCAAGTGATCTACCCGCCTCGGCCTCCCAAAGTGCTGGGATTATAGGCATGAGCCACTGCATCTGGCCAGCCCCATCTTTTGAGAATCCATATTCATTCATTTATCCAATAAATACTCATTGAGTTCCTACTATGTTCCAGGCACTATGGGGGCCATGTCATAGAAAGAAAAAACAGAAAAATAATGAAGTCAAGTATAAATAACTAGACATCAGCAGTTTAAGGGCAAAACGCAGATCAGCAAGTATTTTTGAGCAACTTAATATAAATGTTATTTCAAGATATAATTTGAATGGCATCAATAAACAATGAATTACGCTGCTGTGTAAGAGCCAATTGGATGCAAGTTCAGTTGTGGGTGACAGATAAAAATGCCCCAGTTATGTAATTTTGGTTGGAGGCCAGTCATCATTCAGTTTAAGCATCTATTCCCAATGACAGGATGTGAGGAACAGCTGAATCAAGAAAATGTGAATCTGTTGTGCAGATCAGGATAAGGGGAGTTCCACTTGGGTCTGACAAATGTTGAAATGGTACTAATGTCATTTTTAAGCCTTCGAAAATAACCCACAAAAGACTAGATGACCGGGGACGGGGGAACATGGAGGGAATCCGATTTAATTAAAAAACCCTAAGTCAGGAAATGAAGAAAGTTAATAGTAATTTACCCACCTTGCGTATTTGTAGCATTCAAAATACTGAACTTCCTGGCAAAGCGTGAGAAGCAGAGGAGGAGGAAGTTAACATTCCTTGGGTCTGGAAGTATCATTCATTACTTCCCCTCTTCCGCCCAATGACAGGAGCAGGTCTGCTGTCCTTTCAATAGTTGAGGAAACTGAGGCTCACGGATTACTTAGGGCCATGCTGCAAGGAAGCAGTCTAGCAGGATTTTGAACTCCCGTGTGCCTGCCTTTCAAGCTTCTCCACTCTTATAAGTGAACAAGTTTGTTGTTGTTTTTGTTGTTTTTGAGACTCAGTCTCACTCTGTCACCCAGGTTGGACTGCAGTGATGAGATCTTGGCTCACTGCAAGCTCTGCCTCCCAGGTTCAAGCAAGTCTCCTGACTCAGCCTCCCAAGTAGCTGAAATTACAGGTGCCTGCAACCACACCTGGCTAATTTTGGTATTTTTAGTAGAGACGGGATTTCACCATGTTGCCCAGGCTGGTCTCGAACTCCTGGGTTCAAGCAATCCTCCCGCCTCGGCCTCTCTAAGTGGTGGGATTACAGGCATGAACCACCATGCCTGGCCACATATGAACAGTTTTAACAACCCACATTTTCTACATTGCTTTATCATTCATTATACAATTTAAACTTTAATGCTCTGTTCAAGCACCCTGGAGCATCTGACATCTAGACTGTTTTCATTTAGTCTCAGGAGTAGCTCATCTGTAGGATGTCAACAATGAAATATGAGTTGGCACAAGGATGCCTCATTAATCTCTAATATAATTAGAAATTTATCTGGTTCTTTCAAAGCATTTTATCACTGCTTACAGGCTGGAAACTGTTTCTAGCCCCCTTGTTACAAAATTATTTATGGTCAAATATTAGATATGCAACCTTCATGTAAAATCTTAATTACTGCCCTTTTAGCTGATTTTTGTGCCCTCTGAAAGGGTATAAATTAGAAGAATAATGGCCAAGTAAATTAGAATAAAGGTTGCACAATGGAATATACATGCACCAAGGTCTAGAAATGAATCCCCAGCTACAGATCCACTGTAGCCATTTCTCCTTATTCATTCTTATTTCAGAGGAGTGAAAAAAACAGACACAAGGGGAAGAAAAATAAAAACAACTTTAGTTCATCATTATGGCTCCTCTAGGACAGGACCATGTCTTCTTGTCCCCTCAGTGTGCCCTGGGGTCTGGCCTCATGATCAGCACACAGCAGGGCTTAATGAATGTTTGTTGAACAGAACCAAACATGGGCGACTCATCCTGCTTCATCCTGCTTGTAGATATTCTTTTTTTTTTTTTTTTTAGATGGAGTCTCGCTCTGTTGCCCAGGCTGGAGTGCAGTGGCACGATCTTGGCTCACTGCAACCTCTGCCTCTCGGATTCAAGCCATTCTCCTGCCTCAGCCTCCCGAGTAGCTGGGACTCAGGCACCTGCCACCACGCCCGGCTAATTTTTGTATTTTTAGTAGAGATGGGGTTTCACCATGTTGGCCAGGCTGGTCTCAAACTCCTGACTGCATGATCCACATGCCTCAGCCTCCCAAAGGGCTGGCATTACAGGCATGACCCACCGTGCCCGGCCAGATATTCTTTACATGTATGAAAACAAAGATTATTCCACTGTGCTCATTTCATTGTTTGATCATTATATTCCATCCTTTGTTCAATCGAATAAAAAGACACAGTGCACTCAATATACTTTGGTCAACAGCAAGATAGGAAAAAGTGATACAATTGCTGAAATGTGACTCGTGAGGTGCTCTTCCTCACTTAGCAGCAGAACAGAAGGCAGAGGGACAAAGCCATCTGACAATGGTGTGGCCAGGCTGAAGGTCTGCTCTGGGACCACTCTTCAACCCAGCCTCACTCCCCTTCCATTCAGCCACACCTTGCACCTGTTTAACACCACGGGATACCTACCAACTGTATCACACCACAATTTGATACAATTTCTGATGATGATCATAGCAGTAGTCAAAACACAGATGATGGGGGAAGGTCAGTTATGAGTAGTGGACAAGAATTAAATTGTCAGGAAAAGCCAAGTGAGCAAATGAAAAAACAGATAAGAATTAGAAGCCGTTTAAATTTGATAACTGAAGGCAAGTAAGCAGTCTGTTCTTCAGAAAATAGCTATGAATGAAAAAAAATCAGTATCTCTGGGAGCTATTTTGAGGACAGCCTCCAACTCCCATTTACTAGGAGGGATGGAAACCCAGGCTTCAGGATCATCTGGGCCTTGGTTGGAGATGTGTGCTGTCTGTTGCTTACTAGGTGACCTTGAGTAATGCTCAACTTCTCTGTGTCCCAGGGCCATCCTTGGTAAAAGGGAGGTGATGAAAAAGAAGATCTGGTTCAGAAGGTTATTGTAAGGGTGAAACAAGATGGTGCATAGGATGCCAGTGCTGACGCACAACGGGCAATAAATCAATGAGAGGGCTCCTCTTTTTTTTTTTGAGACAGGGTCTCACTCTGTCAACCAAGCTGGAGTGCAGTGGCGCCATCATGGTTCACTGCAGACTCAACTTCCAGGGTTCAAGTGATTCTCCCACCTCAGCCTCCCAAGTAACTGGAACCACAGGCATGTGCCACCATGCCCAGCTAATTTTCGTATTTTTTGTAGAGATGGGGTTTTGGCATGTTACCCAGGGTGGTCTCAAACTCCTAAGCTCCAGTGATCCACACGCCTCAGCCTCCCAAGGTGCTGGGATTATAGGCATGAGCCACCACACTGGGTCTTCTCTGACTTTTGATATAATTTCTGATGATTATCATACCAGTACTCAAACCACAGGTGACAGGAGAGCAATTACCTGGATTTAATCATCAGTACCTGAATCATTGACTTTATTTTACCAGCTTTTTTGTTTACAGTTCTCATCAGCAGAGTGCCCTCTCTTGTTAGTGAAAATAAGGGATCTGATCATTATGGTCTTCCCAGGTTCAATATGACAACCATGACTGTAGTAGCACATCAGGAGAAAGAGTGGGGACTGAGGTCCCCAGATTTGAATTCACCAGGCCTATGTGTCAAAACTAGGATTTCTGACAAAGCAATATGAGGAAAACCTTACAACTGTGTCTTTGTTGGGGTGAGAGATGTGAAGCCCCCACCCCCAGTTCCACCTGCAAGGGCTACATGATAGCTGAATTGCATTTAAGAGAGGAGGGAAAGCTGCATGCTGGGCTTGGCCTTGCTGAGTGGGCCATGCAAGCTGAGAGCCACAGCTGAATTGTTCAGGATCCAAAAGGGGTCTGCAGAGGGAGCATGGGGAGGGGGTTCCCAGAGGGTGAGAAATGCTTCCAGAGAGGACTAACGAAGTATTGCTTGATAAGTGCCAACACAACCCTCTTCCCCACCTTCCCATGAGAGAACCCATAAAACAAACCCTCCTTGCGAGATCACTGTGGAATTGGATGGTTTTTCTGGGAACTGGGACCAAGTCCTGAATAAGGACTCTAGATGGCGAAGGAACAAGAGTGACACCACTCAGGTAGCAGGTGTAACCCACAATATCTGGGAAGTACCTGTACCACTGTATCACTGAGATAAATAAGTTAACATGTATTGAGTTCTTCCTAGGTTCCAGGGACTGGCCTAAGTACTTTACATGAGCTACCTCATTTCATCGGCATAATAATCCCATGAGCAGGTGCTATGATCAGCCTCATTTTACATGGAAGGAAGTGATAATGGCTCAGAAAGATGAAATGACTTGTCCTGGGCTATGCTGCCAGCTGGGATGGAGGTGGACTTCAAAATCAGGTAACTTTGACTCAAGTGTTGCTCTTAACTGCTGCGCTATAAATCAAGGCCCAATTTACTAATTATTTGCATAATTAATATATGAGGTGGGGGGGGTCAGACTGTGTCATTTGCCCCTCACTGTTCTCCTCCATCAACTAAACTCATGAAATAGAAGCATATCTTCTTTCCTCACCCCTCCAGGGAATTTCTCCAGGGATGAGTCCAATAGAACAGCCTTCCCAGATAGAAGGAAGCTGGGTTTTGGTCAAAGACATAGTAATAGTGACATTCCCTGGTGTATAATCATGCATTCACTTATTTAATATTTATCAAGGGCCAACTCTATGTTCACCATGTGCTAGGCATTGGGTAGCATTGACTAAAGATATAAAAATAAATCAGAGAATCTGTCCCCAAGGAACTTAAAATACAGGGGGAGACAGACATGCATAAAATTAAGTATATGTGGGCTAAGAATGTCTTAATTAAGGATGTCTTAATTTGCCATAAAATGAGGAACAGATGAAATACTCTGAAATCTGAGAGTTGGGATCAATTACTTCTAGTTTGAGCCCAGCAGGGAACTGGAAGCTTCAGAGAGAAGTTATGGAGCTGAGTTTGGAAAAACAAGTAGAAGTTAAATATGCAGAGAAGAGGAGCTCAGGGATTTTTTTTCTAAAAAAAGCAGAAGCAGATGCACAGAGGCCGTGAGGTGGGGGTTGGTGCAGCGAACTTCGAGTGGTTCTGCTTGGGTGGAGGGTACCATCGGGAAGGGGAGCACTGCGGGGGAGAGACGGAGGGAGAAAGGAAGGAAGGAACCAATGAACACATGAACTAGGCAGAGCCTTGAAAGCTAGGCTGAGGGCTAGTGACTTCGTTATGTGGATCTACTGTTGTCAAATGGTGAACCACGGCCCAGAGGTGTATCCCAAATTCTTCCTTCCTAAGCGTGCTACCCAAATTCTGATCAATGTCTCATCATCCATTTCTGCCTCAAGTAAAGACACAACTGTCATGGTGACGCCTGTCAAAGGAATGTTATGCTGAGCAAATTAAGTGGCAGGCAATTAGGGGGAGGTATAATATGGAGTGATTAAGAGGCAAGTGGGGCAGGATACTGTGAAGGCATTGCTGAGGAAACATCGGGTATTTGCTAGAACATGGGAAAACCTTATTTCCTCAGTATATAGAAGTACCAGCACGGCAGTAGGCAGTTCTCAGATGGGGACCCTGTGCTGAAGGGCAACTAGTTGGGTGATATCATTAACTATGGATAATTTTATAGACCCTAGGATGTGTCAACCTCATTGGGGTTTACACTGTAATTACTGCCGACTTTTTTAGTATCTTTTTTTTCTTTTGGAGACAGGGTCTTGCTCTGTTTCCAGGCTGGGGTGCAGTGGCATGATCATGGCACACTGCAGCCTCAACTTCCAGGGCTCAGTTGATCCTCCCATCTCAGCCCCATGAGCAGCTGGGACTACAGGTATGCACCACCATGCCTGGCTAATTTTCTTTTTCTTTTTTTTTTTTTTTTTGTAAATACCGGGTCTCACTTTGTTGCCCAGGCTGGTCTCGAACTCCTGGGCTCAGACAATCCTTCTGCCTTGGCCTCCCAAAGTGCTGGGATTATGGGCATGAGCCACTGTGCCCGGCCTTTAGTATCATTTTGAATCATTTAATCTGGATTTGAGTCCTAACTCTGCCATTCACCCTTGATCACATTTCAGGCCTCTGTGTCCCTCCATTTTCTCCTCTGCAGAGTGCAGATAATAATAATAGAAGGAAGCTCACATGGCTGGGGAGAGCAACTGCAATAATGGAAGATGCAGCACTCAGCAAAGTGCCTGGCACAGAGCGAGTGCCTGGTCAATAATAAATGTTGTAATTTTACTCTCTTCATCTGGATCATCCAAAATTCTAGAATTCAAAACTGTGCAGGGAACACATACACCCAAAGTATCCCGTGAACTACGGAAAAGAGGGAGCCTCTAAGGGTATCCGCGTGGGTGTAGGCCAGCATCGGAACTCGGTTTCTACCGAGTTCACTGAGTTTTTGCCCAGTATCTACAATCAATCAATCAATCAATCAATCAGTCAGGCGTGGTGGTGCATACCCGTAGTCCCAGCTGCTCAGGAAGCTGAGGTGGGAGGATCAACTGAGCCCTGGAGGTTGAGGCTGCAGTGTGCCATGATTACGCCACTGCACCCCAGCCTGAAAACAGAGCAAGACCCTGTCTCAAAAAGAAAAAAGATACTAAACTAAAACTTCCCTGCAGAGAAGCTGATTCTCTGCAGTGTGATGTTAATGTTATTTACTGAGCACTTACTGTGTTCCAAGACTCTCTGCGAGCAGTTTACATTCATGACAGTTGGCATGGAGTAGAGAGATGCCAGGGGGAACAATCAATCTAGAGCCAAGTAAGAAGTAAGCAGAGTTCTGTGGGATTTTTTTTTTGAGTTGAGGGTCTTGCTATTGCCCAGGCTGGAGTGCAGTGACGTGATCATGGATCACTGCAACCTCAAACTTTGGGCCTCAAGGGGCCTTCCTGCCTCAGCCTCTTGAGTAGCTGAGGCTACAGGTATGCGCCACCACACCTAGCTAATTTAAAAAAAAATTTTTTTTAGAGATGGGGGTCTCACTATGTTGCCCAGTGGTCTTGAGCTCCTGGCATCAAGTGATCCTCCCACCTCAGCTTCCCAAAGTGCTGGGATTATAGGCATGGGCCACCGTGCCCGGCCAAGGAGAGCTTTAATCAGTGCATGTAATAAACAGAAGCTGAAGACCCAAGAAACCTGGTGGATGCCAAACTGCACAGGAGAAGGGCAGGCAGGAGGCCAAGCAAGGCGGAAAAGCTCTCCGGAGTCCAAGTGGCCAGACAGATGGCAGCGCATGTATGTGCACAACTAGATGGTGTGGCTGGAACTGGGTAAGTGACCCCAAACACAGGCTTTCCCTCCCGAAGGGGTCATCTGGAGAACAACCTGATGGTACCAAGATAATGAGCTATCATCTGATAATAATGAATGATTGAGAATCTCAAAATAAAGAAATCCTGCCAAACAACTGACCTCAAAACATTTTTCTTTCTTCGCTTGGTGAAGCAGGCTAGCCATTCCGGGAAGCAGAACAGGAAAGATGAAAGTTTCCAAATATTCTTTGGGAGAACCTAAAACAAACAAACAAAAATTCCCCCTGCAAATCCCCAGTGGCCCGAGCCAATCTGGGAGAAATGTTTACTTTTGAGCCAGAAAAAGGTACTGTCCATTCAATCACATGATCTTAGATGTTATATTTTGCTCCAGACTACAGAGCTGGGCTGTATAACTAAAGTAACTTAAAATGTCCCTCTGAGCCTCTATAGTCTGGTGAAGATGTAGGAAGTATCCTACATAAGGCCAGGTCCACCAGCTTGTTATGGCCCCAAAGCAGGAATAGCAAGGGGCCCAGTGTGGCCGGAGGGACAAAAACAAGGGGAGTGTGGTAGGAAATGGGAGCAGAGAGGAATTGGGAGTCAGAGTATAATGGGTAAGGGCTTAGGGTCACAGTAATAAAGGCAGTCGTTAGCCAAGGCCCAAGGCATGCAGAAGGCACAGAACAAACCAGTAGGAGAGGGTCTGGTACCAGGGAGGGCCCAAGGAACTACGACTCAGATCTGCAGTATACACCCCTGCTTCCACACACAAAGCAGGGAAGCATGATGATGTTTTCTTCTACTTTTTACTTTTTTTTTTTTTTTTTGAGACAGAGTCTCACTCTGTCGCCCAGGCTGGAGTGCAGTGGCACAATCATAGCTCACTGCATCCTGGACCTCTCAGGCTCAAGCAATCTTCCCACCTTAGCCTCCCAAATAGCTGAGACTGCAAGTACCTGCCACCACACCCAGCTAATTTTTTTTTTTTTCTCGCTCTGTCACCCAGGCTGGAACGCAGTGGTGCGATCTCAGCTCACTGCAACCTCCGCTTCCCGAGTGCAAGCGATTCTCCTGCCTCAGCCTCCCAAGTAGCTAGGGTTATCAGTGTGCACCACCATGCCTGGATAATTTTTTTTTTTTTTTTTTTTGTGATGGAGTCTTAGTCTGTTGCCCAGGCTGGAGTGCAGTGGCACGATCTTAGCTCACTGCAACCTCCGCCTCCCAGGTTCAAGAGATTCTCCTGCCACCATGCCCAGCTAATTTTTGTATTTTTAGTAGAGACAGGGTTTCACCATGTTGGCCAGGCTGGTATCGAATTCCTGACCTCAAGTGATCCTCCTGCCTCAGCCTCCCAAAGTGCTGGGATTATAGGCATGAGCCACTGCATCCAGTGATAATTTTTTTTTTAAATTTTTTGTAGAGATGTAGAGATGGGGTCTCCCTGGGCTCAAGCAATCCTCCTGCCTTGGTCTCTCAAAGTGCTGATATTACAGGCATGAGCCATCACAGCCGGCTACATGTGTTTACTGTTCTCTTTTCCTACTTTTTATTTAATGTAAAATCAAAGTATGCTTTTTGTTACTTATTATCTTTATTACATTTTTAACCTTAAAGATAAATCAGTGAAATAAAGGACATGTCTCTTAAAAATAAAACAAGAACACATTCTTTCTTATGTATGTGGTCTCCCTGAGGTCCATCTGTCCGCCTCCATACCCACCCTGTGGTTCTGCAATGTTAAAAGCCCCAAATTATAAAAGATGGCATCTCTCTTACTCACATGTTTTTGGGTTGATTGTTTCCGATTTATCTTGAGGACAGGGTGTACGTGAGATCATGGTGAAATGGGAAACCGGAAAATAGTGCTCTGCACTGAAGCCATGAAAAAGCATTTCCTCTACTGGCGCAACCTGGAGGCAGACAGGGGAGGGGAGGCAATTCATTTAAACAGCTTAAATAATTGCATTTTCTGGTATAACCTTATGAAGGAATAAAATTCTGCATCAGACTTTAAGGTTCAAGGGGGTACGCTGAGCACAGATCTTTGTCTCCCTTCCCTCCTGAGACACCTATAAACGACAAGGCAGAAACCCCTGATAGAGAAAAGAAGGACCAGCTGTGGATGAGACGTTTGTAAACATATCCAAAACACCAGGGATGAAGCCTCACTCAAGAAGCAAGAAACTCACGCCTGTAATCCCAGCACTTCGGGAAGCCAAAGCAGATGGATCATCTGAGGTCAGGAGTTCAAAGCCAGCCTGGCCAACATGGTGAAATCCCGTTTCTACTAAAAATACAAAAAAGTAGCCAGGCGTGGTGGCGGGCGCCTGTAATCCCAGCTACTTGGAAGGCTGAGGCAGGATAATTGCTTGAACTCAGGAGGTGGCGGCTACAGTGAGCTGAGATCACACCATTGCACTCTAGCCTGGGCAGCAAGAGTGAAACTCCATCTCAAAAAAAAAAATAAATAAATAAAAGAAGCAAGAGTGGAAGTAACAGTCACAGGAGGAAGCTGCCCCAGAGGACAGATGTCCATCCACCCATCAGATCCCAAAGGGACTCAACACTCAAGTTGACAGGCACTGCACAGGGTGGGAACAAGAATGGAATGATATATGGCAAGGCTGGGTGGAAATCCGGCTGGGCTAACTTGGCCTGCTGCCCACACTCCCCTCAGGCTTCTTTCTGGTCCTTCGATATCATAAAGCTGTGTTCACACCAGCTGGATCTCCAGCTCCCCCTCCTCTCCAGGAACTCTTCTGTAAACCAATGAAACAGCCTGAAAAGGAGTAGAACACTTAGAACCACTTAGGGCACCATGATGGTAGCGTAAGAAAAAAAATTGTGCTGGGTGTGGTGGCTCACGCCTGTGATTCCAGCACTTTGGGAGGCCAAGGAGGGCAGATGGCTTGAGTCTAGGAGTTTGAGACCAGCCTGGGCAACATAGCAAGACCTCATCTCTACTAAAATTCAAAAATAATTAGCTGGCAGTGGTGGCATACGCCTGTAGTCCCAGTACTTTGGGAGGAAAAGGCGGGAAGATCGCTTGAGCTTGGGAAGTGAAGTACTGCACTCCAGCCTGATGACAGAGTAAGACCCTGTCTCAAAAAGAAAGAAAGAAAAAGTTGATTTAGAGACCCTCCTGCCGCCACCGCCCAATCCCAAAATACCGACTCTCTGCCTGTTCACCCTGAAGAAAAGTCGGCCAGTGGACAATCACCCTTCAGGAGCACCCAGTCAGTGTTTTGCTATTCATAGAAGAGACCCATCCAGAAAACAAACCCACAAGTACAGCAGTAGAAGAAAGCCACATCAGCCGTGATACTGTGATGGTTAATTTTCAGTGTCAACTTGACTGGAGTAAGGGATACCTAGGTAACTAGCAGAGCATTATGTCTGGATATGTCTGCAAGGGTTTTCTGGAAGAGACTGGTGTATATGTTGGTGGACTGAGTGGAGATCTATCCTCAATGTGGGCAGGCACCATTGGATTGGCTGAGGGCCTGGAAGGAACAAAACGTTGAGGAAGGCTGAATTCTTGCTCTCTTCTGGAGCTAGGACGCCCTTCTTCTCCTGCCCTTGGACCTCAGAACTCCAGGTTCTCTGGCTTTGAGACTCCAGGGCTCTCACCAGTGGTCCCTGGGGCTCTCAGAGGCTAATTAAGTCCAGCTAGATTTCCATGTAACCCTGCCATGTATCATAAACAGAGGCCCTCAGACTGGTAGTTACACTGTTGTTTCTTCCTGGCTCTGAGGCTTTTGGATTTGGACTGAGCCACTCTACCAGCTTCCCTGGTTCTCCAGCTTGCAAACAGCCTAATGTAGGACTTCTCAGCCTCCGTAATCGTGTGAGCCAATTACCCCAGTAAATCCCCTCTCATATATGTATCCTACTGATTCTGTCTCTCTGGAGAACCCTAATATACCAGCTATATAGAAAAATCCACTGAAGACCATTAATAAACAATCAAATCTCTTTATACGGGTCAAGAAGATCATAGCACAAGAGACGAAGATCAACATATATTGTCAGAACAGCTGACCCTGGAAGAAGCACAGAGAATTCAGGGAAGAGAACTGTGATTTGTATCTGCAGAGAAATTTGAGAAAGAATTGCGTCCATAAAGCAAGAACAGGATGCTAGGAGAAAAGGAACAATCACAGAACAAGAAAGTTTTTAGACACAATGTCTCTGTCAGAGGCAGCTGCAGTGATGGAAGTTAATAGAAGTCGAGAAACAGGTTTTGATTCCATCCGTGTTACCGTGCTCAAGTCCCTTCATCTCTCAGAGCCTTGCTTTTTAAAAATTTTAAACTCCGTTAAGCTCCTATCTAATTCCAAGGTAGACTTCACGAGGGCCTCTCTTCCTGGCTGCCCTGTCCTTAGCCCTCTCTCCTTAGCACAGTCTTCATCTTGTCTACCCTGTCATGCAGAGAAACTTGGTCTGTCTGCAACTGTCCCTCACATGGACATGGTGTTAGATCCACTGCAAAGGCTCTTCTCATCCAGGATCTCATGTGAGCCCCACAGAAGCCCTGTGAGTTAGTCAAGCATTATCTGTCCCATTTAATAAATGCAGAAACCTGGATGGGAGCAGTGGCTCACATCTGTAATCCCAACACTTTGGGAGACTGAGGCAGGCAGATCACTTGAAGTCAGGAGTATGAGACCAGCCTGGACAACATGGTGAAACCCCGTCTCGACAAAAAATCCCAAGCACGGTGGCGGGTGCCTGTAGTCCCAGCTACTAAGGTTGCAGCAAGCTGAGATTGTGCCACTGCACTCCAACCTGGGCGACAGGGCAAGAGCCTGTCTCAAAAAATAGATTAGGTAGATAGATAGATAAGATAAGATAGATAGATAGACAGACAGACAGACAGACAGATAGATAGACAGACAAACGCCGAAACTAATGCTCAAAGAGGTTATGTGATGCCCTCTAAGTCAAACTGTTAGTATTAGAGCTGGGATTGGCCCCAAGTTTCTGGTTCTCGCTCCAGTGCCTTCCCTTTCCCACCTCCTGAACTCAGTGACACTGTGTGACATTCACAGGCCATCAATGCTATTCTCATTTAAGAGCTTCTTGCTTCGGTTGAGGCCTAGGTAATACTCACCGTAATCACAGGCTCCTGTTTGACTTTATATCCTTCTGGAAAGGGAGGCTGCTCAGCTTCATACTCTAAAGGGAAGGGAAAAAAAATCCTCAATTCCATACTTCACTAGAGTTTCTGGTGTAATTTCCTTCTCCCTGAATAAAACATTCTTAAATTTTATTTTGGCTGGTGGTGTACAGAAATGAAAAAACAACTGGCCATGACAGGTTAACATTTAATGGTATTTAAAATCAGCAAGAGGCCGGGTGCGGTGGCTCACACCTGTAATCCCAGCACTTTTGGAGGCCGAGGCAGGAGGATCACCTGAGGTCAGGAGTTCGAGACCAGCCTGGCCAACCTGGTGAAACCCTGTCTTTACTAAAAATACAAAAATTAGCTGGGCGTGGTGGCTGGTGCCTGTAATCACAGCTACTTGGGAGGCTGAGGCAGGAGAATTGCTTGAACCCGGGAGGCAGAGGCTGCAGTGAGCCAAGATCCTGCCACTGCACTCCAGCCAGCCTGAAAGACAAGAGCGAGACTATCTAAAAAAAAATTATTAATAAAATAAAATAGGCCGGGCGTGGTGGCTCACGCCTGTAATCCCAACACTTTGGGAGGCAGAGGCGGGCGGATCACAAGGTCAGGAGATTGAGACCATCCTGGCTAACACAGTGAAACCCCATCTCTACTAAAAATACAAAAAATTAGCTGGGCATGGTGGTGGGTGCCTGTAGTCCCAGCTACTCGGGAAGCTGAGGCAGGAGAATGGCGTGAACCCGGGAGGCGGAGCTTGCAGTGAGCTGAGATTGCGCCACTGCACTCCAGCCTGGGCGACAGAGCGAGACTCCATCTCAAAAAAAATAAAAAATAAATAAATAAATAAAATAAAATAAAATAATAAAGTCGGTAAGAGATGGTTGGTCTCTTACATGAAAGAGTCGACGCTTTATCTAAGAGTCTGAGACTCTTTTTCTTAGAGGACACAACTTCAGCTTTTGCCAACATGATGGAAACTATAAGGAATTAAGGGAGGAAGAGAACGTGGAGGTTGGGTAAGGGAAGACACCGAGAGCACATGCGGAGGAGAGGCTAACACAAAGAACAGTCCACAGCTGGGAGCGGTGGCTCACGCCTATAATCCCAGGATTTTGGGAGGCCGAGGAGGGTGGATCACTAGGTCAGGAGTTCGAGATCAGCCTTACCAACATGGTGAAACCTCATCTCCACTAAAAATACAAAAATTAGCCAGGCATGGCGCCGGGCACCTGTAATCCCAGCTACTCAGGAGGCTGAGGCAGGAGAATCACTTGAACCCTGGAGGCAGAGGTTTCAGTCAGCGACACAGCGAGACTCTGACTCAAAAATAAATAAATAAATAAAAGAACAGTCCACGTAAGTTCTACAGGGTTGCAACAACCATGACTGACAGAGGAACAGAAAATGCTCATGGCCAGTATTAGTTATATCCCTAAAGCAAAGACTGGTAAAAATATTTCTGGAAAGGTCAATGTTGTCAAGACAATTGCACAGTCACTTACAGTCATGAGGAAAAATTAATTTGTGGGCAAGACGGTATTGAGGGCATACAGTCGTATGGACATAAGTTTTATTTCATCACCTAGCTACCTATCAGACAGTACAGCATTTCCTCCACTTCTCAACTTTCTAAGCATCAGGCTGGGGACAAGAATGTCAGGTTGCAGGTTAAAAGCAATTTATTTCTCAATACCAACTGTATTCGTTTTCTATTATTGTGTAACAAATTAGCACAAATCATTGACATAAAGGAACACAAATTTATTATCTCATAATTCCCCTGAGTCAGGAGTCCAAGAATGGATCAGGGTTTTATCAGGCTGAATTCAAGGTATCAGCCAAAGCTGTGATCTTCTCTGAGGGTTGGGATACTTTTCCAAGCTCATTGGTTGTTGACAGAATTTCGGTTTTGATAGAATCTTAGTTTCTTGGCCAGTCATGGTGGCTAAGATCTGTAATCCCAGCACTTTACGAGGCCAAGGTGGGTGGATCACTTGAGGTCAGGAGTTTGAGACCAGAGTGGTTAACATGGTGAAACCCCATCTCTACTAAAAATACAAAAATTAGCTGGGCGTGGTGGCAGGCACTTATAATCCCCAGCAACTTGAGAGGCTGAGGCACAAGAATCATTTGAACCAGGGAGGTGGAGGTTGCAGTGAACCAAGATCTCACCATTGCACTCCAGCCTGGGTGACAGAGTGAGACTCCATCTCAAAAAAATAAAAAAGAATTTTAGTTTCTTGTGGTTGAGGTCTGAGGTCCTTGCTATCTTGTGGTTGTCAGCTGGGGTCCCTCTCAACTCTTAGAAGGCACTCTCAGGTTCTCGCCATGGGTAATGCACAACTTGATTGCTGCTACTTCAAGGGCAGCAGGAGAATCTCTTCTGCTTGAATCTGACTTCTTTTAAGGGCTCACCAGATTAGGTCAGGCCCACCTACAATAATCTCCCTAATTTAAAGTCAGCTGGTTAAAAGCTTTAAACATACCTGGAAAATCTTCTGACAGCCACACCTAGATTAGCGTTTGATTGAATAAGTGAGGTGTGTTCACGAGGTGGCAAGAATCTTGGGGGCTATCTTAGAATTCCGCCTACCATACCAGCCCAAGCTCTACCATTTTTTTCCTCTCTGGCAAGCATGTAAATTCACCCTTCTTCCCCAGCTGCCTTGGGAACCATTGCTATAGTGTGGAATTGTTTATTTGGGTTTAAAATGTATACATTTATACTTCTGTCTGATTACAAAAGCAAGACATACTTATTGAAAGAAAATGTCAAATAACATAGGGATGTCTTATGTAGAGTGTAAAAGTCACACCTAATCCTATTGCAACCCTACAACCATTGTTAGATATGGCATAGATCCAACCAAATCTTTTTTTTTGGGGGGGGGGGGTGACAAAGTCTCGCTCTGTCGCCCAGGCTGGAGTGCAGTGGCACGATCTCGGCTCACTGCAACCTCCGCCTCCTGGGTTCAAGAAATTCTCCTGCCTCAGCCTCCCGAGTAGCTGGGACTACAGGCACATGCTGCCATGCCAGACAAATTTTTTGTATTTTAGTAGAGATGGGGTTTCACCGTGTTGCCCAGGCTGGTCTCGAACTCCTAAGCTCAGGCAATCCGCCCGCCTTGGCCTTCCAGTGGTAGGATTCCAATGTATTTACTAATATATGTATATAATACATAATACATTTGTTTACTTTCAATTTCCCAGGCTAGGTCAAAGTGCCCACACATAGAACCACATAACACTGTGTCCTTTTTCTTCATAACTCATATTAGTTTTTGCCTTATTTGAAATTTATAAAAATTAGTGACTATCTTTTCTTTTCTTTCTTTCTTTTTTTTTTTTTGAGACCGAGTCTTGCTCCGTCGCCCAGGCTGGAGTGCAGTGGTATGATCTCGGCTTACTATGACCTCTGCCTCCTAGCTTCAAGCAATTCTCTTGCCTCAGCCTCCCAAGTAGCTGGGATTACAGGCACCCATCATCATGCCCGGCTAATTTTTGTATTTTTAGAGACAGGGTTTCATCATGTTGGCCAGGCTGGTCTCGAACTCCTGATCTCAAGTGATCTGCCCACCTTGGCCTCCCAAAGTGCTGGAATTACAGGCTTCAGCCAGCATGCCCGGCATTAATGACTATCTTTTCTAATAGGCTATATGTTTGGTAAGGGAAGTGCCTGGATCTGTTGTCTCACCATTATTTCCCCACAGAATACTGGCTGAATGAATGAACGAATGGATGAACAGAACCAACCATATCGTAAGTTACTTTTAACGGCTTATTCATTCATTTATATCTATTGTAAGCCCATTACCTGCTATGAACCATTCTGTGTGTTAAATATGAGACTCCTTTCAATGTTGCTACATACATGATGTGCCACATTTATTTAACCAGTGTACTCTTCATGGGCATTTAGGTTGTTTCCATTATTTTATTATTATAAACAATGTTTCAATGAACATCTTTATATAAATCATTGATCCACAGAGAGGTATTTTGGTAGGATCCTTAGATGTGGAATTTTTTTCTGTCAAAGGAAAAAATAACTTAAAATTTGGGCCAAATTGCCAAACTTTTCTCCAAAAAGTTTACAGTCACTTGTACTCCCAATAGTGACACTGCCTGTTTCTCTAGAGTATAATCAATCTTATACATTAAAAGTTTTTCAACACATGTAAAAGAAAAAAATGGTATTTTACTTTTATTTGCATTTCTTTATTACTTGCTATCATATTTTTCCAGTGAAATCTCTCAGGAGTTCCGGACTGGGCACGGTGGCTCACGCATGTAATCCCAGCACTTTGGGAGGCCGAGGCGGGCGGATCACGAGGTCAGGAGATCGAGACCATCGTGGCTAACACGATGAAACCCCGTCTCTACTAAAAATACAAAACTTAGCCGGGAGTGGTGGCGGGCGCCTGTAGTCCCAGCTACTTGGGAGGCTGAGGCAGGATAATGGTGTGAACTCGGGAGGTGGAGCTTGCGGTGAGCAGAGATCGAGCCGCTGCACTCCAGCCTGGGTGACAGAGTGAGACTCCATCTCCAAAAAAAAAAAAGAAAAAAAAGAAATCTCTCAGGAGTTCACTTAAATTTGATGGAAAAAATATAAATTTCTTCATCACATGATCACAAAAGACATACAGTTGAAATGATTATGTAGAAGTATGAAGTATGGGAAAATACTTTAGCTTCAAGACAATCTGATGTGTTACTTAAAACCTCTGTAATAGTTTAAGGGAATCTAACATATTTGAGAATGTCAGTTTTCCCTGTGGTTTCAATCTGAAATATGATTACAGACTGATGCTTTTACATTGAAAGGCATAAAAGAATTTAAGTTTGTAGAGTACTGGACTCTTAAAACAACTTGATTTACCATAGTTTAATTAATTCCATTTCCAAGAGTTGCTTCAGTGCTTAGAAAAGTGTGCTTATCTGCTCTGTTCTGCATTAGAAATACTTAAGAAAATCAGGGGCCCAGGCATGGATTACAGGCTCACACCTGTAATCCTAACATTTTGGGAAGCCAAGGTGGGCAGATTGTTGGAGCCCGGGAGTTCAAGAGCAGCCTGGGCAACACAGTGAAACCCTGTCTCTACAACAAATATAAAAATTAGCTGGGTGTGGTGGCGCACGCCTGTAATCCCAGCTACTTGGGAGGCTTAGGTGGGAGGATCACCTGAGCCTGGGAGGTTGAGGCTGTAGTAAGCACGATCACGCCACTGCACTTCAGCCTGGGCGACAGCCTGTCTCAAAAAAATAAAAATTAAAAAAAAATTTTTTTAAATCAGGTATATTAAATGTATAAATGTTTACAATCTTTCCATTACCAAAGGTTATAAATGGCATTAATTGATTAGGGGAATTTAATGTTATATGCATATTAAATGAACATTATGAACAAGTGAAAGTTGTTGTTCGTTTTACACAACAAAGGCAACATTTTAGGAGAGGCAGAGCAGAAGGAGCCCGGAAACTTGTTGGCAGAGTGGAGCCCCTGTGCCACAAGTGAACCCTCTCCCCTCAACTTCTGGGATGTGAGAATAATTAACCATCTTTGTTTAGGCCATTATGAGTTGGGCTTTCTGCTATTTGCAGCTGAACATGTTCCTGATAGAAACAATTAAAATGTAGCATTGACTGGTGGCCGGGCACGGTGGATCGCGCCTGTAATCCCAGCACTTTGGGAGGCCGAGGCAGGCAGATCACAAGGTCAGGAGATTGAGACCATCCTGGCTAACATGGTGAAACCCCCTCTCTACTAAAAATACAAAAACAAAATTAGCCGGGTGTGGTGGCGGGCACCTGTAGTCCCAGCTACTCAGGACGCTGAGGCAGGAGAATGGCGTGAATCCAGGAGGCGGAGCTTGCAGTGAGCCGAGATCGCACCACTGCACTGCAGCCTGGGTGACAGAGCCAGACTCTGACTCAAAAACAAAAAACAAAAAAAAACCCAACAACAAAAATGTAGCATTGACCCACAGTAGCTTATTGGAAGGGGATGGAACAGGAAGATGACGCTGGGAGTGAATCAGACGAACATTTGACAGGCATATACTATAGTGGGAGGTTGTACCAGGCTGCTGGAGAGCCACATGAACAGGGCAGAGGAGCTTATGTTCCAGAGAGGGGATGAATGATAAACCAGGGGTTATGATAAGTGAAAGTATTGCTGTAGAGGGCTTCAACCACAGCCTAGAGGAGAGGAAAGAAGGGGCTTTGAAATTGGCCTGAGGAATTACAGAAGGCTTTCCAGAAGAGGGGCCACGTGGACTGAGTCTAGAGAGATAAATGAGAAGGTAGGGATGTTCCAGGAAGAGACAAAGCTTGTGGAAAGGCATGGAGAGGAATAGTATGGTGCACTGGAGGAATAGTTTTGTGTGACTCCAAGTACACAACACAACAGTGGTACCGAAGTGCTTGTTTAAAATGCAGAACTCAAAGACTCACCCCCAAGGAGTCTGGCCCATCAGGGCAGGAAGGGGAGCCAAGGAAGCTGCTTTTTTTTTTTTTTTTGAAACAAGAGTCTCACTCTGTCACCCAGGCTGGAGGGCAATGGCATGATCTCGGCTCAGTGCAACCTCCTCCTCCCAGGTTCAAGTGATTCTCCTGCCTCAGCCTCCTGAGTAGCTGGGACTACAGGTGCACACTGCCATGCCTGGCTAATTTGTTTAAATTTTATTTTAGTAGAGATGGGGTTTCACCATGTTGGCCAGGCTGGTCTCGAACTCCTGAGCTCAGGCAATCCAGCCCCGTCGGTCTCCTAATGTGCTAGGATTACAGGCTTGAGCTACCACGCCCGGCCAGGAAGCTGCATTTTAACATGTATCCAGGAGATTTTGATGTAGGTGCTCCCAGTCCATGCTTTAAAACCATGCTGGTGTCTTCTTCAGGGGTTTGAACTTGAGAGTCAAAACAGACTTGAGTTTGAAGCCGACCCTGCCGCTTACTTTGGGCAAGTTTCCTAACCTTTCTAAGCCTCAATTTCCTCATCTGTTGCTGTGAGGCTTAAATGAGAAGTAATGCACCTAGCACAATGCCTGGCACATAAACAGCAGCTCAATAAATGGTTGCCATTAGGATGATTTGGGTGAATGGTATGTTGTGAACTAAGAAAAGTAAACAGAGATGGGACGTTAAGAAGCTTAAGGGTTAAGCTAAGGAGTTTATCTGTAAGCTATGAAAATCATTGTAGGTCACAGCATGATGCGATTAGATTTGAATTTTAGAGAGGTTCCTACGACAGCCAGTGGGATATGGTCTGGAAGGAGGCCTGCCTCAATTAACAAGCCACAGCAGCAATCTAAGCAGGGGGTGGTAAGGGCCTGATCTAAGGCAGCAGACATGAAGACTGGTGGGGGTGGGGAGTGGGGGCAGGGTGGGGATGGTGGGAGATATTAAACAGGTAGAATCTATAAGGACTGGCAAATGAGAGTGTGGGGCCGTGGAAAGTGAAAGGGAAGCAGGCCGGATGCGGTAGCTCACGCCTGTAATCCCAGCACTTTGGGAGGCTGAGGCGGGTGGATCACCTAAGGTCAGGAGTTCGACACCAGCCTGGCCAACATGGTGAAACCCCACCTAAAAATACAAAAATTAGCTGGGCATGGTGTCAAGTGCCTGTAATCCCAGCTACTCAGGAGGCTGAGGTGGGGGAATTGCTTGAACCTGGGAGGTGGAAGTTGAAGTAAGCAGATATCGCACCTCTGTACTCCAGCCTGGGCAACAGAGCAAGACTCTGTCTCAAGGGAAGGAAAAAAAAAAAAAAGCTGGACTGGGCAGCTGAGTGAACGATGGTAACATTCGTGGAGATGGAGATAAGTTGTTGGCGTCTAAAACAGTGCCTGCAGTTATACCTGGCCCAGCATTGAAAACAGTTCCCAGCCCTGGTAGATACAAGTTGGCTCAATGCTTAAGAACAATTTATTCGGAGAAATGAGGAAGAAGCTGGTCTGCCCTTAGTTGATAAGGGAATGGGAATGAAAGACTGATAGGAGCTGGAAGAGGATATAGGGTCATGGTGGAGGTTTCTTCCTGATATGACAGGCCAGGGGTGTTTGGAGGAAAAAGCTAGTAGAGAAGTTAAAGGCGTAGCAGAGGAAGTGAGTGATAAAGCAGGATCCTGGAATAGCAAGGGGACGGTAAGCAAAGATGGAGAGCTGAGTGGCGAGTAGCGGGGTGAGAGCTTCTTCCACGTGTACAGATGGATGTTAGCAGACTCCCTCCCCACTCCTGACTGCCTGACTCTTCTCAGTGAACGCATCCTATGCTAAGAGGTATCACAGAACATTTCAGGAGGTGTTACAGACTTGGACTAGTAGAACCAGGCAATGGGAGAAGGCATTGAGAGATGCTGATTGCTGAGCAGTGCTGAGAGCCAGTTGGGGTCATCTTTCTTCAGCTGGCTCAGTGGCTGTGCTGGAGGAACAAGTATTGATTCACAACTGATCCATGTCGGTATCTGGCAGGTGAAATGAAAGGCCAGATTTTACAACAGCATTGAGGGCTGAGGCCAGAGAGTGCTTGATTAAGTGATGAACCAATGACAATAGTGAGGATGCTGATAACAGTAATCACAGCATATCAAAATAGGAAACTGTAAGGCCAGGCGCGGTGGCTCACGCCTGTAATCCCAGCACTTTGGGAGGATGAGGCGGGCTGACTGCTTGAGGTCAGGTGTTTGAGACCAGCTTGGCCAACATGGCAAAACCCCATCTCTACAAAAAATTAGCCAGGCATGGTGGTGGGTGCCTGTAATCCCAGCTATTTGGGAGGCTGAAGCAGGAGAATTGCTTGAATCTGGGAGGCAGAGGTTGCAGTGAGCCGAGATTGCGCCACTGCACTGCAGCCTGGGTGACAGAGCCAGACTTCATCTCAAAAAAAAAAAAAAAAGGAAACTGTTAAGCCCCACATCCTTTGATTGTCTTGATTAAAACCATGAACACAGCTAGTCACAAACTACTATAAGATTTGATTAGAAGTGTTGGCCGGGAAGAAGTTTATTGACACTAACACGAGTGCTTTTTAGAATACAAAACTCAGTTGTCACTGGAAAGATGAGGGAGAAAACTGAAGAATATTTACAAATAAGTTATAGTGGTGAGCATGCACATACATACAAAAGAGCACTAGTCAGGTTGGTTAAGGTCTGTGTAAGTTAGATATTGACCTACTTTGTATTTTGTCTTCATGAAATTGAGTTTCTGGCAGGTCTGTTTGCTATGATAATTTGTCTTTTGAATGGAGATTATCTTAAGAGAATGTAGTACTTAATCTCAAAGATAGGATTACTACAAAGCCTGTTTTTTCATGTTTGTTGTCAGAAACTGAATTTACTACATGTTATAGAAAACTGCATTTGTTAGATGTTTAAGAATTGGGTTTATCCATCTGTTATAATACTCATCACAGTGTCCATGTGTATAGTTTGCCAATGTTGACCTCACTGAATTGTTTTTTTTTTTTTTCTAGACGGATTCTTACTTTGTTGCCCAGGCTGGAGTGCAGTGGCACGATCTCAGGTCATTGCAACCTCCGCCTCTCAGGTTCAAGCGACTCTCCTGCCTCAGTCTCCTGAGTAGCTGGGATTACCCACCACCAAGCCTGACTTAGTTTTTATATTTTTAGTAGAGACAGGGTTTCAACATGTTGGCCAGGCTAGTCTCCAATTCCTGACCGCAGGTGATCCACCCGCCTTGGCCTCCCAAAGTGCTGGGATTACAGGTGTGAGCCACCATGCCTGACCTCATTCTGTAACTCTATCATTTTAAAAGTGGCATCAATTCACTTGCTCTTCAGAGAGAACCAAAACCCTTTGTCTTTGCTTTCTCTCTAGAGGCCTATTTGACCAAAATAAACTCGGTGTGTAAATCACAACACAAGGCATGTTTCTTTGTCAACAATAATGAACATTTATTGACTACTTTTTAAATGCCAGGCACTGTGCTAAGCACCTTTTCATACATTATCTTACTTGGTCCCCACAACAGCCCTGTGAGGTAGGCACAACAATTATCTGTCTCTTACAGATGAGGCTGAGTAACTTTTCTAACAATCCTCTAGTAAACTGTATTATAAGAAACTGTTTGGCTTGGAGAAGTGAAAGCTCTGGGGAAAAGGCAGCCACAATAACTACCGTCAAATTATCTGAGTAGATTCTTTGGGGTAGAGTGATTAGCTCCTTGGATCATAGCACCAAGAGGTAAGGACGTAGGGGTGAAAGTGACAAAGAGAACATGCAAAATGAAAGGGATTTTTCTAGCACAATGTAAGGTTGGAGAAGGAATTTAAGTACTGGATGGGGTTGAAACAGACAGCTTTGGAGGGCATCTATCAACTGAGTCTACTATTCTCTTCCTTCTCTGTATTCTCCACTTCTTTCGAGTCATCGCATATACTGGTACATTCATTCTTTTTTTCCATTCAATAAACATTTACTGACCTGCACTATCCAATACAGCAGCCACTATCCAAATGTGGCTATTTAAATTTATTAAAATTAAGTCTGGGCTGGGCCTGGTGGCTCAGGCCTGTAATTGTAGCACTTTGGGAGGCCGAGGCAGGTAGATCACCTGAGGTCAGGAGTTCAAGAGCAGCCTGGCCAAAATGGTGAAACCCCTTCTCTACAAAAATAAAAAAATTAGCCAGGAATGATGACGGGTGCCTGTAATCCCAGCTACTCAGGAGATTGAGGTGTGAGAATGCTTGAACCCGGGAGGCGGAGGTTGCAGTGAGCCCAGCCAGTGCCACTGCATTCCAGCCTGGGCGACAGAGCAACATGCCGTCTCAAAAAAAAAAAAAAAAAAAAAATTTGAGTCCAACAAGAAATTCAGTTACTCAATTGCACTAATCACATTTCAAATGCTAACTAACCACACTTTTTTTTTTTTGGGGATGGAGTCTCGCTCTGTCACCCAGGCTGGAGTGCAGTGGCGCAAACTCGGCTCACTGCAACGCCACCTCCCTGGTTCAAGCAATTCCCTTTCCTCAGCCTCCCAAGTAGCTGAGATTATAGGCGCACACCACCACGCCCAGATAATTTTTTTTTTGTATTTTCAGTAGAGACGGGGTTTCACCGCGCTGTTTCAGGCAGCTTAGGTAGTGATGGTGGCCACACGAATGAAAAATCTGAGTCCTTGACCTTGAGGAGCTTATGGTCTAGTGGAGGAAAAAGAAAACATCCCACCCAACATTATTCATTAAGAACTAGCGCTTACGTAGCTCCTTCTGTAAATCGAGCAGTTTGTGTTTTTTTTTCCCCAATAATCCTTTTGCCCTCCTAAAATCAGGCAGTTTGCTAAGCACTTTTTGTGACTATCTGGTTCCATCTTCTTAACACCATCGAAATAGGTGCCATTATTATGCCCACTTTGCAGACAGGGTCATAAGTTAAATAATTTGCCCAACCTAAGTAACAAATACTGAGTAGAGCCACAAAGGAAGATGTGCTCAACTCCGCCTGGGGAGGTTAAGGAAGGTTTGAAGCAAGAAGGGACTAAAACCCGTTTGTCCACACCATGGTTACTGAACGTGTGGGCCACCGACTACCTACGTTAGGATTACCTGGGGTGCTCTTTTAAAAAGTGCAGATTCCCTGCATCCCAATTTGAAGCTCTGTGGGCGGGGCCTGGGAACCTCCGTTTATAACAAGATCCCCACCCCGGCCCCCGCCCCAGCAATTCCTTTCGGTTCACTAACCGAGGTTTAAGAACCAATGGTCCACACCGCATGGTTCTCTTTATTCAGCTTTCCCTCGCCGTTCCCTTGCCTTTAACCTCACTACGGATCGCGATTGGAGTCCGCGCTGCGTAACCTCGGGCCAGCCTCTCCGAGCCTCAGTTTCCCCATGCGTAAAATGCGGAGCCCGGGCCCGCGGAGCCGCTGCCCGGCGGCCCCGCCCGTCAGCCGACAGGCGCACAGTGGGCGCTCCCCAAACGCGGCCCCCGTCCGGCCGCCCGGGTCCCGCCCCTCTCGGCCAGCCCAGGTTTCCTACCCTTGCAGATCTGCTCCCACAGATTCTTGCTTGACGGCTCGGTGACCTGCCACGACGAGACAGGCAGCTCGCGGGACGCGAGAGACACGGTGGGCACCGGCGTCCGGGTGAACGACGAGTCTGTAGAGCAGCTGGGCTTGAGGCGCACTATGTGGCTGGGGATTTGCCGCGGTGCCGCCATGGCCGCGGTTTCCACGGTAACCGCGTTCGCCGGAAGGCCGCGACCCGGAAGAAGCCGGAACCCGAGAGGGTGGGCCGGCGACTCGAAGTGGACTTCCGGGTCACGGCGGAGCTGGCTCTCACGTGGAGGCGGGGAAATTTCGCCCACCGGTGAGTGCCAGGGCGCGTTGCAGGCGGGCCGGCGCGGGGTGTGGAGATTGCACCAGAGGAAGTGCGCGGCGGGGAAGATGGGGAAATGCGGTCCACCCACATCCCTGAATCCGACCCCTCCAGTCGGTGTGCGCCCGCTCCGGCCTGAGGCCGCCGCCTCCAGAAAGTTTTCCCGCCTCAGAGCCGGCCCTGGGACCCCACGTAATCCCTCCCAGTCTGTTGATGCGGAGGCTTGGGCCCATGGGAGCCTTGGAGGTACGGATCTTACTTCCTGGCTCCCGCGCGTCCTGCTGGTGATCCTGCCGGGGGAGTGGGGTGTTGCTGCACAGGCTTTGGAGTCCTGTGGGCGGAATTCCAGTCTCCGTTTTCCACTTGCTGGCTTTGGAACCTAGGGCAAGTGAATTATTGTAGTCTCTGGAGCTTGCGAGGTCGGGTATTCACAAAGATCTTCACAAGGCTGTCCCTGGAATTTAAAAGCGGTTTTGGAGAAAGCGTTTGCGTTTGCAGGAGATGCACTGTAACGTTCTTTTCCTTTCTCCTTGAAAGAGTGAATGCATTTGGTCGCAGGGCTAAAGAGGAGGATGCTATACTTTTCTAAATGGCAAGAGATGGGGAGAGAAGGGGATTAAGAGTTGACCCGCAACCTCCCGGTGGATTCTTTGTTCTTACCAGATCTCTTGGCCACTCCCCTATTCTGAAGTCGTCTTGGCTCTCTTGACTGCTCCCCTATTCTGAAGTCGTCTTGGCTCTCTTGACTGCTCCCCTATTCTGAAGTCGTCTTGGCTCTCCTGACTACACTATTTCAAGGTTTGCACCTTCTTCTTTGCAAGCTCCTTTATCTCTGCCCACTTATTTAAATGCCAATACAATAGTCCCCCTCCCCCATTATCCGCGGGCAGTACGTTCCTAAACCCCCAGTGGATGCCTGAAACCACAGACAGTACCGAACCCTAAATATAACTGTTTTTTCTTGTGTATACTATCTATGAGAAAGTTTATAAATTAGGCACAGTAGGGCCGGGCGTGGTGGCTCATGCCTGTAATCCCAGCACTTTGGGAGGATGAGGCGGGCGGATCACCTGAGGCCAGTAGTTGGAGACCAGCCTGGCCAACATAGTAAAACCCCGTCCCTACTAAAAATACAAAAATTAGCCGGGCGTGGTGGTATGTGCCTGTAATCCCGGCTACTCGGGAGGCTGAGGCGTGAAAATTGCTTGAACCCGGGAGGTGGAGGTTGCAGTGAGCCGAGATGATGCCACTGCACTCCAGCCTGGGCAACAGAGCCAGACCTTGTCTCACAAAAAATTAGGTGCAGTAAACGATTACCAACAATCTAGCTAGTAATAAAATAGAACAATTACAACAGTATACTGTAATAAAAGTTGCATGCATGTGGTCTCCCTCTCAAGATAACTTCCTGTACTGTGCTCACCTATTTTGGGACCAGGGTTGACCAGGGGTAACGGAAACCTGGGATTAGGTGGCGAGCTACTGTATTTCTTGAAGTCTTGTCTCAGGCTTGTTCTGTTCAAGGCTTATCACCACCCATACATTCCTAACTTTATGTCGCCCGTGTCAGCACGGCCACCCAAACTCCTCATCCATATATATTCACCTGTCCAGTGAACATCTCCAAGTCATCTGTCCAATCAAGCCTGTTCTTCAGCCACTTGCCTTCAGTACCTTTGTCTCAGGGATTAATACCACCATCCTGCAGTTGTTCTTCAGAAATTTTCCTGACAACTGGTAGGACAGGTTCCACAACCTCCACCACCCTGACCTTAGCACTGTCCTTGCTTTTATCACCTGTATCATTGTATTACACCTTATTCCCTCCCACACCTACTTGCTTCTTGATGGGTGGTGTTTTATCTTGTTCATCTCTGTATCCCTAGCATGTGTGCATTCATTCAGTGAGTATGTATTGAGCACCTGCTATGTGCCAGGCACTGAGCAGGACACTGGAAATAAACCAGGAAACAGGGCAGACAGCAATGAATGAGTATAGTTATTCCCTTGACTCTCCAGGTGCGCCTGGAGTGGGTTATGAATGAACTTGACCTGTAGCTCAGGCCTGGCTCTTTGAAGCTGCTAAGAGAGAGCCAGCTCCAGTGTGGACCCTCTGAGTTCCGAAGCTGAGGAGGGCTGCAGGATGGAGAAGTTTTTCCTTTCCCTCCCATGATCCTAACTTGCTATGAAATATTTTGGGATATTTTGCTTCTAGATTCTGGGAATGTCTAGTGCAGGAACTTGGCTGGGGACTGGAGTGAGAGCAGTGGTCCAGCTGGACACTGATGGGTATTGAGGACCCCAGCCCATTCTCACAGGTGCTTCCACGATATCTGTCCAAGACAAGCTGGGTGCCCTCAGTACTGTGCATCATTGTGACTCATTCAGTGTTGGCAATCAACTTCAAATTTTAAAAACAGTGGAACTAGGCCAGGCAAGGTGGCTCATGCGTGTAATCCCAGCACTTTGGGAGGCTGAGGCGGGCGGATCACTTGAGGTCAGGAGTTTGAGACTAGCCTGGCCAACATGGAGAAACCCCGTCCCTCCTAAAAAAGAAAAAAAAAATTAGCTGGGCATGATCACGGGTGCCTGTTATCCCAGCTACTCAGGGGAGGCTGAGGCAGGAGAATCACTTGAACCCAGGAGACGGAGGTTGCAGTGGGCCGAGATCACGCCACTGCATTCCAGCTTGGGTGACAGAGCAAGACTCTGTCTCAAAAAAAAAAAAAAAAAAAGAGAAAAAGAAAAAGGGAATTAACAGTGTACCAAGCCCTTTCCATGGGTTATCTCATTTACTCCCTCCAACACCCTTTTGAGGAGGGAGGTGTTATATTCCCCCATTTTCCAGATGGAGAAATTGAGGCTCAGGGAGGTTAGCTGATTTACTTAAGGTGAGAGAGGCATTTAGGTTTGAACCTAGGGCTGTGTGGATTTAAAATTTACGCTGTTTCTGTAGTATTTCTTTTTTTGCTTTAAAGGAATCATGTCCATTTTCCCTGTCCCACAACGCTTTGACCACCCACTCAAAGAAACATGGCTCTTGGCAATGCTTAGTAGAATTGAACACAGGATGGCTTGGTATGGGATAACTTGTACCATTTGTTTTTTCAGGAATGATCACCAAGACACACAAAGTAGACCTTGGGCTCCCAGAGAAGAAAAAGAAGAAGAAAGTGGTCAAAGAACCAGAGACTCGATACTCAGTTTTAAACAATGATGATTACTTTGCTGATGTTTCTCCTTTAAGAGCTACATCCCCCTCTAAGAGTGTGGCCCATGGGCAGGCACCTGAGATGCCTCTAGTGAAGAAAAAGAAGAAGAAAAAGAAGGGTGTCAGCACCCTTTGCGAGGAGCATGTAGAACCTGAGACCACGCTGCCTGCTAGACGGACAGAGAAGTCACCCAGCCTCAGGAAGCAGGTGTTTGGCCACTTGGAGTTCCTCAGTGGGGAAAAGAAAAATAAGAAGTCACCTCTAGCCATGTCCCATGCCTCTGGGGTGAAAACCTCCCCAGACCCTAGACAGGGTGAGGAGGAAACCAGAGTTGGCAAGAAGCTCAAAAAACACAAGAAGGAAAAAAAGGGGGCCCAGGACCCCACAGCCTTCTCGGTCCAGGACCCTTGGTTCTGTGAGGCCAGGGAGGCCAGGGATGTTGGGGACACTTGCTCAGTGGGGAAGAAGGATGAGGAACAGGCAGCCTTGGGGCAGAAACGGAAGCGGAAGAGCCCCAGAGAACACAATGGGAAGGTGAAGAAGAAAAAAAAAATCCACCAGGAGGGAGATGCCCTCCCAGGCCACTCCAAGCCCTCCAGGTCCATGGAGAGCAGCCCTAGGAAAGGAAGTAAAAAGAAGCCAGTCAAAGTTGAGGCTCCGGAATACATCCCCATAAGTGATGACCCTAAGGCCTCCGCAAAGAAAAAGATGAAGTCCAAAAAGAAGGTAGAGCAGCCAGTCATCGAGGAGCCAGCTCTGAAAAGGAAGAAAAAGAAGAAGAGGAAAGAGAGTGGGGTAGCAGGAGACCCTTGGAAGGAGGTAGTTTTTCCTTCAGAAATGGACTTTGCCGTGGGAGAATTAAGGGTGGGGTTTGGGAGGGGTGTGTAGGCGTGTGTGCATGTTTGTACATGCACGAGTACTCATGCTTTTAGCTAAAACCCTGGTTAAATTAATTTCAGCCAGAATAGGGAGTTTATTGATATATGCAATTGGAAAGGTTATGGTTAACTAGCTTCAGGTATGGCTGGATCTAGGGGCTCATGCAGTATCATCGATAATTGCAGGTATCCTTTGCTACTGAAACCACCCAAGTTTTCCCTGTCTGCCGTTGGGGTCTGAATTAACTGGGATCAATTTTTCAGATGAATCCCTTGCTTTCTGAACTCTTGCCACTTGCTATCCAAAACTCAGGAACCAAGTAACATGAGATAACGTAGTGCCTGTAGCTATCTGAGTATCATCACAGCTCAGTATACACAATTTATACATCAAATAGATTTGGGTAGCCGGAGATGCCTGTATGAGATTTCCTCAGCTCTGGGCTTTGTATTTTTCTATCTTGGTTTATGGCCCATCCTCCTCCTCCACCTCCATCACATTGTGACCTGATGGTCCCGGCAGCTCTAGGCTTTCATCCCAGCAGTTCAGCCACCCCCAAAGGAAGAAGGGTGGCCCCTGTAAATCTATGACAGAAGTCTCAGGGCCACTATCGCAGGCCTCAGTTGGGTCAATCTATCCAGAAGCTCTAATCTAAAACCAAAGGTGGCCGGGTGCGGTGGCTCATGCTTGTAATCCCAGCACTTTGGGAGACCAAGGCAGGCAGATCACTTGAGGCCAGGAGTTCGAGACCAGCCTGGCCAACATGGTGAAACCCCATCTCTACTAAAAATACAGAAACTAGCTGGGCATGATGGCAGGCGCCTGTATTCCCAGCTACTCGTGAGGCTGAGGCACGAGAATTGCTTAAACCTGGGAGGTGGAGGTTGCAGTGGGCCGACATGCCACTGCACTCCAGCCTGGGTGACAGAGCGGGACTGTCTCAAAAAAAAAAAACTTGAGGTGAAGGACAGGGCGGGTATCAGTCCTAACTAAACCACACCGTCTGAGATGCGGGGAGGCAGTTTCTGAGAGGAAAACTGGAGTTCTGTTACCAGGAGGGAAGGAGTGGATGATGGCTTGGTGAAAACCACAGAGACCTGCTGTCTTCAGCCTGCCAGGCTGCCTGGAGTGGGAGAGGGAGGCCTGAGGTGAGCCGGAGGGCTGGTGGCTCCCCAGACCCACAGCCTTTCCCAGCTGAGCCCCTTCCAGGGCCAGGCCCCCATTCCTGTCCTCAGGTGTGTGCACGGACGTGTGGGCCGAAACGATGGTGTGTGTCTTGTTTCAGGGTGTGTGTCCTGCTCCAGACAGTGTCCGGCCCTTCCGTGTGGCCGGTGGCTGACATTTCTTGAGTGTTTACTGTATGCCCAGACTGCTTTGTATCAACCCATCTCATCCTCCTACCTGTCTGGTGAGGTAGCTGCTGTGGGCACCCCCATTTGACAGATCAGGAAACTGAGGCTCCAGAGACTTAATACCTTGTCTAAGGCCACACAGCTGGCAAGAGGTGGAGTTGGGATTCAAACTCAGCTAGTCTGGCTTCTGAAGTTGGCATTTATCCCTTCTCAGAAACCATCTATGTAACCTCTTGTAGAAGCCGGTATTAGTAGAGCCCCAGAAATGACCATCTTTCCATTAGCATAAACCCCAGATTCTCTTCCGAGCTCTGCACCAATCTGCTGGGTGACCTTGGACCACCCATTGCTCGGTTAGAGGGGGAGGGGAGTGGAGGGGTGGCCTCCATATCAAAGGCCTCCAGGTGTTAGCTTTGGTTGCTAGGATTTTCCCAGCTTTGCCCTAGTCCATTAGCCTTGGTTTTACCAGCATCTTCCTTTATTCAGAAACTTGGAGTTGGGAGGAACCCTAGAGGCTTGGGCCCAGCCGCCATCAGACTCTAGAATCCCTTCTCCCAGGAGCTCAGTGAAAGGGAGTTCCCTCTGCTTAACATCTGTGGGGGGACTCTACCTCCCACAGCAGCCCACCCAGTCCAGCAAATGCACATGTGTTGCAGGCCTGGATGAGTGATGGGAATGGAGAGGGCTTCCAGGGTCATCACACACGTGACGCTAGGTGCCAGGCACAGCACACTTCTCAAGTGAGGACGCATGAAATGTCAGCATTTGTCGTTACTGAAGAACCCCAAGAAAGTGGCCGGCCTGAGGTCTCGCTGTTGGAGGGTGTCTTCAGGGCCAAGGCGGGTGGGAGAGCATGGTGCATGTTAGTGTGGTCCTTGGCCTCTGTCCTGTAGTTTGGTGTCACCGTAGGAGGTAGGTGACGTGTGTAGTGGGAAAGGTCGGACACCAAGCCCTGGGTCAGGAGATGTGGGTTAGAATCACCAGTCCCTGAGCCGTGGGGTAACCTTGTAGTCACTTTACCTGTCTGAGTCTCAGTTTCTTCATCCGTCAAATAGTTTAGTACTACTGTTTTGCGGGAGAATTGTGGAAGAGAAGGGATGGGAAGGGCTTTGCTGACTGAGATGTTTCTAGGTGGCAGGGCTGGGGGTGATGCCGTGGTCTGAGGTCTTTTCTGGACTTTGTCATGGTCTCACCCTGGCTGGGTGCAGAGGCAGAGGCCATTCATTGTAAACTTGAACCTTAGCCAGCTCTGCCCTCTCCTGCAGGAAACAGACACGGACTTAGAGGTGGTGTTGGAAAAAAAAGGCAACATGGATGAGGCGCACATAGACCAGGTACAGCCCAGACCCTCCTCAGGCCCCTCCCGCTGCCTCCTGCCACCCTTGGAGTCTCACTTGCTGCCTGCCAGGCTGGCTAGGTGATCCTGGTCTCAGGGGCACCAGGGACTCCAGAGGCCACTGGGCCAGCTGCCAACGCACACCTCCCGGGCCGGGAATGCGTGCTTTCCCCATCCTCATGCTGGGGGCCCTTCCGGCTGCCGTGGCCATGGCCGAGAGGCCCGACTGGCCATTCCCTGTTACTTGCTGCAGGATGTGGGGGACATGTCCCTAAGACCCTGCAGCTGGGCAGGTGACACATGCTGCCACCCCCTGGGCTAATTCAGGAGCATTTAGAGGAGAAGTTTTGTTGTGAATCAGCTTCCGCTTCTGTCGTTCCCATATCCCGTGGCAAATGCATCCCTGTGGGAAGTGGACTTTCTGGCCTTGGGGATTTTTTTTTTTTTTTTTTTTTTTTGAGACGGAGTCTCACTCTGTCCCCCAGGCTGGAGTGCCGTGGCGTGATCTTGGCTCACTGCAAGCTCTTAAGCCTCAGTTTCTAGGAAAATTCATTCTTAAGAGGCTAAAGAGGATAAATGAGCCTGCCCAGTGTAGGCCAAGGGGCGCAGCCCTTGAGATGCTAAGAGAATACTTATGATAGCAGCTTCCCATTGTTTGTAGCAGAGTCAAGCTGTGTTAGTTCCTCCCACGTTCCGTTCCCCCAGCCCCGTCTCTGTCCTGGGTTTTAAGCTTGAAAGAAGATCTCTGTCTGACGGCCCTCTTCTGTCATCCTTCTTGCTCAGGTGAGGCGAAAGGCCTTGCAAGAAGAGATCGATCGCGAGTCAGGCAAAACGGAAGCTTCTGAAACCAGGAAGTGGACGGTAAGTTTGGGGCTAGGGCTCTGCGAGGAGGTGGCACGCTCGGCCTCCCGACGCTTCCCCTCGCCTCCAGCATGAGGAGTGGAGCAGGAGAACCAAGTATGTCCAGGCCCCAGAGGCAGCCCTAGCCTGCAGCAGGCTCCCTCCACAGCAGAATTTGTCCTGAGCTAATTTCCTTCCTTCTGAAAAGGGCGCTTGCCTCCCTCCTAGAGAGCTGGCCCGGTGAGATAAGCTGCCTGAACCTTTGTCTCAGCCCTGGACTGGTGGGGTGTCCTAAGGATTAATCACTGAGGACACATTCCAGCGAGCTCTTGCCAGTGGTGGACGATGCCTTTGGAGGGCTGCTAGGAACAGGGACAAGAGGCAGAGGGGAGGGAGTGGTCGCGGCCCCTCTCAGGCCTGGTTTTCAGATCCAGTCTGACTGGGAAATGTCCAAGCCGGGCCTGAGAAGATCTCTCAGGAGGGAGGAGGGTGCGAGGATCATGAGGCTGGAGAGTGTGAGGTTGTCAGGCTGGGGCCCTGGCGGAGTTCAGTGGGGGCTCTGTGCTGGGTGCTGGACATGGAGCAGATGAAGCCCATGTGATCCCCATCATCGCGCTCACGGTCTAGAGGCCAGAGCGGGGTGAGCATGGCAGGGAAATGGTTAGCAAACAAGGAAAGGAAGATCAGTTGAGGTGGCAGTAGCGGTCAGGAGAAAGAAACAGAACAGTGAGCTGGAGAGGGGCTGCAACAGATGGGCGAGGGCTGGGAGGTGGCAGCGCTTGTCCAGAGATGTTCAGGGTGCAGAGGCCCCAGCCCTCAGGAGACAGGGGGAAGAGCGTTTCAGTGAGGCCAGTGGCCGGTGCAGACCCCTAAGGTAGGAAAGGGCCTGGAGTGATCTGTAGGGAAGGCCAGTGAGGCGGCACTGCGGCTGGAATGAGGGACGAGAGGGCTACAGGCCACAGGCCTCGGCCTCAGCGGCCATGATAGAGAGCTGGCCTGGGATCTGGCTAAGTGGGATTGGCTGGAGGGCATTGACTCGGCAAGCGGGAAGACCTGGTAGAAGGCTCAGCCTGCAGGCCGCAGCCTGAGGATGGTGGCAGAGGATAGAGAGAGAAAACAGCTTTGTGATTTACTTTGGAGGCACAGCTGGCAGGACTTGTTCATAGATTGGATTTTGGGGAGACGAGAAGAAAGGTCTGGGTGACCAGCGATGCTGGCCTTCAGGCTCCGTCAGAGCATTCAGAAAAGAACAGTCGATTCGGATCAAAAGATCTGATTTCACTACTGGCTCTGCCACTGTCTAGTGGTGGGACTCTGGCCAGGTACCTTCCCCTGAGCCTGTAAAATGGGACTCGTACCCTGGCCTGGTGGGGTATGGAGTGGGGCTTTGTTATGGGTCCTGCCTTGGGGTGCCCTTTCTCTCCATGCCACCCTGCTGAGCTGAGCCGAGCTGATGGGACATCCAGCTTGAATAGGGAGGGCAAGAAAAAAGGCAGTGTGATTCGGAGCCGATGTCCCGGGGGGCTGTCCCTGGAAGGACCTGACGGCAGGAGAGTGATCCTGGGGCACAGGGGCTGGGACATGCCATGCCACTGAGACGTGGTGAAGTGGTCCTCTGGGTGGGCAGCAGCCGTTGGAAGTGCTGGTTCACGCAGGACCAGCTAGCAGTCTCCTGCTCTCCCCAAAACCCATGTGGGGTGGTCATAGATGGCCTCTCACTCTAGAAACTGCAGGGCAGGGGAGCTGTCATTATTCCTGCATCTGGGCCACCATGAAGCTGGGAGAATGTGTCACCGGTTCACTCAGGGCAGCTGTAGTGACAACTGGTTCTTATTTTCCCAAAGCCAACCCAGAAATAAGTGCTGGGCTGGCCTCTGGCTTGTGGGCGGGAAGTTCCCAGGCAGCGTCGATGTCAGCAGTCTGGTTGGGGTAGGGGGAGAGGAGTGGCCAGTCACTGAGGGCTTGAGGTGTGCCATGCATCGTGCACTGGGCTTTTGGTGTCAAATCTGACGTATGTCTCACTGAAGCCCTGTGAGGGGGATGTTATCACCCCACCTTAGAGATGAGGGCACCAAGGCTTAGAGAGGTTAGGGGACTTGAGCAGGGTCACCCAGGGGAGGCTTCCTCCCGGGGCTGCCTGACTTCCGAGTCACAGTCTTCTTGGGAGGTGAGTTTCTTTCCTCTCCCACCGACCTGGGAGAAGGGGGTCTGGAGGGCTCTCCTGCATTTTCTTGCACATGGGTGGTAGCGCACTCTGGCTGGAATGGGGACCCCCGAGTTCTTGGGCTTGGCTCAGTCTGACTTGGCTGTGTGACCTTTTACCCCTGTGGGCCCGCACCCGTTCCCGCCATAAAACAGTGCTTCTGAGAAGCACACTTCAGATTCCCACTCGCCCTCTCCCACCCTCCAATTCACCCAAACGTTAGGCTGCTGGGTGAGTGCGCCCGGCTGCTGGGCTGTGGGGTGCCCTGTGTTGCAGGGGAGGTGCGCCCTGTGGGGAGGTGGGGGAGGTGTGCTGTCTTGTGAGATGCATGGTGGGGTGAGGTGCGCTGTGTAGGGAGGTGGGGGGAGGTGCGCTGTATAGGGAGTGGGGGAAGTGCTATGTAGGGAGGTGGGGGAGTGTGCTGTGTAGGGAGGTGGGGGGAGTGCGATGTGTAGGGTGGTGGGGGGAGTGCACTGTGTAGCGTGGTTAGGGGAGGTGCGCTTTGTAGGATGGTAGGGGGAGAGTGTGCTGTGTAGCGTGGTGGGAGGAGGTGCGCCATGTGCGCCGTGTAGGGAGGTGGGGGGAGTGCTCTGTGTAGGGTCGTGGGGGGAGTGTGCTCTGTAGAGTGGTGGGGGAGTGTGCTGTGTAGGGAGGTGGGGGAGGGGAGGTGCACTGTGTAGGGAGGTGGGGGGAAATGCTTAGTGTAGGGTGGTGGGGGGAGTGCGCTGTTGTGAAGTGAGGCACACTGTGCCGTGTGCCATGAGTTAGGAAAGGAGGAGGAAGGCAGAAAGGCAGCTCTGTGCAGAGGTGGGCAGTGGTGTTGGCTGGACCTGGGCTGGAATTCTGGGGGTCACTAGTTAGGTTTCTGTCTCCAGCTAAGCTGCAGACCTCTATTTTCTCCTCTGTGCAATGGGAATAACAACAGTGTTTCTCATAGGGCTGTCTTTAGGATTAACGGAATAATCCGTTGTTGAGCTTATTAGCACTGTGCCTGGTACACAGCAGCCATCTAATCTGCTGGGCCCTCCCTGATGAGGGTGGGGGTCAAGGGAAGGAAAGGGCTTTGAACTCAAGGAAAATAGCCACCTTTTTCCTCTCCTCACAGGGAACCCAGTTTGGCCAGTGGGATACTGCTGGTTTTGAGAACGAGGACCAAAAACTGAAATTTCTCAGACTTATGGGTGGCTTCAAAAACCTGTCCCCTTCGTTCAGCCGCCCCGCCAGCACGATTGCAAGGCCCAACATGGCCCTCGGCAAGAAGGCGGCTGACAGCCTGCAGCAGAATCTGCAGCGGGACTACGACCGGGCCATGAGCTGGAAGTACAGCCGGGGAGCCGGCCTCGGCTTCTCCACCGCCCCCAACAAGATCTTTTACATTGACAGGAACGCTTCCAAGTCAGTCAAGCTGGAAGATTAAACTCTAGAGTTTTGTCCCCCCAAAACTGCCACAATTGCTTTGATTATTCCATTTATGCTGGAGATTACAAATTTTTTTTGTGAAAAAATCAGATCTTGGTGAGGACCTCGAGCAGTAAGATATAAATAACTCCCATAAGCTTAGCGTTCCAGTAATGGAACACTAGGCATAAATGGTTTATTCAGTTGTGCAAATGAAAGCCATCTGACAGTTGGCTCACATTGAACACCTGTGGAGATTAAGGACGAGGACAACTATATTGATGGGCTTGGATGAACTGGGGCAGGGCAGCTCATATTTCGGGAGCCAGGAGAACGAGTGAGTGCTAAAACCTCCTGTTTTCTGTGTTAAACATTCCGTCCCTGTTTGAGACATCAGTATGTACAGTTAACTTTTGTTGAGTGTTTAGCAGGTACTAGGGACATACTAGTGTTTTCCTTAATGTATTTAATCTTCATAATTATGAAATGGGTGCTATTATTAGCCCCATCTTATAGATGAGGCAACTGAGGTTCAGGGATAAAGTAATAAAATTGCCTGGGGTCACCCAGCCACTAAGTGCAGGGTGTTGTACTTTTGTACCCGAAGCCCTAAGTTCACTATTCGCCACTCTGAATGTCCCCTTTAGGGAATTTCCACCAGAATCCTCGTTGGGGATTGAAATGTCTTTAGATGGAGGAAAAAGTTTTATGACAAGTCTGCATCTCTGATAAAAAGTGGAGTGAATGAGGAACGGAGAATCGCAAACTCCTTTTCCTTCCTTTTCCTTTCCCCTGTCATAGAGCAGCTGTAGGCAGAGAGGTGTCTGAGTTGTTACCAAACACATGTGACTGAGCTGCTGCTGCTGGGAAATGTGCCTCTAAACCAGTCCTGCCTTTTCCACTGGTGTCCCTTCGGCCCTAAGTGCTGAGGTAGGATTTTTGTGCTTTGACTGGATTCTGAACAAGGCATTTTAGGAAGAGTGGTTAGTCCCGCAAATGAATCAATGGCAGATCCCAGGGACGTGTGTGTGTGTTTTGAGATAGGCTCTCACTCTGTCACCCAGGCTGGAGTGTAGTGGCATATCACGGCTTGTTGCAACCACTACCTATCCAGCTTAAGTGATCCTCCCACCTCAGCCTCCCAAGTAGCTGGGACTGTGGGTGTGCACCACAACAACCAGCTAGTGTTTAAAATTTTTTGTAGAGATGGGGTCTCACTATATTGTCCAGGCTAGTCCCAAACTCCTGGACTCAACTCATGCTCCTGCCTCAGCCCCCAAGAGCTGGGATCACAGGTGTGAGCCACTGTGCCCAGCCCCAGGGATGTGTCTGATGAGATTCTTTTTTATCACAAGGAAGAGAATCCCAGGTGACTTCTGTAGGTGGATATTGAATGCCAGGAGGAGATGAACGTGTGGAGATGACACGGGAAGTTGCCTCATCGGCTGTGGGGACAGCGTTTCCAAGCCTGGACTCTACAGCAAGCCTCAAAGAGCTCCAGGTCCAGTGGCCCAAGTCGCATGTGACCATCTGTGACCACCTTCTTTCCACTCACCTAGCTTTTTGCATCCCAAAATACAGGTTCTGACTGGGACATTTTCACGATCGTTTGGCCTGAACATGCCTCCTACAGACATCCCAGCCCAGGCAGGCCTCGATGGCCAGAAAGTTCAGTCTCACGTGGCAGGAAGGCCTGATTAGGGCCTGGTTCAACAGCTCGCCAAGGAAGCATTCTCTCCATCATCTCCAGTGTTGGCTTCATCAAGGCTAGTACAAAGATGGCAGTAACAGTTCCAGGCAGCATATCAAGACCCTAGAACATTCCAGAGGAAGAAAAGCCTTTTTGTGTCTCAAGGAAACTTCCAGAAGCCTCCATTGCTGGGCAATGAGTCATCTGCCCATAGCTGCACCCGCCCCTGTCATGGGAAGGCTGGTGATTCCCTTCAGTCAAGAAGAGTGGATGCTGGTGAAGTGGCCATGGTGTCCACAGCTGCCCATTGGGCAGAGGTGAGGCAGGCACTTCAGGCAGTTTCCCTGGCTCTGAACCCTGATCCGCAAGCATTGGCCAGGTCAATAGTTGGACAAGTATGTGCTACAAGGACCTACTTGGGCCACTTCCCTCAGGACGTGAACTTGTCCTGCCTTTCTTTCCTGGATTCAACCTTGAGATACATAATGGGAGAGGCCGTGGAAAGCCCAAGAGGCAGTGTTCTGGATTTGAGTGAGTGCCTTCTGGGCACCTCCTCCTTTGATGGAGAAACAAATCCCTCCTGACCTTGAGCAACACTACAGGAATGTGCCTGGTGTAAACAGGAACCAGCCGTTCGTTTCTTTTTTTTTGAGATGGAGTCTCACGGTCGCGCAGGCTGGAGTGTGGTGGCGTGATCTCGGCTCATTGTAACCTCTGCTTCCTGGGTTCAAGCGATTCTTGTGCCTCAGTCTCCTGAGTAGCTGGAATCGGCCGTTTACTACTCATAGTTTTTATCTTGCCAAGAGGTCACCCTGACGTTGGCCTGCCTTAGCTCTGTTAAAAAGGTTGTGCTCTGCCAGGTGCGGTGACTCACGCCTGTAATCCCAGCACTTTGGGAGGCCAAGGTGGGCGGATCACGAGGTCAAGAGTTCGAGACCAGCCTGACCAACATGGTGAAACCCCGTCTCTACTAAAAATACAAAAATTAGCTGGGTGGGTGTGGTGTCACGGGCTTGTAATCCCGGCTACTCAGGAGGCTGACAGGAGAATCGCTTGAACCCGGGAGGTGGAGGTTGTAGTGAGCTGGGATGGTGCCACTGCACACTCTAGCCCCGGGCAACAGAATGAGACTCTGTCTCAAAAACAAACAAAAAAAAACTGTCTTTGGGTGATTGTGGAGAGGTGATCATATGTCCGCTGTGTTGCTCCCATCCAAGCCCTGGTGACTGGTAGCTCTCATGAGGGTGTGATGGTCAGGCCTTGCCCCTGGTGTAAATTCTGTCTGTAATAGGCTGTGACTTTCTAACTCAACATCACCACTGGCTTAGGAGTTCCATTTGCACAGGGGGAGCTTTATTGCTTTTCTATATACATAAGAACTTTACGTCTCACCAGTGGAGGTTGGGCAGCCAAGACACCACAATGCTGGGTGTCTTCAGAATGGACTTAATCTTGTCCTTTTGCTTTCTGCCAGTGCAGATCACCATCTCTCAGATGAGCAGGACCCCACCCTCTGGCAGTCTTGTCTTGGGAGAATCACTCTGAGCTCCCATCCTTTGTAAATTAACATTGGTTTGAGCACCACCCTCCATCACGGCTGCAGTGAGCCATGATTGCACCACTGTGTTCCAGCCTGGGTGACAGAGCAAGACCCCATTCCAAAAAAAAAAAAAAATTTGCCAAATAGACACAGTCCTCACAAAAGAAGTTGGCAGAATAACACCCCTTCCTACCACATCTCCTCAGAACCTGTGTATTTGTTAGGTTACGAAACAAAAGGGAATTAAGTTTGCTAATCAGCTGACCTTAAAACAGGAAGAGGATCCCGTGTTTCTGGGTGGGCCGGAGGAATCACAAAGATCCCTAAATGTGGAAGAGGAAGGCAAAAAAGAGTCCACATCAAAGAGACTTAAGAAAGACTTGACTAGACACTGCTGGTTTTGAAGATGGGAAGGGAAGGGTCAGAAGCCAAGGAATGTGTGTGCTGTCTAGAAGCTGGAAAAGGCAAGGAAGTAGATTCTCCCCTAGAGCCTCCCAGAAGGAGCGTAGCCCTGCTGATGCCTTAATTTTAGCTCAGTGAGACCAGGCGGACTTAAGACCTATAGAACCGTCAGATGACAACATTATGTTTTAAGCCGCTACAATTGTGGCAATTTGTTAAAGTAACAATAGAAGACCTAATGTAAGTAAGTCTCATGTGGAAGTTGCCATGGTTTTGTTTTTCTTTCTTTTTTTTTTTTTGAGACAGTCTCACTCTCACTCCACGCCCAGGCTGGAGTGCAGAGGCGTGATCTCAGCTCACTGCAACCTCCACCTCCAGGGTTCAAGCGATTCTCCTGCCTCAGCCTCCTGAGAAGCTGGGATTACAGGTGAGCACCACCACACCCAGCTAATTTTTTTTTGTATTTTTAGTAGAGATGGAGTTTCACCATGTTGGCCAGGATGGTCTTGATCTCTTGGCCTCATGATCCACCTACCTCAGCCTCCCAAAGTGTTGGTATTACAGGCATGAGCCACCGCACCCAGGCCCCATCATTTTTATTTTCTACAATTCTGGCTGACATCTTATTGCTCCATCCTTGCTAATGATAGACTTCATCTCACATAGACCAGTGTTTTCAGAGACCGGCTTATTGATTCAGTAAAGGGCTGGGGGAAACTGCACACACAAGGACATATAAAATCTAAGCCTCTGCCTGGGCCACATGACAGGATTCAGAAGCACCTTTGATATAATGGGTGCCCGACCTCATGTGAAAGTCCAAGTTCAGGTGTAATGTGAGAGCGGTAAGAATTCACTGGCCTAGGCTTGGGAACTAATGCTGCCCACCACGTTCAGCCTCAGAGGAGAAGAAATGACTTGAAGAACATAATTTGTGAATTTGCCAATTGTTTTTCATTTTATAGCATCACACAGTAAAAGTAGATAAAATAATTTTAATGAAAATACTTCTGTGGGCCAGGTGCGGTGGCTTACGCCTGTAATCCCAGCACTTTGGGAGGCCGAGGCGGCGGATCACCTGAGGTCAGGAGTTCTAGACCAGCCTGACCAACATGGAGAAACCCCATCTCTACTAAAAATACAAAATTAGCTGGGTGTGGTGGCGCACTCCTGTTATCCCAGCTACTCAGGAGGCTGAGGCAGGAGAATTGCTTAGACTCGGGAGGCGGAGGTTGGGGTGAGCCGAGATCACGCCATTGTACTCCAGCCTGGGCAACAAGAGTGAAACTGTCTCAAAAAAAAGAAAAAAAAACAGAATTTTGTGAAATAAAGGCCACTTGGGAGTATCTGAGCCACCCCACAATGCTGTCTGAGTTTCTGTATGATTTAGTAGAGGGGAGGGAAAGAAGCATTCATTAGTGTCTGCTGTCCTTTAATTTTTTTTGAGATGAGATGATATTTTGCTCTTGTCACTCAGGCTGGAGTGCAGTGACGCAATCTCGGCTCACTGCAACCTCCGCCTCCTGGGTTCAAGCGATTCTCCTGCCTCAGCCTCCCAAGTAGCTGGGATTACAGGTGTGTGCCACCACGCCTGGCTAATTTTTGTATTGTTAGTAGAGACGGGGTTTCACCATGTTGGCCAGGCTGGTCTCGAATTCCTGACCTCAGGTGATCTGCCTGCCTCAGCCTCCCAAAGTGCTGGGATTACAGGCGTGAATCACCGTGCCCGGCCAATAAATTGATTTAAAAAAATTTTTTAGCCCCTTTTACTGTCTGAGGTTAACTGAGTGTTCAACTGTAGTCTTGTATTTCTCAGAGTAAAGATGAAATGTAATCTATGTCCAGTTCCAGTGTGGATCTTGTAGAAGCACAATAGTTTGGGGCATTTTTAATCCACAGTGTGGATGCATTTTCATAATGGCAGTGGCTGAGATGATGAATCACCCATCAGTATGAATGTTTTTACTGATTCAAAATGAAATGTCGGTGCAAGCTCACCAGCCGTAATAGAAGAATCAGGTTCCACCAAACTGTTGGAAGAAAAGCAGACAGAATCACATGCTGTTTAGAATTGTGGCTGCAAAACAAACCAGGATAATATATTTAGACACGGTCTTTCTCTTCTGGAGGAAGACAGTCAGAAGTAATTAAATGAACAGTCATGAACATAAATGCTCCTTCAGGACATTTATTCAGTTACTGTATACTGAAGCCACAGAGAATCTCAAATTTGACCTCGCTTTCTCCTTTGATCCACCAACACAGATTCTAAGTCCAATCAAGAGCTGCTTTTGATAGGAAAAAGAGTTAATGGAGTGCTATTTCTGCCTTTTATAAATCCTCCATAGGGGTTCAGGTAACACAGTTCCAGACTTTGGGTGTGCTCTAACTTTAAGGTACAAAGTCTGGAATGGAATGGGTCTGGAACAGTGGCACTTTGAAAAGCAGTCCACTTTTAAAGTCCTTATTTCTAAACTATGAAAAAACAAACACCTTCCAGAGAAGAAAGATGTTACTTGCATTCTTGTTTCTCTCTTGCTAAAAAGGCCCATCAGATCGGGCTGAGTAGACCGAAGGCCACTTGTGCAAAGACAACACAGAGACTGCTTCTTAGTGAAGATTGCATTTTAATGCTCTGACAACTCCCATTTCTTCATTGTCAGAATAACCTGGATAGAGGCCAAAGCTTAAAACAATTTGTACATATGTAAAAAGAAAAGAAAAATGAGAAACCTAAATTGCCGTAAGAGTTCAGGGCAGCAGAGCAGATCTTTCTGGATTTGGCACCAGAGTCCCTGAGCCTGGGGATGGGCCCGGGGGTCAGGTCCTTGTTTGCAGAGGGAGTCTGAGGGCCAGCTCCGTCAGATGAGTCATGTCTGGTTGTTTGCTTTGCTTCTTGATGTATTCTAGCGTTTTCACCTATGAGGAAAAAGAAAGATCCATCTCCTTTCTGGTTCATTATCCTTGGAGCCCAAGGCTCTAATGAATCAGCCATTATGTGAGCTTAGATTTCTTAGCAGAGAAGAGTGAGTTTTTTGAGGGATGAGAGGAGGGAAGAAATCAAAGTCTTCAACTTCTTGGATTGCAGCTTGCCCTAAAAATCAGATTTGGACGTGACCAGAAATGACTGATGTTTTGTATGTATGGTTCCTATTCAGAGGGAATAGACTTTTAAGGCTATGCTTTTGTTCTTTGTTTTGGAGACAAGGTCCTGCTCTATCACCCAGGCTGGAGTGCAGCGGTGTGATCATAGCTCACTGCAGCCTCGAACTCCTGGGCTCAAGCCATCCTCCCTCTTCAGCCTCCCGAGTAGCTGGGACTACACATGTGCACCACCATGGCCGGCTAATTTTTTATTTTTTGTAGAGACCTGGTCTCACTATGTTGCCCAGGCTGGTGTCAAACCCTTAGCCTCAAGCGATCCTCCTGTCTCAGCCTCCCAAAGTGCTGGGATTATAGGCATGAGCTGCCACACCTGGCCAGCTCTGCTTTTTACTGCTAGGAAGTGATCCAGTAGAAATGGACCAAGTGCTTTTCTAAAAGGGGAGTATGGGGTTGTCTGTCTGATGTCCAGGCCACAATGCTGTGTTGAGGGTGGTTGTGCACTGGCCAGTGGGCTTATACCACGGGGCCCTCCGAGCGCCTCACCATGGTCCTGGTGTCTGCACAGCCGTGCCTCTGTGCCAGGTGCCACAGGTTGACGGAGAGCTGGTTGAGCTTGTTGTTGCGTAGGTCCCCATGGGCCAAGATGCTGTTAAAGAAGGAAAGGCCCAACGAGCTCTGGCGCTTCAGGGCCTGAAACAGAAAAGGGAGGTTACTGCCTTGCACTGGGGCTCAGGCCGTGCCCCGCAGAGATGCTGTGGACAGTGCTGACTCTGGGGTAGGTCATGCCTGAGTTCCAGTGCCAGCTCTGCCATGTATTTGCTGTAGGGCAAGCTGCTGAACCTCCCAAAGTCCCAGCTGCTTCATCTGTAAGTGACAGTAAGGTCACCCCTGCAAAGGGCGGGGATTCAGTAAGATGACGAAGCTCTGTGCCCACAGATGGTCATTACTCATGAAATGGAAGAAACTCACCAGTCAGTGAGGTCGAGGAATGAAGGGTACCCCAGCAGGGACAAGCCTTGCTTTAATGCAAGTACAGCTGAAAACTGAAAGGCTTCAGCTCACCTCTTTCAGATGTGTCCTCAAACTACCCAAAGCTGCAGTCAGTATTCCTGCCCCTGGGCTGCCGGTAATAAAGACCAAAACACATCTCCCGAACTGAGCTCCCCAATCCTTGGTGCCCATATCCAGCCTTTACACGCTGACATCAGATCTTTCCTTTCTTGCTCAATCATCTGATGTGAGAGGTATCTTGCCAAAAAAAGTCTAACCACAGTGTCACGGCAGACCGAACCTGAACTCCAGCTTTGAGTGATAAAGACAAAAGGGAAAATAAATCTCCAGAATGCAACACCAGGCCCAGGAGAGAGGATACAACTTCCCCAAGGTAAACGAAGGCCCCTGGAAAAGCCACATCAACAGGTGGGTACCTGCTGTTCAGGAAGCCCATGGGGCCACGGCAGATCCCACATCTGCACAACATCAGTGCTGCCAAGAGTCTCATGTCTGCTCCCTGACAGTGAATGCGTGTAAGAGCCCTTAAGAGTGTGCCAGGGATTCTGCTCTGTGCTTTATACAACTCGCGTG